>NC_000010.11:124121502-124432982 GCF_000001405.40 Homo sapiens
GTGTGTGTGTGTGTGTGTGTGTGTGTGTGGTGTGGACAGGCTGTGGAGTGAGCCCACCCATGGATGGGGTGGCCTGAGGTACGTCCTGACCCCCAGGAGCTCTCCAGGCCCAGAGTGAGTCTCGGGGTGGGAGGATGGCATGCAGTGAGGTGTCAGGAGCTTGGAACAGCATGGAGCCCAGGACACCCAGGACTTGAGGCCACGCTCTCAGGAAGCCTGCTTCCATGTCCAACGTGGAAGAGCCCAGGGGTTTTGGGAGAGCCACTCACAGACTATAAGGTAAAGGGTTGGGAGCTGTTGATAGCAGAAAACTGCCYGGATAGACTTGGGAAGCCTGAATCCTGATTCTCACCACACCATTGCTTTGGCCAGGACAGAAACCCACACGAGAAAGCTCAGAAAGGGGAGTTTATCTTAAGAATCAGCAGAATTCAGGTGGAGCTGGAATGTCAACAGGACTCAGTGTCTTTCTGTCTCCATCTCTGTCTCTGCCTCTGTCTCTCTTTGCCTCACCGTTCCCCTCTCCTTTCTTCCTGGGCGACATGGCCTCTCTGCTTTCTCTTCTGATCAGACCCACBGTGCAGAATTGAGTGTGCAGGATCCAGCATATAGGATCCAGTGTGCAGGACCCGGTGTGCAGGATCCAGTGTGCAGGGTCTTGCAGTGCTGACATTCCCTCTACTAGTCTCCAGGTTGCTTGGGCCATTCCTCCATCTGACTGGGTATCCGAAAGGTGCCACCACRCCCAGGCACTGAGAAGCAAAARGGACGCAGAGTGAGTAGGCAGATCGGCCTGCATGTGCTCACTTGGTATTTCCAGTTCTCCAAGGAAAGAATCTGACTGGTCACTGGCCAAACCCTGGCTGGTCTTGGGTTCCGTCACCCCTGGTCCATCAGCTGCGGCAGGAAGAGTCGCGTGACGCCGAGGTGACCAAGCTTGAGCCTTCAGCGGGGCTGTGAGCAGGCCAGATCCGACCTGCCACCTGTCTGTGTAAATCAAACCTCATCACAAAATGACCTCAGCCATTCATTCACACATTGTCCGTGTCTGCTTTCACACTAAAACAGCAGAGTTGTGTAGTCGTGACAGAGACTCTATGGCCTGCAAAGCCTAAAATTTTTACTATGTTTTCTGAACCCTGAACTGGGAAAACAAATGTAAAAGATCCATGAGTACCACAAAGCACTGCATAATATGAGGAATTCTAGCGACAGTTACGTTGTCCCTCATCCTGCCAGGACCTCACAAGAGTCTGCTGGGCCCCCTGGATAAAGTATCAACCATCCTAGTTGTGATTTTCCATGATGCCAAACTTCCAGGCCGTTTGCAAATACGAAATGGAGCTGATCAGTCCCGGTCCTGCCGGTTGTGAATATGACCTCTGCGGAGACTGTCTCGAGGTAGCACGAGCCCATGCCAAGATGAAAGGAGATGCAGTTGTTCACCCAGATGTTGTGCTCAGCACTTCACAACCATTATCTCATTAATCCTTTCAACAACTTAATGAGGCCCGTTCTGCTGCTGCCAAATTCTACTGAAACCAAGGCTTGAGGAGGGCTCTAGAGTTGAGTACCAGACAGCGCTGTGACGGATCCTGTGTCTGCAGACACCAGGCCTCCTGCCCTTCCTCCTTGGGCTAATGAACTTTTTCTAAATCATGCATTTAAGTCACTCACTCAGTTAATATTATGTTCATAATATGTGCAAAAGACTGCGCTAGGTGCTTTGGGGAACAGAAGCAATGATGAATAAGGTGCAACCCTTGCTTCAGGGACAGCACCATCTGGGGCGGATGATGACACAGATAAACACTCGAATGCGAGGTGGAAAGAAACTAGCTCTTTGTAGAGGTTCTTAGTGAGGACTGTGGCAGCAAAAAGATAAACATTCCAGAACTTTGCAGCTAAAAAGAATCTTAGAAATTATTCATGGGCCCGGTGCGGTGACTCACACCCATGATCCCAGCACTTTGGGAGGCCGGGGTGGGCAGATCACCTGAGGTCAGGGGTTTCGAGACCAGCCTGGCCAACATGGAGAAACCCCAACTCTACCAAAAAATACAAAATTAGCCGGGTGTGGTGGTGCATGCCTGTAATCCCAGCTACTGGGGAAGCTGAGGCAGGAGAATCGCTTGAACCCGGGAGGCGGAGGTTGCAGTGAGCCGAGATCATGCCATTGCACTCTAGCCTGGGCAACAAGAGCGAAACTCCATCTCAAAAAGAAAAAAATTATTCATGTTAGTTTGGTGGCAGAGACTGACAGCCGTGACCCTAACCCATTTCCCTGCTTCCTGTGGACAACCCCCCTCCGCAGCTAGCCGTGCAGTAGGAATGGCTGGTGACTGGGATAGAAGTGGGGGTGGTGTGCACTACTTTGGGCCTGGCCCATGGACACATTTCCACATAGTATGTTCCACACTCTCTCCCCTTCCAGCTCACCAGCATGGAGATGACCCCACTGAGACCATGGAGGTAGCTGAAGATGACACTGAAGATGACAGACACAAGACAGAGGAGGCAGGGTCATCTGATCATCACCTGGAAGCTGGCTGGCTGCTGGTGCATTTGCACGGATTGACACATGAATGAGAACAAACTTGGATCATGTTGAACAGTGAGATTTGAGGCATTGTTTGTTACAGGAGCCAGTGTTATCTAACACAATAGGATCCCAACTTTGGCTCACAACTAAAATCACGTGTGGACCTTCTTTGACATCTTAGGTCCCCTGAGATCCACCCCGGATGTCCTGGTTCAGTAGATCTCGTGTATGGTCTGGACATGCACATCTTGAAAAAGCATCCTAGGTGGTTCTGATACAAACTCTGATCACGATCCTCTGGTGTCTAGACAAACTTCCTCATTTTACAGACTTTACAGAAAATGAGACCCAGAAAGATCATCGTACCAGGTCACACAGCTAGGCAGGGGCAGAGAAGGAACCATAACCTGGTCTCCTAGCACTGCATAGATTCTATGACAGAGCTCCCTGTTCAGGAATTACATCTACAAGTTCCTTGTAGCATTCTTAAACCTCCAATGGCCCTGTTGGGAGGTTTGCCAAGGCGATGTCTTTTTGTTGATAGGGCTTAGATGCAACCAAGTTATGCAAAAATATTTTGAGAAAACTGTTAACTGATTTTGGAGGTCAAAACAGTATGTTCACGTGTTTATGCCTTTCCTGCTTACAACGCACTCTCCCCACCTTTCAGGTCATCGCAAATTCCCATTCTCTTTAAAACCCTTCCTGACTATTTACGCCCATGGTTGACATCTCCTTGGCACTTCAGTAGTCAGCAAATACACACACACACACACACACACCCCACATGCAGTCATACACCTACACACACACACTCATGCCCCCCAAACACACTCATACATCCCCACACAAATTCACACATATACCAACACACATTCACAATACACCCACACACAAACGCACACATACTCCAACACACACTCACATACACCCACACACAAACTCAAACATACTCCAACACACACATACCCAAACACACACATGCACCAACACACACACACTCACAAACACACATACACCAACATACACATGCACACACACACACCAACATACAAACTCATATATAACCCCCCACGCACATGCACTCACACTCCTACACACACATATACCAACACACACACACTCACACATATAACCCCTCCCCCACACATGCACTCCCACCCACACACCCACAAACACACTGACACACCAACACACACACACTGAGACATACACCAACACCCGCATACACATAAATCCACTCACACATACACTCACACATATAACACACCCACATACATGCACTCACATCCCCACAAACTGACACACCAATATACTCACACATACACCCTCATATACTGTCACACATACACTCCACACACTGACACATACACCAACATACAAACTCACACATATAACCCCCACACACGCACTCACACTCCCACACTCCCACACACACATACCAACACACACTCACACATATAACCCCTCCCCCCACATGCACATTCACACATACACTGACACATCCACCAACACACACTCACACATACACCCACACACACTCACACATACACCAATGCACACCATACATACACTCACACATATCACACACACACACACTTGCACTTCAGCCAGCATTGTTGGAGAATGTGCATCCAATGAAATCAACTATCCCAGACCAGTGATACACGTTTTTAAAATTCAACCACATTGATCAAAAACCTTGATAAAATGTTTTGTGCATTTCTTGGATTCTCACGTAATAGGATGACTGCAATTTTCTTGATAGTTTAAGATCACCACTAGGGGCATGAGCTAACATGAAGACACCTGCTCCATCGGAGGTGGCGCGTGAGGCTCTCAGCCCTGGGCCTCGCCGTGGGTCTTTTCTCTGGTTCATGCTGCTGTTGGTGGCTCTGTTGGTGAGGATGGAGGTGCTGCTGCTGCCACTCAATCCTTCATAGAAGAACAGATAATGAGGGAGGACCGAAGCTGCTCTGCCCACACAGTCAAATGCCAGGGTTTGCAGAACCCGACTTGGCTTCTCTCTGCAGCCCCAGATCCACTTCTCAAGTTTATTCTAGGTCCAGGTTTGCTTATTCTGATTTCTAGATTGGTGGAGTGTTAGGGTGTTCACATGTTGTACACTAACTTGTCCTTGTTGTACACTGACTAATCCTGGTTGTACACTAACTTTTCCTGGTTGTACACTTGTCCTGGTTGATATGCTCATTCGTCAAACCATCTCTGTACTGTTTCTCTCCAGTCTGTGCCTCCCACACTGAGCTGGGAGCCGCTGAGGGCTGATCGTATCTCAGAGTCTTCCCGTCCCTCTTCCCCTCCCCTCTCCACGCCTTGGCCCAGCACCCATTGTGTCTTGCCACACAGTAGGTATTTCTTAATACCCTTCAGCTTTCAGTTCCAGCCCAGGGCAAACATTGTCAGATTTTATGTTAACCTTTTTTTGAAAATCTGATCCTAGCTGCAAGTCAGTGAATAGCTAAGGCACAGCAGTCGCCTCTGGGAACATTATCCTCAATGAGAAGATTTAGATTCATTAGATTTCTGCCTTTAACAAGGAAAAAAATTTACCTAGGGGGCTCAGAAGAAAATTCCATTCCATATTTTAAAGTCGCAGCCTAGATTTTTAATTTCCTAATGGATTTATAACAGGAAAAAAATTACTCCTCAATATGGTATTCTTGCCAGACACCAAATCTATTCTCATTTTGAACTCACAGTTACAAAACCCTGGCCTTTCTTCAGCTACTGCACAGAGCCCATTTGTGGCAGCAGAACTTAGAGATGCATCTGGTCGTGCTCCACAGCAGCCTTTTCCCCAGGGTGAGCACGTGGGGCTCTTGGCTGGAGCCCTGTGATGCCTGTGGCCTGGGCCTTCCTGCAAGGTCCCTGTGGATGCCTTTTCCATGCACCCACGAGGACGCCAGACCTGAGCACTCTGGGATGGCAGCAGATACCAGAAGTGGGAGGTTTTGGAGCCTGAGGAAGGAGCCCAAGAGATGGCCTCACTCTACCCTCTGGTGAGGGATGAGGAACTGGAGACCGAGAGCAGATTTGAGGACAGCCTGGATGCAAGGCCAAGACCAGACGTCCAAGCTTGTCCCCTCCACCGCCTTCCACTCACCCAGTATGCCCTGAGCACCTTTTTGTGTGCAGGGGAGCAGCAGTCCTGGTCGCACTGTGCTCATGATCTAGCTCTCTACCTCCCTGTCTCACTGGGCTTATAGTCTAGCTCTCTGCTTCCCGGTCGCACTGGGCCCGTGGTCTAGCTCTCTGCCTCCTGGTTGTACTGGGCCCGTGGTCTAGCTCTCTGCCAACCCTGCCTGACGGTGGGGAGAACTTAAGCTGGCATTTTGTCTAAATGTTCGTAATTGGCACCTCAGAGCTGAGGTTTCTTTATCAGGAACGCCAGTGTGCCTCTGAGCTGTTGGATCCTCTAGACCTACGGGCAGCCCTTCTCCTGGGCCCCGGGCCTTGGGTCTTCCACAGAGCCCTGGCAGTTCCTCCGTCCCCACTGCATGAGGTGCTGGCCTCAACTCTAAAGGAAGATCAACTCTAAAGGAAGCTCACTGCCTGGGTCAGGGTGTCGGGAAGGCAGCTTCCCCTCCACTCCCAGTTCTGACCCTCCCTGGCCCTGGGGCCTTGGGCTTCAGTTTTCTCATGCACCCTTCACGGGTTGCACTGGATAAGCCTAGAAGAGTTTTCCAGATCCGATGCTCAGGACATCATCGAGAGGATGACAACAGGGGCAGTTGGCCCAACCAAGGGGGTGCAGGCTTCCAGACGCACCAGATCAGAACGTGAGTGAGTCTCGGTTTCTGGCTTGTAGACCAGGAGACTGGGAGGGAGAAATGAACTGGGTCAAGCCCACGGTTGGTGCAGCAAGTCCAGCACAGGTGCTCAGTGAGCGGCCCAGGGATCTGTTAACCCTGCTGTCCATGGGTCCCTCCTACCAGGGTCCTACCAGGCACCCCTTCTAAGCAGGCCCTCCTGCTGGCGGGGAGTGGCCTGGCCCCCTGGGGCATCACCAGCCCTGCAGCCTCCCCTGGTCCCTGAGAGACCTGAGGGACCCTGGCCCCAGGGAACCTGAATCTCCTTAGACAAGCCCCGGCCATCAGGGTTTCCTTTGGAGTAGGCGGCAGCCCCTGTGATGACCCCGTGGGCAAGACCGGGCTTGCCTCACCCTACCTGGGCCTCACCCAGGAGGCCCCCTGAGCAGCAGTGGGACCCTGGGGGAGGGGTGGCGCAGCTGCCTACAGAAATGAACTGTTTATTCAGTCTGCAGTCCATGCTCACCGGGGCCTCCAACCCCACCCCACCCCCTCCAGCCGCTCTGGCCTAGGAAGGATCATCCCTCCCCAACCCCCCATCCACTCAACCCTGAGCGGCCCCTGGAAGATTCCACAGCCATCAGCCTCCCAGCCGCTCCTCCTGTTAGCACTCACTGGCTGGTCAGCCCACCCCAGGCCCTCATCTTGTTTTTTTCCTTGCTGTGGGTACAGAGGGGCTTCTGAAAACATGGCCACAGCTGCCATTCCTGCCCCCTCACCTGGCCAGGCTCTGGTGTTGGGATTCAGCTGCAGCCTTGGCCAGCTGGTGGTTTGAGAAGTCCATGGTTTATTTGCCACCCAGAATGCCAGGCTGGGCACCAGCCTCACCAAGGGCCAAGAGGATCACCCCTGCAGAGCCAGCCCAGCACCGCGGTGGAGGTGGACCGGGCTGGGAGAAGCTCGGCCTCCTCCTCTAAGCTTGAGCACTCCTTTGCTGAGCTCTGTTCCCAACCCCAGCAAGGTGCAAAGGGAAGGAGGGAGGGGTCAGCAGAGGGGGAAAGCAGGGACATGTCTCTCAGGAGGCTCAGCAGCAGGACTGGAGAGGCAGGGGAAGGCAGCGGTGAGGCAGACACTGGGGCCCTGGCCGGTGAGCTGGGTGTGGGCAAAGATGAGGCTCCAGCCACAGCCACTGCTCGGGGTGGTCCCCAGGCCATGCTGAGGGCTCGGCCCTTGGCCCCCAAGGAAAATGGGAAATGACACGCTTCCAGGGGTTGGAGGCAGGAGAGTGACCTGCTTAGATGCTCACCATGACCAGGTGGCAACATTCCTTTGGAAAGACATAAGTCCTTGTCCAGAATCAGCCCTAATGCCCCCTTCCTTTGCCATTATCTTCCTCTCACAGGGCAGTACCAAGCCCAGCCTGACCTTCCAAAGCCTCCTTCCATCCTCTCGATGGGCCCCGTGGCCCCCATGACCAGGCAGGCACTGGGACGGCCACCCTCCCCACTCCCCCGTGACCAGGTAGCCACTGGGACGGCCACCTTCCCCACTCCACACACTCTTGGGGGCTGCACAGATCCTGGCCCTAGAACAGCAGGGCTGGCCAGTGGGACTGAAGGTCATCCGTGGTGACAAGGACTGAGGACAGTGCCAGGTATGGGCAGGCTTCAGCCGCAGCTTCCTGGCATGGCCTGGGATCCCACATTGGTCAGGTTGGGGGCAAGGCTCAGGATGGCAGGCTAGACTCCAGTCCCCACTCTGCAGCTGCTGCCTCTGACTGTGGCACCGCTGTTCCTGACTCCTGGCCTTGGTTTCCTCTTCTGGGGAAAGGAGATGACCCAGTGAGCCTCATGGGTGGCTGTGAGTCAACGTGCTATGGAAAGGCCAGGCCTGCACAGGGTTATCGTCCTCCCTCCCTCGCCACTCCTTCCTTGCAACAGAGCCTTACCCCTACACCCTGCTCAGCTGGCCAGGCACTGGACAGAGGCAAAGGAGGCTGGAGGGCACTGCAAGCTGTGCCTGCACAGGCCTGTCCTGGTCCTACATTGCCCTAACTGCCCGTAGGGTGCTCAGCAATGACTACTGCTTGGAGAGAATCTCAAAATGCACCGAGAACATTTCTAACCAGTGTGTATTTAAAACTGGGGCCAATCCCCAGGGTGGACAGAAACTACTTTGCCACTTCTGACACCCGCCTGGAGGGCTGATCTGGGGCCCCCTTCTCCTCCTCATGAGGATGGGGGTGTTGAGGGTGGGGATAGCGGTCACAAGAGAACTCAGGAGAATCCAGCTCCTGTGGGTGGGAGAGGTGGGTGAGAACCATCTGGAATCCACCAGAGAAGATGGACTCGGTGAATGCCAGCCCGGGAGAGGTCTGAGATGGGACAGCCCAGCCCAGAGGGGACAAACGATTTGCCTGCGACCACAGTTTGGGCCATGGAGCAGAACTAGAACCAGGTCCTGGACTTCAGCCCAGCACTCTCCCTCCACATGCTGGAAGGGGAGGGCAGGCCCAGAAGGGAAGGCAGGGCTGTGGTGGGGACAGCGGGGTGGGATGGGGTCATGGGAGCAGCCCACAGCTGGAGGAGGTGGAACAGACTGTCTAGTTAAGAAGACAGGCCCAGGCTGGCTCTGCCATCTGCTGTCTGGGAGCCTGGGAAAGGTCCCTGACCTCTTGCAGCCAGGGTCACTGTCACCTCTAGTTAACAGGATAGCAATTGTACCTGTCTTGGGCAGCCATTGAGAGGATGCCAGCAGGTGACATGTGACAAGTGCTTAGCCCTTGCTGGGTGCAGGGTCTGCTCCTAGAAAATACTTATCCAGAGCCTCCTCTTTGCAGAGGACACAGGCGGCTTCAACTCCCACTCCTGTGCCCAGGTCGCCATCACATGCCTAGCTCTGTCTCCTCCCACCCCTCCTCTGACCCTGCTGTCTCCTTCCTCTTCTGCTGTCATGGTTCTCTCCCCAGATCCTCAGGGTCTGGAGGCCTCAGTACACTTGAAGTCCTGGCCAGGAGCAACCAGCAGACATTCGGCCTACCGTATGTGTGATGCCACAAAACCTAGCAGGGTGAGCAGTTTTCTCTGCCCCACCTCAGGCTCTCAGGCTCCTTCCAAGCAGCCTCTCTGGGCTCACATTCAGCTGTGCCACATCTCACTCTCTGTGACGTGCTGTGTGGCCTTAAGCGACTGCATTGCCCTCTGTGCAGCCTCACTGTAAACTGGGGACATGGATTAGATGTCCTTCAAGGCCTTTCCTGCAGAAGCTTTTAAAAATCCAAACTCCAGGGTCCAGCCCAGGCCCGGGAAAGCCAGAGAGCAAGCTCTTCCTGCTCCACGTCCACACATGTTGACTAGCCCCGTTTTGCACACATCTCCAAACAGCTATTTTCCCTTTTAACCTACAAATAATATTTTTTTCACTCCCAAGGAACTTCTGAGGGGAGGCTCAGCCTACGTGGGGCGAGGCCAGGCTGGGGCAGCCTGAGAAATGAGCCGCATTCCATCCCCTCTCCCAGCAGATCATCCTTCTGAGACTCCCGCCTGTCAATACCAAGTCACTCTCGGGGCAGCGGGCCATGTATAATTGACGAGCTTTCTTCTCTCTGGTGGAGCCCTAAGACATCCATGGCCATAATGCAGGATATTAAAAGCTTCCTGGGAAGACACGGCTCTCATCTCCAAGAGGAGTAATTAATGTCACAAAGGGGTTTCCAATGATGATTCCTGCTTCAGCTTTGATTTCCTCCTACAAATCCCCCTGAGATACTCCTAGAAGCACCTAAGCCTTTCCTATGTGTGTCCTCCGAGGAGTCCCATCCACTTACATCTGTTCCAGGGATTGTTAAAGAAGGAGTCCCACTTTGCTAGGATCCAGGCCTGTGTCTAGGTGCAATGCAGGGAGGGAGACAGCCATTGTCCCAAAAGCATACCCCACCCAAAGGCCTTGCCTGGGTTCTCCCAGAGGGCTGGGCCACCATTTCTCCCTCTCCACTCCCTTTTTATAAAGAGTGATTCTTGGTCTCCAAAGGGGAAGCGATGTGAAACTAGACTGCCCGACTCTGAGGCTGGAGGAGCAGGGGTAGCCGGTTCTCGCCACCAGGGAGCAAAGCTAGGATGCAGCCTCAGTGCGATTCCCAGCCAGGGCGCCCCACTCTTGCAGCAGCCAAGAGAAGTAGGTCACTGGTTTTACAGGTGTGCTACCTGAGCCCCAGAGATGCTAGGCATCCTATACAGTGTCACACGCACTCACAGGAATAGCAGGGCCAGGACTAAGCCGTGTTCTCCAAATGCCATTCCCCTCTCCCTGCCCTAGGAGCTGCCAGATCACTATGAACAAATTCATCTCCTGCTGAGCACCTGCCACCCCTCCTAGAACCTTCCTGGGGGGAGCTGGGAGGCACTGCCTCTTCCTTGGAGTGGAGGGATGAAGAAAAGAGGGACCCCACAGTCTCTGTGCACAGTCCAAGCCCACTGTCATGCACAATGGCTCAGCCCTGAGATGCACAGGGGCCTCAGAGCCTCCACTCACCTGCTGGAGTCAGAGGAAAGTGTAAAGGGACTTTGGAAAATAACCCAGCTGTGGGTGCTACAAGAGAGGCTGCCTTGTCTGAGCAGGAGGGAGGCCCACTGGTCAGGGTTCCAGCCAAGAAGGCCGCAGCTCAGGACACGTTTTAGGACTGGCTTAAGACCTGCTTTGTGAACAGGGAAACCGAGGCAGCCACCCAGGAATGCAGAGCACCCTGATGCTGTGGGATGGTGGAAAGGCCTGGTCACCCAGGGCTCATGGCTAGCACATCAGAGGCAGGACAGTCACATGCTCCCAGGTGCTGCCCCATTGTCTGGGGGGCGGGGTCTGAAGCCTGAGGGACAGGCACCAGCGACCCCATTGCAGGGCAACAGGACGGGCAGGTAGAAAGCTCCTGTTCCTGCTCCCCTTCCCCTGCTTGGCTTTCCCATCTGTCATTCACTCCTCTCTCAGCCTCCCTCATGCTCCCAGATTCCAGGTCACCGTCAGGCATATGCTATGTGGTCCAGTCCCCAGAGGACAGAGATGAACCCAGAAAGCAGGAAAATAGCGAGGGGTGATAGGAGCCTGGGGGTCACGAGCAATGGGATAAGAAGATAAAGAAGGAATCCAAGTAGCTCAAAAAAATGAAGTCAGGAAAAAAGTCTTTTGAAATAGCGTCATTGATAGCATTGCACTCAACATCCTGGGACCTCCCTGCAGATGCTTGGGTGGAAGCCGTTTCTACACTTTTTCTCCTGTCACTTAGCCAGATCTCTCCAGAGTCACTGATATTTCTAGTTAGCCTCAGGCTGAGGCTTGGAAGTTCCTGGATATTAAAAATTAACATGGGCATGTGCGCTTTTCTTAAAGCAAGAACAAGCTAAAGTAGAGAATTTAAGAAGTCAGCTACTGTGTGATCATTTTTCCTGCCCCATGGTTCAAGGGTTTGACATTTTCATTCATTCACTGCACAAATGTTTATCGAGCTATGTGCCTGGCTTGGTTTTGAAGGTAATGGCACCACTTAAAGCTGCTTGGGTACTTCTACATATTTTTAGCATTTGTACACTTCCCAAACCACCAGTTGCTTTAATCCCACAATTTTTCAGGGGAAAAAACAAAAGCATTGTTCCGGCATGAAATACCTGCACAGGGCCAGCCTGGGCAAAAAGGAGAGTAGAGAGTCGGTGGTCACCTGTGGTTACCAACACTGGATCTCTCTACCACGGGGCAGGGGCTGGTGTAGTGGGAAGGGGAGGGGGGCATCTAGCAACCCCACAATAAGCAGCACATGGCAGTTGGAAATCCCTTTTGAAGTTTTGTTTTAGTAGAGGAGAGCTCTGTTATTTTCAATATGCATAATACTTACGGAGAGTATCTGAAAGAAATTAGCAGATTCTCAGGTTTTAGAAACCCATACTTGCAAAACGTGAGTAAATAATCCAACAAGGTATTGCTATCATTCAGGTGTTTTAAACATTTGTTTTTCTTACTCCCATACATGCTGGCTTCCCTCGTGAAGCACTAGTCAAACGACGCAAACGCCCAAGCCCGTAAACACATTTCTGATTATCTGAGGAGGGCTGCATGAAGCAAACTGGCAGAAAATGTCACTTGGACACCTCTAGGAAATGAAGAAACATGGACCTGCCCAGTTAATTTCCAATGCTGTCACTGTTTTGATGACACATCTCAGAGGAGGACGTTTTTCTCCCTTGCAGAGTGTAAATCAACCCGTTAGTCCTACGAAGCTCCCTGAGACAAGGTAGCAAATGTTTCTGCCATTTAAACACTGCCACTGGATGGCCAGAGGAGTGTCCCCGGTGCCTTAGAAGGAGCTACACACTGTCTTTGGACACCCCATGACATCTGTGTGGCTGTCTTCTCAACAAGGTTGGCTGTGTCCTGCTGTCAGCAAGAAGCCCAGGTGATTGGCAGCAGGAGCTGACCCTTCCCTCAAGTTTGGTCACTACTCAGATCTGTCTCCAGGGCCCTGAGCCAGGGAGGACCCAGGCCAGCTCAAACACCACATCCACCTTTCCATCCACAGGGCATGGCACATCCAGGCTGGGCAACATTGATGGGAGCACACCCCCTGGCCCACTGCCAGACCACA
This sequence comes from Homo sapiens, assembly GCF_000001405.40. Taxonomy (NCBI): domain Eukaryota; kingdom Metazoa; phylum Chordata; class Mammalia; order Primates; family Hominidae; genus Homo; species Homo sapiens. The sequence goes on from NC_000010.11 coordinate 124,134,440, forward strand.
CACCCACCCCTTTGCTGGGACTGCCCGGGCCTGGATCTGCCTCGAATGAGAATAACTCCAGTCTGCCTCTCCGTCCGGATTAAAACGCCTCAAAGAGGGGGTCTTCCACGCAACCTGTAACCCACTGCCAGGCACGGTTAGTGTTTGTTGAATAGATGTCAGCCAACTGCATGATGAACTTTGTTTCTTCCAGCCAACAAACGGCAATTTTCAAATGTTTTTCAGCTCTTACTCTTGATTTCTTCTACCTAACAGGTAAACAAACATTTGTGGAGCATCTCTAATGTGCCAGGCCTGGTGCCATGCTGGAAATGGGGAATGAATAATTCATGATCTCTTCCTTCAAGGAGCTCAGAGTCACATGGATGAGACAAGAGGTGAGCAGATTGTTTCCATGGGGTGCTCTGTCCCACTCGCTCTTTCCCATGCTTCAGGTCCAAGCCCCAGAGGACCCCTTCAGAGAGAGCATCCTATTTAACACCAGGTTTCCTGCTATCTTTATCAAAGCACCTATTGATTTATTTCATCAATAGCTATAATTTCTATTTATTTGATTATTTACCTATGTATCACTTGTGTTCCACCAGATAATAAACTCCACAAAAGCAAGAATATTGTCTATTTCGTTCTTCTTTGTAATCCTAGTACCTAGCACCTAGTAAGTACTCCATAAATATTTCCTAAAGAAGGAGTGTGTGCAGTGACATCTCTGACTGCTGAATTAAAACTTGCAGCCTTGCCTGTCCTGACACTCCTTGGACCCCTTCTTTGCTGTGCTTTTTCCTCCAGTAGTTGTCATACAAGTCATTCATGTATATTGTCTACTGACGGCCCTTCCACTCACTAGGATGTACATTCTGTGAGAACAGGGAATTTTTCTATTTTGTTCACTGGTTTTCCCCAGCACCTAGAACAGTACATATAGTAGATGCTCAATAAATATTGTATGAATGAATGAATGACAATACAATGTAGAAGTTAGTAGGAAGATAATTTAGTCTATTATGGGCAGGGGATGTCACAGAAGACTTCCTGCAGGATACTGCACCTGAGCTTATTCTTTATTCTTTTTTTTTTTTTTCCAAGATGGAGTATTGCTCTGTCACCCAGGCTAGAGTGCAGTGGCATGATCTCAGCTCACTGCAAATTCTGCCTCCCAGGTTCAAGCAATTCTCCTGCCTCAGCCTCCCAGTAGCTGGGATTACAGGCTTGCACCACCATGCCTGGCTAATTTTTGTATTTTTAGTAGAGACAGGGTTTCACCATGTTGGCCAGGCTGCTCTCAAACTCCTGACCTCATGATCCGCCCGCCTTGGCTTCCCAAAGTGTTGGGATTACAGGCTTGAGCCATTGCGCCCGGCCAAGCTTATTCTTAAGTCCTAATGAACACAGTGACCAAAGCTGACTCAGGAGGAAATAGAAAACCTGAACAGTTCTATGACCACTAAACAAATTAAATTAGTTTCCACCAAAAACTGCAAGGCCCAGATGGTTTTACTGGAGAGGTCTACCAAACTTTTCATTCCAACTTATGTAAACTCTTTCAGAGACTAGAAAGGGTGAGACCATTTTGTGAAGCTAGTGTAACCTTGGTAATTCAACCAGGTAAAAGCATTTGGGAAAGGAAAATCTCTGGCTAACATCTCTCAGAAGTATGTATGCAAGAGTACTAACAGGACATTAACAACCCAAATCTACCAAAGCCTATAAAATAATAATACATCATCATCAAATTGGGTTATTTGAGAAATAAAGATGGTTTATTATTAGTAAGTTATTGGTAATTTCACTATATTAAGAGATTAGAGGCAAATATTGGCATCTTATTAATGACAGAAAATGACATTAGATAAAATTTAACCCTCATTCATGATAAAAGTTCCTGGCTATTTAGAAAAATATGGTACTTTACTTAATCCAACAGAATAAATTTAAAATAGCTACATAAACATCATATTTGATGGTAAAGCACTGAAAAACATTCCTTTTAAAATTATAAAATAGGCAAGAATATCTGAGATCATTGCTTTTATTCAACCAAAAAAGTTGACTCATTTGGAAGGGGGAAGGGTTGACTATTAGATAAATGGTGCTGGGAAAATTGGCTATCCACATAACAAATAAACTGGATCCCTACCTCAGATTATATGGGAGAAAAAAGACAAAAAGCATAAATCATAAAAGAAAAAAATAGAACAATTTAAGTAAATAAAAAAAATTTTGCTAATCAGATACAAATAATACAAAAATGTTTTGTCAAACAAAAAAAGGCAAACCACAAACAGGGAAAAAATACTTGCAATATATCACCAACAACAAAAAAAAATTGCCAGCCATAGGGGTGCATGCTTGTAGTCCCAGCTCCTAGGAAGGCTAAAGTGGGAGAATCCCTTGAGTCCAGGAGTTTGAGGCCAGACTGGGCAACACAGCAAGACCACCATGACCCTGCATCTCTTTTAAAAAGATTATCCAAAATATATTTCAAATCACTAAAAAATTATTAGAGGCAAAACAGAAATAGAGACAAAAGTTATACACAGGCATTTCACAGAAGAAGAAATACAACAGTCTGCCTATAATCGGGAAAATATCAAGTCAAAACTACAATGGGATTCCATTTTACATCCATTTACTGTCAGAATTTGTAAACCTGTCAATAGAAAAGGTTAGGCAACCATGTAGACTGAAGAGAAATGTTTTATATACCACTGACCAGCATATAAACTGCTCTATTTTAACAAATTATTTGGCAACATACGGTAAAACTGAAGATATGCTGGGCCTATGAGTTGCACTTCCATTTCTGCATGATACCCTCGAGGAGCTCTTGTCCATGTGCAAAGGAGATGTGGTTAGCAGTGTGCACAGCAGTAGGTTAATAATAGCAAAAACAAATGTCGTATGAGAGAATAAACACACACACTCACAGAAACACACACACACATTTAAATACTGTACTTTACTGAAAATGGGTGTGAACTGGAGCTCTATGCATTAACACAGAGCACCTCAAAAACATGATAGAGGGCAAAAATGGCAAGTTATAGGAGAATATAGAGAGTATGATATCATTCACATAACATGTGAAAGCATTTTAAGCAACAGTGCATACTGCTTAGAGATGCACGCATACATTCACGTACAAAGATCATTATAAAAAGGTAAAACACAAGATTCAGAATGATGGTTACCTGGGAGCAGTAAGGAAAGGATTAGGAAGGAATACACAAAGAGCTTTAACCATGTTGATACACTTTGTTTCTTAAGCTTGGTAGTGTATTCTTTATATCCCTTGGATACCACATACTTTATTGAAAAATTGAGGAAAAAAAGGAATGTGTTAGCATCAGATGAAGGAGGAAGAAAGGAGTCTTCTAGGAGGGAACAGAAGCATAAGCAAAGATACTGGGGGGTAAACCAGGAGGTAGAAGGGGAAGACCACAAGAAACATGGTGTTTAAAGCACACATCGAGGCCGGGTGCAGTGGCTCACACCTGTAATCTCAACACTTTGGGAAACCGAGGCAGGAGAATCACTTGAGCCCAGGAGTTTGAGACCCACCTGGGCAATATAGTCAGACTTCATCTCTACAGATAATTTTTGTTTTAATTAGCCAGGTGCCTGTAGTACCAGCTATTCGGGAGGCTGAGGTGGGAGGATCACTTGAGTCCTGGAACTCAAGGCTACAGTGAGCCGTGATCACACCACGGCACTCCAGCCTGGGAGACAAAAGTGAGACCCTGTGTAAAATATATATATATATATAAAATCAAATTAAATAAAGCACACACCAAGAGAGGGTGGCTAAAGTTAGGCATCAGAGGTTATTGGAGAATAGACCCTAAGTAACCTGGCGTGCAGTGCTGAGGAGCCAGGAAATTGTCCTGAAGCCAGTGGAACTTATTAAGGGTATTAAGTGGGTGGGTGATTCAGTCCTCCAAGCATTTGAGAAAGTCCACTGTGGAGGAGAGATTGAGGGGAATGGGGCAGAGGAGAGGGTGTTCTGGAAGCAGAAAAGCCAGTGAGACACAGGAGAAAGGTCTGGACCAAAAAGTGAGGGGGCCCCAAGGAGTGCAGTGGCAATGGGGTGAGAGAAGCTGCCCAGATACTTAGTACCCAATGCCTGTTTCAACAGAATCCTAGTGCTGTGGTGTGTCCACACAAAAATGACTGCTCAGCATGTGGCTGCCTTGGAGTTCAAAACACAAAGCCTCCAGCCTTTCCCACGCATTGCTAGAGACAGCTTAGAATGAACTTGGCTGAGTTTTGCTGGCCTCCAATGCCTTAATTACGTATTTACTGGTATTTGGAATGGCTTGTGCAAGCTGCCCATGGTGTCAGGTCATTGCTTAAACTGAATGATGGCTTCTCTGTTCCATTTCTTCCTAATGAGTACACACACTTGAGCACTTAATATAGAGCAATGGCTTTCCAGGACAAATGGCCTTCCAGTAGAACAAAGCACTCTAAGGAGTTAGTGATTTCTGACATTTGTTAGCCAGGCTGACAACTCTGGACAAGGAAATTTGAAATTTTGAGTTGTTTCCAAATTGGCTGAGTTATAATAGTAATTGCAAAGCAAAGTCACGGAATCTCAGATATTTAACATTAAGGCCAACTCTTACTGGCGGGTGAGAATATGAGAACTTGGGACAGAAAGTGCCTGTAACCTAAGGTCACGCATTAGATTAGTGGCATCCAATGACAGAACATAAACATTCACTGAGCACCTGCTATGCACCAAGCCCTCTGCTGGGTGCTGGGGATATAAGGGTGACCACATGTCCGCCATTGAGGAGTCTGCATTCTCGCTGGAAGAGAAAGACAATAAACAAGGAAGCAATTCATGAACTCACCATTTCAGGTACTGGTTAGTGCTGAGAAGGGTACCAGTGGTATAAGACGATGGAAAGAGCCTGGAGCTACTTTTCCCAGGATGGTGAGGGAAGGTTTCTCTGAGAAGAAACTTCAGTCTCTAATCAAGAAAGCAGATCCCAACCAGGCGGTTTAAGAAAAGAATTTTAATATAGAGAACTAGGTCCAAAGGTGCTGGAAGAGAAGAAAGGGCAAAGGACACGGTGAGGCTATCCAGAGATTAGTAACAACAGCAGCTGCTACCAGCCCTAGCTAGAGACAAAGGGAAGGGCTTCCAGAACCCAAGAGAGGGCAACATACAAGGAAGAGTGGCCCAGTAGCATGTGGAACCCAGAGGAGATGGGGCAGCTGCCTGGGATAGTTCCTAAAGCAGAGAGGGGTTTGGGGGAAGAAACATCCTGGCTTCTCCCTTCTCCCTGCCTTCCAACCTGCCATGAACATCTCCCATCAGCTGAACATAACCAGAAACCAAAGGTCAAACATGCCTGGAAAATGCATCTTCCCCAGGGAAATGCAAACTTTTTGCAGAAGCCACCCAGGGATATACAGTAGGGTCAGGGGAAAGTGGAGGCTAGATCTTAGGGCTAACAGGCAAACGGCCAGAACATAAGGTAATGACCGAATCAAGACACGTCTGATAAAAGGAGGGACCCATGCGAGTGCTAGGGGGTAAGAATTCCAGCAAAAGGCACGCAGGGCGGCCGAGGCAGGGTGGGATGCACTGGCTCCCCTCTACAGTTCGGACTCACCTCCGGCACTGGCCACCTCGTTGAGCCTCCTTGTGATTCTCTTTTCCCATATTTTCCAGCTCCTCTCAAGCTTGCCTCTTGTGCCTTCAGAAAACTGCAGGGACCTGATGGAGGTGGAGCTGCTGGGCAGGCAGGGCATTCTCCAGTGTCAGAGCCAATTCCATGGCTCATAATTACACCTTTCTCCATTGATTGACTATTTACCCTGGGAATTGCACAAAAGCTTAACGTGTTCCCACAGCAGCCCGTGATGGAGGCTTCCTTCTCTCTGTTTGACGGATGAGGAAAGAGAGGCTCCGATTCAGTAAATAACTTGCTCAATGGTGCAGAGTAAATGGCAGGGCTAAGATTCCTTTCACTCATTTCATTTCCAAATGTTTAATGAACATCTGTCTATCAAGGTTCAGGCTGTGGAGATAAAATGGTGAACAAAACAAGCAAAGAATATGGTCTTACAGGGAATACAGCTATTAAACAAATAACCATGCTTGTGGTGTGATTATTAAAGAAATTATTTATGCCAAGAAAACAAGAAAGTCCAAAACCATGTTTATCTATTTCTCAAGTATCTCAAGTATAACAATTGATTATCTATTTTGTTAATTTCTGCTCTTGTATTTATCATTTTCTTGCCTGTCTTTTTCTTTTAGTTTTACTTCAAGGTTGTTTCTAGGGACTTCAGTTGAACCCTTAACTTATTTATAACTAAGGCTACACATTTTCCTCTGGGTGCTGCTTTAGCTATATCCCAAAGTTGACTAGACTGTTCTTTTATTTTTTTTTTTTTTTTTGGACAGAGTTTCGCTCTTATTGCCCAGGCTAGACCTCAGCTAACTGCAACCTCTGCCTCCTGGGTTGAAGTGATTCTCCTGCCTCAGCTTCCAGAGTAGCTGGGATTACAGGTGCCTGCCCCAACACCCAGCTAATTTTTTCTATTTTTAGTAGAGACGAGGTTTCACCATGTTGGCCAGGCCGGTCTCAAACTCTTGACCTCAGGTGATCCGCCCACCTCGGCCTCCCAAAGTGCTGGGATTACAGGCATGAGCCACTGTTTCTGGCCATGTTATTTTATTCTTTAGTTCTAAATATTTTATAATTCCCCTGATTACCTCTTTCACGCATGAGTTATTGGGCAACATTTTAAAACTTCTGTGTCAGTCCATTTGGGTTGCTGTAACAAAATCCCATATGCTGGCTGGCTTATAAACAACAGAAATTTATTTCTCACTGTTCCGGAGGCTGGAAAGTCCAAGATCAAGGTGCTGGCAGAGACAATGTCTGAGAGCCTGATTTCTGAGTTATAGATGGCACCTTTTTGCTGTGCCCTCACATGTTAGAAGATGTAAGAGGTCTCTGTCAAGCCCCTCATATGGGCACTGGTCCCATTCATGAGGGCTTCACCCTCTTGACCTAATCACCCCCCCAAAGCCCCACCTCCTAATCCTATCACCTTGAGGGTTAGGATTTCAAAATACAAGTTTTGAGGGGACATGAACATTCAGACAATAGCAACTTCCAAACATGCTTTTTATCTTTTTCCTGTTGATTTTTAATGTAATCGCTTGTGCTCACAGAGAGCGTTAAGATAATGTTAATTTGTTGGTATTTGTTGAGACTTTAGTCAAGATTTACTGCATGATACATTTTTATAAACATCTGTATATTCTTAAAAATTATATACCTATATATTGGCTGCATGGTTATTTCTGTATTCTTTCATAAAATCTAACTTAATTCATTATTTGTACCACTTTTATTGTCTGCTTGATCAATAGAGCTGTGTTAATCTATGAATGTGGATTCCTCAAGTTCTCTTTCTATTTCTGTTTTCATCTTACATATTTTGAGTTTTTTTTTTTTTGCTTTAAAGTTCAATATGTGTCATATTATCACAGAGCCCCTTGTTCAAAAATTATTTAGAATTTTGAGACAATCCTAGCAGAACTTTAAATCAAGCAGGAGGCCTTTCTAAGCCCAGAGCCCTGTGCCCACCCATAAAGCTGGCCATGCTTGGGTCCCCTGGGGTGAGGACTGGTTGAAGGAGTGGACACCAAACTGTCTTATGACCTTTAGAGAAATCATGTAAAGTTCATGCCTACTTGGTGGGCGCATGACCAGCATCAATTTCATGCAAGGGTTGGGAGGTTGGGGACCAGTTAGTAACACTGAGTCATTTCATATAACTCACTGGGTGCACTTTGCAATTTTAAAAATGTAAGCTCCTGAAAGCTTTTAATTTTCCCATTTACTTTTGGCTGTGGATTTTGCCTCAGCTGAAATGCAAAAGCCTGAGGATTATCTATTTAAAGCTATCGTCCAAGCTTTACAGTAGGCAAATGCTGTGTCCAGTGTGGAGGTTTACAGATGACAGTTTAAAGAAAAGTCTCGGTTCTGATGCAGCTGTCTTTGGTTAGCACATTGGAAAGTGTGCTTACCCTCGGAAAGAAACCTCTGGGGGCTAAGAAGTAAGTGGTTTCTGCTTCTGGGGTTTTGTTCAGAAACCCAGAAAGGCATAAATAGCATCGTTCCAGAAACATTCCTGCCTGGCCCTTTGATCTTGGCCTGGCAGCCATTGCAGGGTGTGCCGCCCACCCACCCTTTGTGGGCTCAGTCAGTACAGGGTTACGTGCAGCCCTTCAGAGCTGGGGTGGCCATAAAACCAACTAGTGCAACTCCTCAAATCATAGCAGAGGCCCAAGAGGGCAGGTGCCTTGCCTAAAGGCACAGCAAATCAGTTGCAGAGCTGGGGGTCTTCCTCCTTCAACCTCTGCCCCTTGGCCATCCCCCAACTCAACTGATTATCTGCTGAAACATGAAGTTGGCAGGTTTTTGTTGTTGTTATTGTGTTTTACCAAGGCACTGATCACCTGAACTTCTTGCTCGGCCAGTCTTTATTCCCAGCCACTGACACTAGAGATATGCTCAGGTAAGGCCACCAGAGGCCGGGGTCGAGGGATAGGGAGATGAAGGAGTCGTTACTTCCTCTTTCTGATCTCCTTTCCATAGACTCACCCAGTGAGAAACCTAAAACAGCAGCAACTTGTGAGTCAGGGATGTGTGTCTCATCCAAGCCTCCACCCAGGTCTCGAGGCCCTGCCCCAGCATCCCTGTCTACCAGCTGCCCATCCTGCTTGGATACAGCCAGTAACAGGGAGCCCACTCCCACAGTGGGGCTCAGGCCACCGCCCTCAGCTCTGTCCCCACACATCCCCTGTCAGTGTCACAGAGACCATAACTGAGTCATCCTTTTAGAGGTCCCTCTCTAGGAGAGCGTGAACTTGAGGAACTGAGGAAGATGGCACCATGCCCTCTTCACGGCTTTATCCTAACTCCTGGTTCAGAGATGTTGCTTACAACAGAATACCTGAAACTGGGGGATTTATAAAGAAAAGGAATTTATTTCTTACAGTTTTGGAAGCTGAGAAGTCCAAGATTGAGGGGCTGCATCTGGTGAAGTTCTTCTGGCTAGTGGGGACTCTCTGCAGGGTCCTGAGGCAGCCCAGGGCCTCACATGGGCTGAGCACGCCAGCTCAGGTCTGTCCTCCTCTTCTTAAAAAGCCACCAGTTCCACTCCCACAGTAACCCATTAATCCATTCACCCATAATCCATGGATAGATGAATCCATTCATGAAGGCAGAGCCCTCATGACCCATTCGCCTCTTAAAGGGCCCATCTCTCAATATTGCCACATTGAAGATTAAGATTCAACATGAGTTTGGAGGGGACAAATATTCAAATCATAGCAGTTGCATCACACACATTTCACTAACAAATAGTTATTGCTGTTTCCCCCAACCTCCAGTCCTCATTTGTCACGTCTCTGGGCCTCAGAGAACATTCGATTTTCCACAGGAAAGTTCACGGAGCATTGCAAGAGCGTTTGGTGGCCCTCTGAGTCATCTCTTCTCCTCACGGGACATCCCAGCATCTTCATGGATCCTCAGAGGCACGGGGGGCCACCCTGACCACCCTCCTCAGAGTGAACCTCTGTCTATGTGTCCTTCTTCATATGTGGTGGCCAGAAACCAGATCATGTGCACAGAACAGACAGGCTCTGGTACCATTGTGTGTGTGTGTGCCTGTGTGTATCTATGTCTGTGTGTCTTTGAATGTGCCCATATATGGGAGTTTGTGTGTGTGTCTTGGTGACTATGTAAGACTGCATGTGTGAATGTGAGAATGTGTGAGTCTGTGTATTAAGTGTGTGTATGTATGTGTGTGAGTTTTTATAAATATATGAGAGTGGGTATGTCTGTGTGGATGTGTCTGTGTTTGTATGAATGTGTTTGAGCACGTGTGTGTGTCTATGTGTCTGTGTGAGTATGTGTGAGAGAATGTGTAAGAGTGTGTCTGTATGTCTATGTGGTGTGTATGTTTGTGTGTCTTTATGCAAGAGTCTGTGTGTGTGGATGTGGATGTATGAGAATATGAGTCTGTATGAATGTGACTGGCTGTGTGTTGTGTGTGCACATCTGGTTGCCTGTTGGTCTCTGAGTCCTCTCCCAATGTCCCTCAGAGGGAAGACTGATGGGGCCACTCTATGGACGGCCCGTGTGAGGAGACCCCTCAGCAGCCCTGAGTGAGGGCCTGGCACCCGGGAAGTGCTCGGCAGCTGTGAGCCATTACCGTATCAAGATTTGTGTGTATTTAGTGACAAAGGCCCCTGTTGCGTTTCTATTTCCTGCAGGAAGAGTGATTGCAAAGTGGGGACCTGGAGGCAGCCAGCGGGGAGTCCTGAGAAGTACAAGACCCAGAGGTCTATTCAGAGAGAAACCAAACAGTCCAGAGACGTGGTGGCCACATTCCCCTCAGCACTGTGAGAAACAACTCTGTTTTACAGATGGAGAGAGGAAATGGAATCCCGGCACATGGAGTGAGGGCAGAAATAAAGATACATCACCCCGCCCTTCAGAAATCAGGGGAAGGGTGGTGCCAGGGAGTCCTTTCAAAGGCCTGGGATCACCACATGCAGGCAGGACCATGCCACATCTCCCCGCCTTTGGGTGGTCTCGACAATGCTACAGGGCCTATGTTACAGACGCAGAAAGCTCAGAGGGGTTAAATGACAACTCGGTCACACAGAGCTCCATCAGCAGTGCAGCCGGAACTCACACCCAGGTCTGCTGACTCCAGGACCAGTGTTCTGGGCCCCAGAAGCCCCCGTGGGACTTCCTGTGCACACTACCCAACAAAATGAAAACATCCTCAGCTGTCCCTGTGTGTGAGGCAATTCACATCCTGCTGCCAAGTGTTGCCACCAAATCTCTCTAAATTGGGCAATTAGCAGCATGATTTGTGAAATGAGGAACAGGATATGCTTTGACCCCTTGAACTTCTTCCCCACTGAACTCTCCAGTTCTAGCTGAGCTTTTAGTTTTAAACGTGGGAGTGGGGTGGGGCAGGAGAAATTTCCTTAAACCAGCGTTTCTGCCAATAGCCACTTCCTGGGGAACCATCTCTACCTGGATGGTTGAGGTTTCAAAACTAGATTCCAGCAAAATGAAGACAAGGCAAACTATGAACTGGAAAAAGTCAGTAGACCACTCACCGCCAAGGGTTGAGAGTCTTAATAGAAAAGTGTGCTTAGAAGATGACAAGCAGGAAAGCAGGCCAAGCGTATGAGTGGGCGACCTCCAGTGAAGAGATGCGAATGGTCATCCGCACAGGGAAAAAATATCAGCCTCACAATTGCTACATAGAGCATGTGGGAGCCCATGGATTCGGACAGAGCTCCCACACAAGGCCCAAGGCCTCACCAAGATGAAGTTACATGTCACCCAACTGAAGTTATCTGACACGCTGAGAAATTGGGAGAGAGACAATAGCCAAATTCCCAAACAGTCCAGTTTTAGCCAGCATCAGGGAAGTCCTGTCTGCTTTAACCCTATAAGGAAAGTCACCACAAAGTGATCAAACTGTTCTTTGTTTCTGTTTCTTTAGCCCTTTTCTGCCTGTAAAGTCTGCCTCCTCTGTTCCACCCATAGGAGCTCCTTCCTATTACAAGAATGGGATGCTTCCCCGTTCATGAACCACAAATAAAAGCCAATTTGATCTTTAAACAAAATTTGTTGAAATTTTGTTAACACCATTAAAAAAAAAAAAAAGGCAAATTAAAACAGTAGGATGTCATTTTTCTCCTAATAGATCAACAAAGATAAGACCTAGCCCAGTGAGGAAGCGAAGAAATGAGATCTCCCTAGATTAATGCTGGGGTTGAAATTGGCACAGTCTTTCTGAAAGGCCTTTAAGATGTGGGTAAATTTGACCCTGTAACTATTTTTAGACTTTATCCTGAGGGAATTGGTCAAGATGTAGGTGGAGATGAATATACAAAGATATTTATTGTGTTGTTACCTATAATATTGGGAAATCTGGAAAAAATACCCTAAATGTCCACTAATAAATTACTACTCAGGAAAATTACAGTAAACCCATATGAAGCGATACAACGCCACTGTTAGTCATTCCATGGCAGTGGAATCTTTGACTCCAAGTCCAGTGTCCTCCCACAAAGAGAGGCTGCCTCTCAAGTCTGTCCAGAAAGTGCCTCCACCTTCCAATGGCTGTGAACAGCTGGGGAAGTGTCAGTGGCTAACTCCCATGAAATGGTGAACATGAGGTTCAGGGCTGGGAAGAAGAGCAGGGGATGTGGGCCAGAATGTTTCACTAGCATCCAATTTGAAGCCACATGTTTCCAAATATGAGGCTAATTAAATAACTCCATCATGTACTTGCATATTTTACCCTTGTTTACTTCATTGTCAACCCCACCCCGCCATTCTGAATAGGTTTTATGGCCCATGTGGAGAATAGTGTGAAGAGAGGCCAAAAGTCTTGATTCTCTGACACCTATCAGCTGTGTGATCGTGGACCACTCAGAACCCAGGCACCTCCTCTGAAATAGCCCCTGGCTAAGGGCCTGGTCTATGCAGGTGTTCACCAAGTGGCTGACATTGCTAGTGGCTGGTTTCCCCCTCTACTTTCTTCCCTAGCAGCCCTCTGACTCTTGGGGGCTCCATGATTTTCAGCAGCAATAGCATCCCAGAAAGCTGGGGGAGAGAAGTTTTAAAAGTCCAGGGAAGTTCGGGTAAGCAAAGACCACCCTTTTCCTCCAGCCAGTGGGGCTCCCTGCTCTTTGAGAGTTCTAAGCACTTGCATGCTGTGCTACCTTGTAGTAGGGGCTGCTGGTGCCTCTCCCAGGTCTCCTCTCTCTACCTGCTTTTGCAGGCAGCACCTGGAAGCTGTGAGGCTGGCCTGCTAACAGCTCACAGCCTTCCCCACCTCCAGAGAGGTGAAGCTTTACCTGGGAGGCTATGCCCACTCATAGGCCAAGGCCAGTGCAGGAAGGACCCATGGAAGGAAGGATAGATGGGCCTCCCACTCAAGGTGACTTCAACACTGTAATCAGCTCATACCCCACCACCCCCACCCCAAGCTCCCCAAGCTCTGGAGCTCTCCAGCCCACCCCACCACCTCCTGGGGTTCAGGCAGAAACAGGTCTCCAGCAGAGGCCACCCCTTTGCTTAGCTCCTTTCCTGCCCATCACTCTTCCCTGAGAGCTCCTTTCCAATAAACCACTTGAATAAGTCTCTGTTTCAGGCTCTGCATCAGGGAACCTGCCCTAAGACCAGCTTCAATTCAACTTTCCCGGAATTTCCTGGACACTTCCCCTGCAAGACGCCCTGCACCAGAGCTGGGTGATGAGAAGTCCCAGAGTCATTCTTGGGGTTTCTGTTCCCTGACTATAGTGTCCAAGATGGTCAGAGCTGGAACAAATGGTAGATAACATCTAGTTCAGGGTTTCCTGAGCATGCTCTGAGGAACATTAATCCCAGACTGGTGGGGGAAAAGGGAATCTGCCTGCAAATGAATGTAAGGAATTCTGGATTAAAAGTTAAGTGGAGCTCTTTACTGTAGCCCTGCCCATAGCCTTTAATATTCAAATGAGACCTAGAATTTTAGGGCTGTGTTTCTCAACCTCAACGCTATAGACATTTGGGACTGGATGCTTCTTTGCTATGGAGCCATCCTGGGCATTATGGGATGTTAGCAGCCTCCCTGGCCTCCACCTCCTAGATGCCATAGCATCCTCCCACCTTATGACAACCAAAAAATGTTTCCAGCCATTGCCAAGTAGCCCCAGAGGGGCAAAATCAGCCTGCCCCAAGTGAAGGATGTTATTCACTAGGTTCTTTTTTTTTTTTTTTTTTTTTTTTTGTAACATCTCTTAATGTCTCTCAGAACTAGAATTCTGCAGGGCACTATTTGAAAACCACTGATCAAAACCAACATCCATTTTACAGTTGAACAAACTGAGTCCTTGAAAGAAGACAGGGTCTACCCACAAAAATTAAGAGGATCCACAGCAAATCTGAAATTCAAACCCACGTCCTCAAGGAAATGAAATTTCTTGAGGGCCTTCCAAAGTAGCCCAGGGTGAAGGCCTCAGGAAGAGCCCAGTGCAGAGTGAGAGTTGACCCATCATAACTAGGGGCCCCATTTGGTTAAGGCTGTTTTATCTCCCCAGTGATCTGATCCTTTTATTCACTTCCAGGAACAAGACTGTGCTGATGTCAGAGGCATGTGAACCAGAGCAACTCCATCTTGAATAAGAGCTGGGTAAAATGAGGCTGAGACCTACTGGGCCACATTCCCAGACTGTTAAGGCATTCTAAGTCACAGGATGAGAGGAGGTCGGCACAAGATCAGGCAATAAAGACCTTGCTGATGAAACAGACTGCAGTAAAGAAGCCGGCTAAAGCCCACTAAAACCAAGATGGCCACGAGAGTGACCTCTGGTCATCTTCACTGCTACACTCCCACCAGCACCATGACAGTTTACAAATGCCATGGCAACGTCAGGAAGTTACCCTATATGGTCTAAAAGGGGAGGCATGAATAATCCACCCCTTGTTTAGCATATCACCAAGACATAACTATAAAAATAGGCAACGAGCAGCCCTCAGGGCTGCTCTGTCTATGGAGTAGCCATTCTTTCATTCCTCTACTTTCTCATTCAACTTGCTTTCACTTTACTATTGACTCACCCTGAATTCTTTCTTCCGTGAGATCCAAGAATCCTCTCTTGGAGTCTGGATCGGGACCCTTTTCCTGTAACACTGAGGGTCTTTCTGATAGATACCTTCCCGTAGTTATGGAGGAATGGTGGTGAATACATGGGGGAGGCAGCACAGAAATGCTCGAGAAGCCAAAGAAAGCAGCCCTGGAGCCCTCTCCGAGCCGACACGGGGGCATCCATTCTGCAGTCCCAACGCATTCCACTCTTAATCTCCACGTGAGATGCGACAGCCGTGCCAGGCTGTAAGCACACACCTGTAGCTTTGTGTTCCAGCACAGAGGAGCATGCCACAATTTTCAATTATGAGAAAGCTTTAACTCAAATCCCAGGAGCGGAAAACTCATTAATTTATTCAATCCAGCCTCCCTTGCTTCTTGCTAGGTTTTGAAAATTGTCACATGTGTTTGCCTCCACCCCACGTCCCCAATCCAAGACTGTTCTTTTTGAAAACAGCAGGGTTTTCCTTAACCTACCTTGGAAACGATGTCCCAGGAAAAGCCGGCATCTAATTCATTTCACGTGCTAAACTATTACAATCGAAAGGCAAAATCTCTACTGTGCAGCTTTAAAAACATCTGTTTTTCTCTTTACTTTGGGGGATAATTATCCTAGCTCCTATTGTGGCTGCTAATTACGAAGCTAAACCAACCTGCTGAAGGGCTGGCAAGAGGAGGGTTCTTTTCAAAGCATTTCCCCCAGAGCATTAAATCATCCGAAAGTGGAAGCAGAAAATGCACCAGCACCAGCCTCCCCACCACCTGCTCCCAGGCCTGGCTGACAGGGGCCCTGCAGGAACCTCAACCTCAGGGAGTAGGGGGTGGGGAGGGGAGATTTCATTTAACCAAACTGCTGGATGTGAATTTTTTTCCTTTTTCCATGAACAAATAATTGATCTGACTGAGAAGTTTTACTTTTTACAGAGACCAGACCCAGCCAGGATTCCAGAAACTTAACAAACCATATTTTATGTCAAAGAGAGAATAAAAAACAAAGTGTTTACTATTTCTTAAGATTTTATCCAAAGCCGGAAGTAACATCATTTAAAAGATGACTCTGTAGTAAATCCTCTTAAACCAAAACTAAGATTTTCTTTGCTAAAAGAATGCAATTTGAACCAAAAACAAAGAATGTTTATTCATTCATTTGTTTGACCTTTTGTGAGTCTCAGTCCCACAGTAGGTACTGAGGACAGGATAGCAGCGAGGCAGGGGCAGCCCCTGTCCTCACACAGCTCAGAGTAGGGCTGGGAGGGGGTGAGTACTCCAGAGAAGAAGGCAGGTGACTCTGAGCTGGACCAAGAAGTGTTCTGATGGGGTGGGATGGGGGCCTGTGAGGCCAGGAGGGTCTTCCCATTCTTGAGCAGTGCCACATGAGGCTTAGAATGAGGCATCTGAATTTTGAGAGGTGAATCAGAATGAGCCCAGGTTGAGAGAAGGGGCAGGTTTGTAAGATTGCTGCAGACAGCGAGAACAGCACGTGCAAAGGACCTGAGGTTAAGTTCAGGGACAGCTGAGAGGCAAGCAGAGCCCAGCCCACCAAGGTGCCTAAAGAGCCTAAAGAGCCAGGCCTTTGTCCTGACAGGGCTGGGGAGCCAGGGAAGGCTCCGGGCAGAGGCGTGACCAGCTCGCAGTCCCGCTTGACATCAACATGCTCTCCATAATGAAATTGAATGAAAACCTATAATGCAAAAAGCATGCTGAGCCCTGACTTCCGGCTGGGCTATTTGGGCACAAGAAAGACCCAGGTCCAGAATCAACCTACGGGCTAGGTGCAGAAACTGCCAACCCAGAGGGAAGCCCCCAAGCCGAGGCAGCTGGGCCTTGAAAGCCAGCACCTCTGAGCAGCCCCCAGACACATCAGTAGCCCCGGTGCGTCTAGAGGATCCCTGTCCCCAGGCGTGGAAGGGGCCACTCACCTGGGAACCACAATGACAGCAGCAGCAACAGCAGCCACACGAACCAGTCTCAAGTCAACCGCCCAAAGGGGCCATGTGCCATGTAGAACTCCACATGTGACAGTGGAGAAATACAACAAGGTCACGAGTGCCTCCAAGCACCTGTCATCGTCCAACTAGGAAAGCGAACCCTTTGTTCATGCAGCTCAGAAATCAAATTTCTGGAAGAGATGCAAATGAGAGAGACCAAGAGAGGGCAAGGAGGCTTTCCTTCACTGGCAGGCAGCGGGAGGGAAGGTAGGAGAGAGGAGGCTAGCCTCATGCTGGGGACAGGCAGCAGCTAGGAGACTGTCACAGAGAGGGGACTCGCACATGAAGAGAAATGCTCAGATGGGAATTTGGGGGAGCTCTACTGTGTCCTGTTGGATTAAGAGACCCCTGCACACATTGTCTTCCACCTGTCTGGGGTCTAACTTGTGTTCTCCTCGGGCCAGTGTATAGACACTGGGCTCAAGGGGGCCCAGGGAGACTGCAGTTATGGGTGCATTTTCCCATTCTATCCTCACAATGAGCCTGTGAAAAGGTGTCATTATCAACCCCACCCCACGCTGGGACAGAGGCTCAGGGAGGCTGGAAAATGGCAGAGGCTCCCCAGCTAGCACAGAAGACCCTGATGGAAACGGGCTGACTCTGGCAGCTAGGCTTACTGAGCAGATAGATAAATGCCCCATCTGTGCAGCTTTGGAGATGAGGGCACCGCCAGGGACTCTGGGTGATCGTGTCTTAGCCAGAGGGAGAGCTCTTAGAAAGGCTGGTACAGGATGGGCAGCACAGGTGATGACGACCACCAAGACAGGGCGAGGCTTTCCCTCTCAGGAAACCAGATCTTCAGAGCTACCCTGCACCACTGCCCCGGGAGCTTCCATCCCTGGACTCAGGGGACGATGAGATGGCCACTTGGTGAAGCCGAAGTCGTCTTTATGGAGCAGGTTGGAACCATCTCCCATGGCAGTCCCAGAGCCAAGGAAACCAGAACCAGGCAAGAAAGAGGCCAGGCCCTGCTCCTGGCTTCCGCTGGGCGGTGGGGGTCCTGGGTGACCTTTCCCTGCCCCACAGGCAGCCCCTTTTCTTCTGCGAGTGGCTGGCAGACTTTGATTTGGGGAAACTGCCTCTGCATAGCCCCTGTCTTGGCGGGACTGTCAGCCAAGGCGTGGTAAGTTGGCCCGAGCCAGGCCGCTGGGAAGCTTTCTCCCTTGCTTTGGGAGCCTAGGCAGAGTTCCTGCAATGCCATCCTCTGAGGGTTTCCTTGGAGCTCCTCCCAGCACAGTCCTGTCTGCTGACTCAGTCCAGAGCTCCGCTGTTTGCTTAAGGCAGCCTGCGGGCCCTGCCCTGCGGCATCGGAGGCCCCCGGTGAGACCACGGGGCACAGCGCCCCTCCAGTCTGCCCCTCCCACTCTTCTTGTCACCGGGGAGCAAGGGGGTCCCTCGCAGGGCCTCTCAGCCCAGACGAGAAAAAGGGCAGAGGAAGCAGAGGGTCGCAGAAGAGAGAGGTGACAGGAGGAAACGCGGGGCGGGTGGCTGCCACGTTTAGTGTCCACCTGGAGTGGGGCCAGCACAGCTTGGGTGTTGCCTCGATCTCTGCGAGATCAGCGTCATTATCCCCAGAGACGGGCATCCAAGCCCCTGTCTAGTCCAAGGCGGAGCCACATTCAAACCCAGTTCAGCCCCTGCACTGCCCACTCTCCCTGAGTCCCCGACACCCACAGAAAGCCCCTGACGTAAATTCAACTCAGCACAGGGCAGTTCAGCTCTGCACCCATGCACCAGCCCCGCGGAGGGCCGGCCCCTGGGCTGGGCACTGAGGTACCGAGTTAGCACCAGGGCACCACCCTTGTGGCCAGGGAGAGGGGCCAGCAATGCCTGCCCTTCCCATTCGTGCCATAGGATCCCCTCAGCTCATCCTCCCAGCAGCCTGTGAGGGCAGAATTACTGGCTCCATTCGAAGCTTAGGGCCTCAGAGTAATCCGCCCACGGTCCCCCAGCGGGGAGATGGCAGTGCCAGGATTTAACTCCACAGGTGTCCTGTTGCCACCCCCTCCTTCCCAGAACAAAACAGATAACACCAGGTGTACCCAACCCCGGGGAACTGTGCTAAGTGTTGTGGTTCTGAGGAGGAAATGACTCAGCAGTCAGGAAGTCTTCCTGGATGAGAAGGCAGTGACCGAGCGGGGAGAATCTCAGCAGCTTCACACAGCCAGGCGGGACACCCCAGCAGAGGAAGGAGAGGCTGGGGAAGAGCAGAGCAGCTGGTGGCCCTGAGTGTGGTGGGAGCCAGAGGGGGGAAACGGTGCTCGTGCCCAGGGCAAGGGAAATAAGAAAGGGGGAGGGAGAGGCAGCACCGAGGGCCTGCGGGCGCTGGGCTGGAAGCACGTCAGCAGGGGGGCCACAAAGGGTGTGGTGGGAGAGGACTGGCCCGTGCTGTGGGAAGTGCTCACACGCACTCACACCCAGTCACACACACACTCATACATACACACAGGCGCGCACACACACACTCATATACATACACCTATACATACACACAGGGACAGGCGCACACACACCCACTCACACATAGGCACAGGCACACACACACACACCTCTACACACAGGCACACTCACCTTTACTCGCACACACTTATACATATGCACAGCCACACTCACACACACACACTTACACACAGGCACACACACATACATACACCTATACATACAGGCACTCACACCCACTCACACACACACATACACACAGGCACAGGCACTCACACCCACTCACACATACAGGCACAGGCACACACATGCACTTACACACAGGTACACTCACCCTCACGCACATGTATACATACTTACACACAAGCACACTCACACACTTATACACACAGCCACACTCACACCCCTCTACATACACACAGGCATACTCGCCCTTACACACACTTATACATACACACAGGCCCACTCTCTCACACACACTCATGTATACACACAGGCACACCCTCACAGACATACTCATAGGCCCACTCACACACACTCATATATACGCACAGGCACTCACACCCACTCTTACACTCATACAGGCACACACACACACCTCTACACACAGGCACACTCACCCTCACTCACACACACTTATACATACGCATAGGTCCACTCACACACACACACACACATAAGCACAGGCACACACACATACAGACACACACAGACACGCTCACACCCACAAACACCTCTACATACACACAGGCACACTCACACCCTCATTCACACATAAATACACATATGCGGACAGCACTTATACATCCTTACACACAGGCACACTCACACATACACCCTTACACACAGGCACACTCACACTTACATGTAGGCTCACCTACACATATATACTCACAGGCATAACCCCCACACACACATGCAGCCACCCCTCCCCCCACACACACATGCACACTCACCCCCACACTCACACATGCATGCACATTCACCCCCCCACACACGCATGCCCACACTCACACACATGCATGCACACTCACCCTCATGCTCACACACACTCGCACACTCACCCTCATGCTCACACACCCTCGCACACTCACCCCACTCACACACTCGCACACTCACCCCACTCACACATGCACACTCACCCCACTCACACACATGCACACTCACCCCACACACATGCACACTCACCCCCCACACTCACATGCACATTCACCCCATGCTCACATGCATGCACACTCACCCCCACGCTCACACACAAAAACACCTCCACACTCACAAACATGCATGCACACTCACCCACACACATGCACACTCACCCACATGCTCACATACATGCACTCACCCCCACACTCACATACACACTCACCCCCCACTCACCCCATGCTCACATACATTCACACTTACCCCCATGCTCACACATGCATGCACACTCACCCCCACATTCACACATGCATGCACACTCACCCCCACACTCACTCACCTCCATGCTCACACACATGTACACTCACCCCCACACATGCATGCACACTCACCTTCACACACACGCATGCACACCCCTGCACTCACACACACCCATGCTCACACATGCACACTCATCCCCATGCTCACACACATGCATGCACTCACCCCACACATGCATGCACTTACCCCCATGCTCACACACGCATGCACACTCACCCCCATGCTCACACACATGCACACTCACCCCCACACTCACATACATGCTCACCCCCATGCTCACATATGCACACTTACCCCCACACTCACAATGCATGCACACTCACCCCCACTCACAATGCCTGCACTCACCCCCACACACATGCATGTACACTCACCCCCACTTTCACACACATGCATGCACACTCACCCCCACACTCACACACATGAATGCACACTCACCCCCACGCTCACACACATGCACGCTCACCCCCACACTCACACACATGCATGCACACTTGTACACTCACCCCACTCACACACATGCATATACACTCACCTCTTGCTCACACACACATGCATGCACACACACACCCCCATGCGTACACACACATGCACTCACCCCCACGCTCACATACATATGCATGCATACCCCCCATGCTCTCACACACACATGCACACTCACTTCCACGGTCACACACACGCATGATCATATGCATCCACACATCCACATATGATGTCCTCATGCACAGTGGCAAGGAGTCTTTCTCCCAGAGCAACCCTTGTTGGGGGCCTGCACCAACACCACTGTTACAGCCTGGAATGGTGTCCAGAGACCCCCACCAGGGCCCATCCCCCGAGCAGCCAGGCCACTGCCCGGAAGGCCAGCCGCAGGTCAGCCCTGTGGAATGCAGAGCTCTCAGACCTACGCGGTCACTTGGCCATGACCAGTGTCTGGCTCTTTGCCTCTCTTTGTTCTCTTCTTAGGTTTTAACTTTCCAGAGTGATCCTAAAGGGCCAGTTACTCTGCTTTTAGGGGGCCTGGGTGGTCAGGAGGCAGATCAGAAGAGGAAGGCAAGCGTGCAGGTGCCCCGCTGGCCCTGCGAGGGCACAGCTCTGGTGCTGCCCTCATGCCTGGGGTGGGTGGGCACCTCAGGAAGCCCGGGAATCCAGCGGCCAGGCCTGGCATCCTCACCCCCAGCCCTGTCACCTTTGCCCCAGTTTTCTCGCCTCCAACTTGGACGTTTTAGAGCAGCTGAGTTTCATCTCAGGGAAGCCCTGCTCCCTTGGCACAAGCCTCGTTTGTTTCCTGCGGGATTTTTGATATGGGTTAGAAACCAAACTTCCTACTCAGCAGTGTGAAAGCCTTGATGGCCGGAGTAGACGTCTGGTCAACAATTTTATTTCCGTATGAGAAGAAAAAGCTGGAGCCAGGATTTAAATCCCTCGGTCCCTGGGTATCAGCTCTGTGGGACCAATTCACAGACTCCCGGAGGGTTTAGCCGATCCAAGCTGCAGGGGGTTCGGCTGGAGCCCCCTTTATTAAAAAGTGCAGCCCCTGGTGATGTGCACCCACATTCCTTCGAGAGTCAGTTACGCATCTTACAGCAGAGGAAATGAGGGACAACATGGCAGCCCCAGTGGCACCGGCTGCAGAAGCCCAGGGAGGCTCACAGCCAGCCTGTCTGCTGGCCCCGCCTCCTCCCAGGCACCGGCTGGGTTCCATCCAGGCAGGAGCGGTGGCCTTTTGGCTCAGGGTTTCCTGCCTCGGACGGCTGCATCCTTGGACCCTGATGGCCAAAGCACACATTCCCCTCAGCCCTGTGTGACCAGCCACACTCTTCCTGGGGTCCAGCTGCAGCTGAGAGCCCAGGTGTGGGACCTACCCAGTGGTATCCTAATTAGCTCAGGTGTGACCCATAAGAGGGACAGTGATAACCGGGCACACAGAATGGGGAAGGACCCAGATCTCCTCGTCATTGTAAGAGTGGGCATCTGCTGAGCGCCCCCATGTGACAAGACTGTACCAAGCATTTGGGGTGCATTTAGGCCTCCCCACCGGCTCATGAGACAGGTCCTCTCCCCTGACACCCCAGCCACTGCCACGGCAACAGTCTGGTGCTCCTGACTCAGAAGTGCTAATAAAGAGCTTCCTAGTGTCGATGGCAGCTCAGCCCAGGTACAGTCCACCCAGGATACTCCTCCAGGGCCTACAGTGTCCAATTCTCCAACCCAGGAGACCCAGGCGGCGGGAAGAAGGGGCTGGACAACCACATCATCTCCAGCTCTGCATTTGAGATGCATTTTCCTCAAATGCTGCTGCAAGCTACATTCTTCTCTCGACCCAAGAGAAATTATAGACCTTCCTGACATTCCACAGTTGTGAACACTATTTTTAAAATAGAGCCAGCCTCCCGGTTATGGCTCAAATATGACATGCAGCAGGGGCGCTCTGCACTGCTTTACATGCAAGCTGTGAGAAAGGACAGCCCCAAGTGTCATCCTTCCCAGAGTGAAGAAAGAGCCTCCATGGAGGCCACCCTCAGTCACTAGGGGCCGAAGCATGTCTGCAGTTGAGGGGGTCAAGGAACATGCCCCAGATCTCACAGGCTGGGGCTGTCTGGTGTTCCAACTGGATCAGCAGCCCTGAGCTCCAGCCTGTGGGGCAGGGCCACCTGCACGGTCCAGATGGACAGGGTCAGGGATCCTGTGGTTAAAATCCTTCTCCTTAATAACACCCAAGGGAGTTATTTCACCAGACCCTTATAGAGCCTGCAAAAGAATTAGTTACAAATAGCAACATCATCAATGACAGTAGTAAGGAAGAGAAGCATTTGTTAGTATGTGATAGAGGCAAGGTAGAGCTATAGACCCATGTAATGTGCATTATTTAGTTTGGTGCTCACAACAACTAGCAGGCATGCTATAATCCCCATTTTCAGGTAAGACTATGAGGATGAGACAGGTGGGATGGGTGAGGTGACTGTTCACAGCACAGGTTGGAGTAGTGTATTAGTCCATTTTCACGCTGCTGATAAAGACATACCTGAGACTGGGCAATTTACAAAAGAAAGAGGTTTAATGGACTTACAGTTCCACATGGCTGGGGAGGCCTCACAATCATGGCAGAAGGCAAGGAGGAGCAAGTCACATCTTACATGGATGGCAGCAGGCAAAAAGAGAGTTTGTGCAGGAAAACTCCTGTTTTTAAAACCATCAGATCTCATTTGCTATCATGAGAACAGCACAGGAAAGACCCACCCCATAATTCAATCACCTCTCTCTGGGTTCCTCCCATGACACGTGGGAATTGCGGGAGTTCCAATTCAAGATGAGATTTGGGTGGGGACGAAGCCAAACCATATCAAGTAGGAGGTGGAGCTGGCAAGCCTGAATCACTGCAAAGCCACCTGGTGACCACCCAGGTAGACTTGGAGCATGACGCCATGTTCCTCCTCACCCACCCCAGTGCATATGAACATGCAGTGAGCTTCTGATGTGGGCACCCAGCCCTGTGCTGCACTCTTCTGTGCCCCATGCTTCCTGCATCAAAGTCATAATTGCCTGGCATTAGGGTTTTTACAAGAATTTCGAAGAATTCTCAGTGTCTGCACTTAGACAAGGTTCGAACTTTCTCTGGGGCCTCCATTCTCGGTTTCTGTAGATCTGGTTCTCTTGGTTCTGTTCTGGCTACTGCACAGAAGTGTGTACAGCTGCGTGGTAGGAGGGGCCATCCCTATGGCTGCGTGGTAGGAGGGGCCAGCCCTATGGCTGCGTGGTAGGAGGGGCCAGCCCTATGGCTGCGTGGTAGGAGGGGCCAGCCCCATTGCTTATTCTGGGAGGTGTTGCTCTCAGGTTCCCTTCATTTCTTCTGGGGTGACAATTTGGTTGCCCCACCTGGCTTTCTGACAGGACGTGAATAACATCCTTAGAAAGTCACCCTTTGCACAGACTCCATTGCTTTCTGAGACATCACACAGATCCTGCCCCTGGTAGCTGGGTTTAACCACAGTCCTCTCTTTCCATGAGGCTTGTAGGTCTACATGGGAGAAAGGAACCACCTTAGCTTTCCAGGATCTTGCCTTCTATTTGGGGAACAGCCCTACAACCCTTTAACCTTCTAGAAGCCACCCCTGGGCACCTGGTGAAAGACATTTTCAGTAAACCTGATGACATTTAAGCCAGCAGGTTCTTGGCAAGCTAAGACACCCCTCCTGGAAGAAGAATGCTGACAGTGTCTCAGTCTCTCAGGCAGGGAAGCCCCGTTGGGGACACTTTATGGAAATGAAGCCCACCTTTAAATGAGGCTAGGAGGTAACTCAATAGCCCTGAAATGCTCTTTTCTCCAGGAGAAAATGCAATTAGGCAGATTTTGATTACATATGAAATTCTAAAATGGTCCTGCAGCTTTTTTCCCTCTTCCTTTAATATATAAGCAAATGAGGGCTCCGTGCACCTGGCAGCAGAACAGGAAGAAGCCCCAGCATCTTAACGTGGTCCAGCCCCTACGAAGGTCAACGCTGAGAGGGAGTGAGAATCAGGATTCTGATGGCGTCTGCCAGTCAGTTTCCAAATTTCAATCTGGAAACAGTTGACCTTGAAGTGCTTTCAGGAATAAGGAAGTACCAAAACCCAGGAGGAGATGCCTGTCATTGAGTGGGCTTGATTTCCATTTAAAAGGCCGCTATTGGCATCAGAACGGGAGAAAGGAGATGGCAATGTATATATGCAAAGACCCCAAAACCAGCACAGCTTTCCTCACTCAGCACCCACTTCCACCACGTGCAGGTTGCCTTCAGCCGTTGTCCCAGCCCCAGTGGGAGGGCAGGGCCAACTCAGTCCCCAGCACTGCACTGTGAGTGTTCTCAATGCACTCGTACCCTGGGGATTTGTCGTTGGAAGAAATAAAGAGAGCCTCTGATTGAGAAGGTGTTGTGCCTGACTCCTTCCCTACAAACACCCACAGCACATCACAGACACAGGACCTGAAGCATGAGGGACTCTGTAAAGTCCTGCACCCAAGAAGCCTGCTGGACACAGAACTCAAGCTCAAGCCCATTGCTGCAAAGCCTCTGTTCTTCCCAGCGGTCCCCAACCTTTTTGGCACCAGGGGCCAGTTTCGCGGAATACAATTTTTCCACGGACCACGGGTGAGGAGGGGATCGTTTCGTCGGAGATTGGATTCTCATAAGGAGTGCACAGCCTAGATCCCTCGCATGCACAGTTCACGATAGAGTTCATGTTCCTATGAGAACCCAATGCTGCGGTAGATCTGACAGGGGGCGGAGCTCAGGCAGTGATGTTAGCTTGCCACTCACCTCCTCCTGTGCGGCCCGTTCCCAACGGGGTTGGGTACCTCTGCTCTACACATCACCAGAAAAGAAGAGTGCAGAGTGTAACAAAGGGATGACTCACTGATGGTGGATGTTAGACACTGCGGCACTGGGTACAAACAGGCTAGGAGGTAGTAGGTCAACCTTGGTTTCCTCAATTCAGCCCAGCCGAATCCAGCATGTCCTTGGGGCCAGGATGCTCAGCCCCAGGCTGTCTCCTCTGAGGCACGTGCTGGAAGGAGAACGACCCCAGCCTCGAAGAACCGGTGGTCTCTCAGGAAAGGGAGGAATGCAACTCACGTTCAAAATGAGCAGCTGAACAGCTTTGCAGTTTGCGAAGCAGACTCATCCCACTAAATTCTTACAAGAACGTTAAGAAAGGACAGCTGTGCCCAGTTTGCAGATGAGAAAACAAATGCACAGAGGAAACTCTAGTTTGATCTAAAAGACTTCATCTGCTTCACCTGCTATGGCACACCCAAAACCAGTTTTTGTTTTGGTTTTTACTAAAATTATCTCCAATACCACTTCCAACTTCATCCAGTGATTTATATTTCCAAATGCATATTTTAATGTTTACAAGACTGGCTGATTTTAACTCCAAAGAATTCAGCCCCAAACA
Source organism: Homo sapiens (assembly GCF_000001405.40). Taxonomy (NCBI): domain Eukaryota; kingdom Metazoa; phylum Chordata; class Mammalia; order Primates; family Hominidae; genus Homo; species Homo sapiens. The sequence continues at coordinate 124,160,959 of NC_000010.11, forward strand.
TCAAAAACAGTGTTTTCATAATACAGAAGGAGGGGATGGAAGAGACTGGCTTACATTTTAAACGTTTTTTGTGGGGTTTTTTTGTTTTTTTTTTGTTTGTTTTTATTTCTGCAGCCAAGCAAAAGTTGAAGGAACCAGTTAACATATTGATTGCTTTGAGCACTATTTCAAATTAGTTTTCCGTTCTCCTCCATATGCTTTTCCATTACATTTAAATAAATTAAAGTTCACTTCTCTGGAAGAGACATGCTGGGCCTCCTCGGATTTCTCAGATGGGTCCACGCTGTCAGAAATTCATCAGCAACACGTGCTGTTGGGCACGGGATGGGCCGATGCAGGAGCTTCTTGCTCTTTTTCCCCCTGCGTTTTTTGTGGGAACAGCACTGCCACCCTGGGGACCAGCCCAGGCTGCCGCCTCCACCCGCTGACCCAGAGAGGGGCTCAGGTCCTGCTTGTGGCCACAGAGGACTGCTGGTTTCATCTGCTCCCTGTCACCAAGATGCCCAGCTGGCTTTGGTTGGGCAGCCTGTGGCTCCTTCCCTGATCCCACCCCAAGCGTGTGGCAGCCACTCCCTCGCCCCCATGAATCTGCACGATGAGATGACTTATAAAAGTTAAGAAGTAGTGAGTAGTTCTTGCAGTCCTCAGGACTCTTGCGTTGCAGGTCAGAAACCCATCTTGGACAAACTCCATAGAATTGCCTCACTAAGACCAGGGCAGAGTGGGCTTCCGGCTTGAGTGTATCCAAGGATTCACTGGGGTCTGTCTGTCCTGGGTCTCCCTCTCTCCCTAGTGCAGATGGGCATGGGGCCAGGGCCCCCTCTGTGGGTCCTCTGATTTGCTCACCAACGGGGCTCTACCGGCTTGGTATGAGACAAAGGCCATATTGCCCCAGGGTCCCCAGTGTGCCCTGAACAGAGCAGACTCTCCAACCCTCTTCTTTAACTGAAGGCCCTGGAACATGAAAACAACCACCGACCACCCCTGTTGACCCCAGGATCCTGGGGTGAGAACTTAAACCAAGTCAATAACAGCAGGTGACACTGCCAGATCCTTTAAGATAGACTGGTGAGGGGGTCCCCAAATGGGGTCTGACAAGGAGCAGCAACAGTGGAGCCTGAGAGAAAGTCACCAGAAGTGAAGGAGTTGGCCAGCTGGCCAGACAGAGAAGGTGGTCCAGATAGGAGGATGCAGAATGAGGCTGACTGGGCCACGCCTTGACACGGTATTTACTCCCTCCCAGCCTCCCACAGCAGTACCTATGAACTCTGGAGAGAAGAGGCTGCAGTAGAGAGGGGTGAGTGCTTCCCTAGGAGCCAACAGCCTTGCTAGGGAACCTGTGCCCAGTCCCTGAGGTGGTATCAAGATGGGGACAGAGTGAGGAGGCAGAGGAGGAGCCGTGGCATCAAGGCAGAGGGGCTGGGCACCGGGGATCTGGGAGCGGAGTGGAAGTAGACACTCGGAGGGCTTTGGCAGTAGCCTAGGAACAGTGGAGCATGGTGGTCAGTGGGCAGCAAGAAGAGGAAGGCAGCAGTTGCTGGAAGGGAGGGTCTGCAGTGTGGAGACCCACAGCAGTGGTTCCACATGAAGACCCCACCCCACCGTGGCAACTCCCAAAAGGAATAAATGGATAGAAGAGCCTGGGAAAAACAAGCTCCCCTGCTAATCCAGGATGTGGGAACTGGAAGTGTGAGATGTGTGGTTTGCTGCAAATGTGACATATTTTCACCAGGAGGTGAATTTTTTTCAGACACTCCCAAAATAGAATTTTATGTTCACCTGGCAATATATCTATAACTAGCATACATGATTTTTCTAAATGTGTAGATTGAATTTCTAATGTTCCATTCCTTGGATTTCTGCCTAACGGGGGTGTACCTGTTTGGCCGATAAGAGGAGGTTCGCACCCCCTCCGGTCCCCCAAGCCCCTGCCCACTTCTAGTCCTGGAGAATTGAGAGCATTATCAGCATTCTACAGCCTCCCAGAGTCTGTTGACTCGGTGCATGGTCCACTCTGCTGCGGAGGGAGGGAGGGAGGGAGGGAGGGAAGGGGGAAGGAGGGAGGAAGGCAGGCAGGCAGGAGGAAGGAAGGCAGGAAGGCAAGCAGGCAGGCAGGCAGGCAGGCAGGCAGGCAGCCAGGCAGGCAGGCAGGCAGGCAGGCAGGAATTCTTTCTCCCAAATTATTTAAACCATAGCCCTAAGATGGTGACTATTTTTGTTTTTCTCCTTGTGGGTTTAATGGCTAAATATACTCCACTGAGTAGATATGCCACAATATAACTCTTTTCTTATTTTGGGACATTTAGGTCATTTCTGTTTCTCTATGTTTTCTTTTACTATTTATAAATAGTATGTTTAATGGGGATGGAGGGAGGGAGGGAGAAGGAAGGAAGGAAAGGAGGGAGGAGGGGAAGGGAAAGGAAGGGAAAGGAAGGGAAGAGAGGAAGCAGGGAGGGAGGGAGGGAAGGAAGGAAGGAAAGAAGGGAAGGAAGGAAGGAAAGAAGGGAGGGAAGGAAGGATGGAAGGAATTCTTTCTCCCAAATTATTTAAACCATAGCCCTAACACGGTGACTATTTTTGTCATATAAATAGTATGTTTAATAATATGTAATAATATAAATAATGTGTTTAGTAGTAAAACATCATTTTACTATTAAAGATGATGGCGAGGATCTTAGTGCATGTGGCTCTTGCTCCCATTTGATCGTCTCCTTAGCACAGAGTTTCAGATGGGGAATAAGGAGTCAGGTTGGACAAATCTTTATGGTTCTTGCTTCATATCTCCATTTTCCTTTCCAATCACATTATCCCTACTGAAAATGCTGCAAGTATCCTGCAAGTATCAGTGAGTTTGACCGCTTCCCCTTAGCTTCAGTGGCTCAAGATCAAACTGTTCAAAATAACTAGTTTTTAAATTAATGCAAAATGGTATCCCAAGCTCTATCTCTTTAATTATTAACAATTTGCTCTTCTCTCATGAATGCTTTATACAGCCTCTGCTTTGTTATTTTTGGGAGTCTGCATATTTTTATACATTTGGGTGAGCTCTTTAGACATTATACCTGCTCATTCTTTGCCAGTCATATTTGGCAACGATGTTGTTTTCATTTTCGGTGTAAGTGTTCTCCCAGTGTGTTGGGCCTTCATTTTTTTTTCTGTTACTGTCATTATTTGAAAGTTTGTAGACCTTCCACATTCAACTCAATCTTTGTCTTTGAAGTTGTTTCTACTGCTTGTGAGATGAGCAATTCATCCACAAATCTGATAAATATTCTATTTTCTGTTCTGCTTGTTTATCTAAAATTTAGTTTTTCATATTTAACACTTTAATCAACCTTGAGTTTATTGAGTGTATGATGTCGTGTGGATCCAACCTGGTCTTTTATCCTAAATGACTATTCCATTATCCAACACAATTCAAAAGCACTTCCTCCTTAGGGCTTGTTTTGGAGAGTGGACTTGACCATGTGTTGATCTGCTTCATACCCAGGCCTGTTTCTGGATTCCCTGGGCTGTCTTGTGGTGTCTTTGTGCAGGAGCCAGCTCTGAGCTCTCAATAGCTTTGCTTTATCATCTGCTCTTGGGTGCGGCTCAGCCCACACCACTGTCCCTCTCTACCCCTCACTTTGTTGCTCTTAATTTCAATAACATTCTTTGAAAGTTTTGGCTGTTTCTTTGTTTCACACAAGACTTCAAAGCACATTGATTTTAAAACGCCTTTAGGGGACTTTGATTGTAATTGTATTTATAATCCATACATGAACTTGAGGGAGGATAGACAACTATTCAATATTTTATCTTGCTGACCAAGAACGTAGTCTAATAAACTCCACAGTCTAATAAACTCCCTTTTAAAATTAGCTTGAATAATTCAGTTTGAGGGGCTGTGTTCTAGTCCCAGCTGTCCTCTGTCTAGTGGAGGAATTTCAGACAAATTTTCCTTTTCCTCGGCCTGACCGTGAGGGGATTGAGCAGGTTTATTGCTTAGGAAAACAGCAAATACTTGTTTTTCTCTTATACCCCATGCTCCTCGGGGTCACCCAAAGGTTGTCTTCTTTCTTGTCCTCCAGGACACTTTTGGTTCATTGTCCTCCTTCCCTCTAGGGAAGAGCTCTCTGCTCACCTTCACCGTTGGTCACATCCCCTCTGTCACTTAAGACCTCTGCACCTGCCACCACCTGCCTCACACCCAAATGCAGCCATCACCCTAAACAACTGGGCCCACATGGATAGCGCAGGGGATGGCCTGCCTCCTCCTTCCTTAATCCTCTTGCCTCCAAGGACTTTAATCTCGGCTCCACCTCAGCCCCCTCCTGTCATCACAAATCTGAAACTGCATTGCCTCTAAATCAACAAATTCACACCATCTCCATCTCTTCAGCCTGAAGGCTGATGTGACCTCGCTGTGACTGCACTGCCTGGCTGAGACCCCTGTCACTGTCTCACTCCCCAAGGCTCCCCACCATATTCACTTTCCCCTTGCCCAAGTTATGTTGAATCTACCACCATTACTATCTGCTACTCACTGCCGTGATGCAACTAGAGCCCCTGGGCCGTCCCGGTGTCTGCCCCACTGACCGCGTCTCATCGTGAGCCCCTCCAACCACGATCATAGTGTCCCATCCTGGGGCCCTTCCTTCATGCTATGAATTGAATTGTGTCTCCTCTGAACTGCATAGGTTGTTGAAGTTCTAACCCACACTGTGATTATAATTGGAGATAGGGCTTTAGGAGGTAATTAAGACTAAGCAAAGTCATAAGGGTGGGGTTCTCATCGATGAGATTAGTGACCTTGTAAGAAAAACAGGAAGATTTCTCTCCTCTCTCTCTGGATGTGAGGACATAGGGAGTTGGTGGCTGTCTGCAAGCCGGGAGGAGGGCCCTTGCCAAGAACCAAATTGCCCTGCACCTTAATCTTGGACTTCTAGCCTCCAGAAGTGTGAGAAATAAATGTCTGTTTAAGCCACCAGGTCTATGATTCTTCATTATGGAAACTCGATCAGACTAAGACATTCCATTTAAAAATCTATTAAAAATAATATTTTACAATTGTACTGATATAAAGACAAATATATTCATATTATATATTAAAACATTTTCTTCACCTTAAAAATTTATTTACTTTTCTTCTGATAAAAAAGCATGTGGCTGAGCATGGTGGCTCACACCACTAATCCCAGCACTTTGGGAGGCAGAGGAAGGAGGATCACCTGAGGTCAGGAGTTTGAGACCAGCTTGGCTAACATGGTGAAACCCCGTCTCTACTAGAAATACAAAAATCAGCCGGCCATGGTGGCAGACACCTGTAATCCCAGGTACTCGGGAGGCTGAGGAAGGAGAATTGCTTGAACCTGGGAGGCGGAGGTTGCAGTCAGCCGAGATTGCACCACTGCATTCCTGCCTGGGTGACAGAGCAAGACTCCATCTCAAAAAAAAAAAAAAAAAAAAAAAAAAGCAAGAAAGCATTTTCATGGGTCCTAAAAGGTATCTTGGGTCCTGGGCATTGTGCCTCTCAAGTCCGATGGGTAAATCAGTATCACCTCGAGCTCTCGGCCTAAGGACTTTCCCAGTGGCAGCAGCGTACTCAGCCAGAGGCTGCAATGCAGTGCCAGGCAGTTCATGCCCCCGAGAGCAGTCCTCAGCCGAGAACACTAGGAGTTGGGGGACGGATCAGCCCCGCTTCCCTGCCTTGTGGGTAGCACCGCTCTAACGCAGGCCTAAGCTCCCACCGCCCACTGTGGCCTTCCCTTGGCTACACAGGCCCACCTTGGCTTCCCTGCCTTCCTCCCACCCACACCTGTGCCTCATGGTAAACGGATAGCTGGCATTACTTGCACTCAAATCTTTGTCTTAGGGTATGCTTTTGGCAAACCAAACCTAAAACATAATCGTTCTCTTGCACATGCAGTGGAAGCTCTCTAACCCAGCGTCCGCTTCGCAGAGTGGCTGAGTAGCCAACTCTTCCTTTCCCTTGCCTTGCCCTAAACCAAGTGACCTGATGTAGTTGGTGTACGAAGGCTGTCAGCGGAGGGGCTACTTTCAGGTGCCTTCCCACTTCTGCTCCCATCTGTCCAACTGTGAGATTACCCAGAGTCCGATGGCATGGTCCCAAACCTGTTTATGCCAGTTGTATTTGTTGTTGTAGTTATGTAATGTATTAGTCCGTTCTCACACTGCTCTAAAGAACTACCTGAGACTGGGTAGTTTACGAAAAAAAGAGGTTTAATTGACTCACAGTTCCACAGGCTTAACAGGAAGCATGACTGGGAGGCCTCAGGAAACTTACAATCATGGCAGAAGGCGAAGAGGAAACAAGCACCTTCTTCCTACGGTGGCAGGAGAGGGAGAAAGAGCAAAAGGGAAGTGCCACACTTTTAAACCATCAGATCTCGTGAGAACTCACTCATCGTTAGAACAGCAAAGGGGAAATCTGCCCCCACGATCCAATCACCTCCCACCAGGCCCCTCCTCCGATTCGACATGAGATCTGGGTGAAGACACAAATCCAAACCATATCATGTAATTTCCTTAAATATTAGTTAAACCAATGAAATATAAATGTAAAAAAGAGAGCTGCTGCTTCTATGAAAACTAAGTTGAATACTCAGGTAAGACTTGGTAGAGATAAGTTGCTAAAAATGCTGTCCATCAAATCGATGGGTAGGTTGCCATCTGTGAGAGACTGGAGAAAATGATAAAAACCTGGAAGGAGTCTAAGACACATCGCTCCACAGTATTTACGCTCTTTTTCCACTTAAAAGTGAAGCAAAACTAGAAATCGTAGATCATGTGCTGTGGACGTGGTTGGCCTGAGGGAGGGGGAGGGTGCAGGTCTTCTCTGTCCCTGCGTTTCCAAATCCACCCTCCCTCCTTCCCTGGGCCTTGGTGGGGAGAGGATGCATCTCACACCTACATCAGTGTCCAGCTCCAGTCCTCGCCCCTCTCCCCGAGCCTGGAGAATTTTCTTTTCCCTTGTGGTAAAAAACAAGTAGTCATCAAAATCCCTTATTAGGCCAAAATTCCAGCATTTGAAAACTCCAGGCCAGATTCTTCCTCTCCAGCCAACCCCAACATCCCTCTAAACAGGGGAAGGGTAAATGGATGAAGGAAAATGTTTTTGTGAGTTCAGTCTGCTATTTTTTTTTAATATTTTATTTCATTTTATTTTATTTTATTTTATTTTATTTTATTTTATTTTTTGAGATGGAGTCTCACTGTGTCGCCAGGCTGGAGTGCAGTGGCGCAATCTCCACCCACTGCAACCTCTGTCTCCTGGGTTCAAGCGATTCTCCTGCCTCAGTCTCCCGAGTAGCTGGGATTATAGGCATGCGCCACCAAGCCCAGCTAATTTTTGTATGTTTAGTAGAGATGGGGTTTCACCATGTTGGCCAGGATGATCTTGGTCTCCTGACCTCGTGATCTGCCCGCCTTAGCCTCCCAAAGTGCTGGGATTACAGGTGTGAGCACTGCGCCCAGCCTCAGTCTGCTATTTTTAAAAGGCACCACGGGGTTGGGTGACTATTTTTTTGAGACAGGGTCTCACTCTGTCATCCAGGCTGGAGTGGCACAATCATAGCTCACTGCAGCCTCAACCTCCCAGGCTCAAGCGATCCCTCTGCCTCACCCTCCCCAGTAGCTGGAACTACAGGCACACTCTACCATGCCTGGCTAATTTTTAAAACTTGTTTTGTAGAAACAGGATGCATCCCACTATGTTGCCCAGGCTGGTCTCAAATTTGTGAGCTGAAGCAATCCTCCTGCCTCGGCCTCCCAAAGTGCTGGGATTAGGGAGTGAGCCGGCGCAGCTGGCCAGGACTGGGTGACTTTTAAACAACAGAATTGATTTCTTACAGTTCTGGAGGCTGAAAGTCCAAGATGAGGGTGCCAGCACGGTCAGGTTCTCCGGAGGGCCCTCTTCTAGGCTGCAGACAGCTGACTTCTCCCCATACCTTCTCATGGTGGGAGCAGGGGGAGGAAGCTCTCTGGGGTCCCTTTTATAAGGGCCCAATCCCATTCATGAGGGTCCACCCTCATGACCTAATCACATCTCAAAGTGCCCATACTGGGAGTGGATTTCAACATATGAATTTAAGGGGGACGCATTTAGTCCCTAACAGAGAACTGCAGACAAGCAGCCTGCCACACCTAGGTAACTTCTCCCAGCCTTCCTCAATCCCCCACTCTAAATGTGCCATCCACTGCTCCACATCCACCCCTCTCCTGGTCCTTTGCAGTCTAGCTCACGGTGCCCCGTAAGACACCCTCAGCTCCAGCGTCCTGCGGGAGGGACAGCACCTTCCTGCTTCCTGCAGGCACCCAGCATTAGTAGCAAGCACGTGCACCTGCTCCCCAAACACCCCCAGGTGAGCAAGCAAGTGAGGAAGGAAGGCCCCTTCCCGTGCGGGCATTGGATGCTCCTTTGATCTTAATTGATTTCATTGCAGAGGCAGGCCTGTTCCTGACCTTGTTAGCAAATTTCTTACCGCAGGCCCTAAGCAGGCACCATAATTGGAGGGTTGTCGGAGCCTTGGAATCTGCAGACGCCAAAGGGACACCGAGAGGAGGAGGCAGGCATAGGATGAGAAGATGGCAGCTCCTGAGACCCGGCTGTCTCAATCTCCTCTATGTTTTCTGCCTTTGGACTCTGTGGTGATGCCGGACGTTACCAGCAGGACGGAAGAGAGAGGAATACCGTGTGCAAGGGCTGGTAGTGATCACTGTCACCTGCCTCTGGAGGGCCTAAAACAGGCCTGCAGGTCATCTGGCTCCAATGCAGGGCCAGGGTGCATTCTGAGGCTGGAGGCAGGACCTCAGCTTTAGAGAGGGCAGGGGCCTAAACCTGGGATGAGCATTCATCCTAGGTCAGGCTGAACCAGCTCAGTGGCCCCTCCTAGCAATCCAATCACTGGGAGACATCGTTCTCATTACAGCACAGCTGCAGGCACCCACCTGTGGTACCCTCAGCCCAGGTAAGGTCTAAAGAGGTCTCTCCTGCTACCTGCAACTTCAGCTCCTCGCAGGTTCATTCTTGGCTCAGTTATTAAGCTTGTCAGTTTCTTTCTTTCAGGTTTGGCTCCCAGTAGACTATAAGCTTGGTAAAGGCAAAGACCACATGTTATGGTCTGAATATGTGTCCCCCTCAAATTCCTATGTCGAAATCCTAATCCTCAAGGTGATGGTATTAGGAGACAGGGGCTCTGGGAGGTGATTAGGTCATGGAATGGAGCCCTTAGAAATGGGATTAGGCCCTTGTAAAAGGGACCCCAGAGAGCTCTCTTCTCCTCTTTCTCCGATGTGAGGACACAGGGAGAAGTCAGCAGCCTACAGCCTGGAAGAGGGCCCTCCCCAGAACCCAACATGCTTGCACCCTGACCTTGGACTTCCAGCCTCCAGAACTGTGAGAAATAAATTTCTGTTGTCTATTGTAAGTGCTGTAATAATCTATAGTGCTTGGTTATGGCAGCTCGAAGGACTAAGATACCATGCTGTCTGTCTTGGTTTGTGCTATAGTTCCAGAGCCTAGCACAGTGCCTGGCACCAAGTCAGTGCTCAGGAGATGCCCCAGACCAGGAGTCAAAGGCAACACCTAGTCCACAGCAGTGGGTGACTCAGGGCCCCAGGCACAAGCCCACTTCCTAAGGCTGGAGGAAGCCAACTTGTGTTTCTTCTCGTGGTGCTATAGTGACCCATCTGGAAGCCCTGATGCTTTGACCAAATACACAGCACATTTGGAGCCTGCCTTGTGCAGACACTTTGAAATTTTCCCAATACTATCTTAAAAATTAAAAATTCATCTCGTGAAAAATAAAAGGCAAGTGTAACTAACAGGGGAAATTTGGCTCTGTTGCCTGAAGGCTGATGAGGAACAGCTTAATGTGCCACTGGAGAACGTTTCTGCCGTCTCGTGTTGTGCGGAGAACACACTGACTGCGAAAGCCTCTTACCTGAAGCTCTCGGATCAATACATTTATTTTTGTCCCTCCCCTGGAGAACAGCTCTCTGTGGAGACCTGGCCTTTCTCCTCACCTGTGGGGATGCTTTCAACTCAGTTTGCATGGGGAGAAGTCCCTCAATCCTCACTTTCATTCCAACTTCTCTTCTGTGGCCTCCAAGTAATAGATTGCTGGGCTCCCTGTAATAGATTGGAAAATTAATCCTTTTTGGCTGCACCCACCCCCTTGTTACAAGCTGGTGATAAGATCAAAAAATTCCATACCTTAGAGGTGATGGATACACAGAGAGGCTTCGTGTGGTTTATCAGCTTCTCTATCTGGGGCAGATTTTATAACTTTGCTCTAAAATTCCCACAATGCTAACAGTCCTACAACCCTGGGCATTTCTCTCCTGTGACCTCCATCCATGATTTCACTAAAATAATTTCTGATGTTCATCTGGGAGTGGACCGATGGTTGCACCAAAGTCAAAAAATGCACAGAGTTGTTTCACACACACTGAGACACAGGACAACACACTTTGAAGCCCTCAGAACCCTCATGACACCTGAAGCCTCACATCCTGAGTGAGTTGTGGCAGACAGAGTTCCTGGTCCCAGCTCTCTACTACATGACAGCCTCATGATGAGCAGAGCATGTTTCCCTGACCCTTGACTTTGGTCTTGACCTTGAGACTTGCTTTGGCCAAAGCAAGTCTCAACCCAGCCCCAGCATGCAGAGCCTGGGGAGTGCTTGGACAATAAGTTCTGCTCTCTCATGCTGGTGATCTACAGTGAGAACATGCTCCAGGAGCTGCTCTTCCTTCAGCCAGGGCCCCAAAAGGAGACACATGGAGGTGACCATGTGCCCTGGGGGCTGCTGGTCAAAGGAGGATATGTGACACGTGGGCCATTCCTGATCCCAACCTACAGCCTGGACACTGGAGCCCAGAGCCCAGAGCCAAAAGTCCAAGCTAGCCCAGTGGAGTTGCAGCAGACCCCAAAACCAATGGGACCAAGAATAAGTCATTGTCGTTTTAGGTTTGGAGTGGTTTCTTACACAGTGTTACTGTAGCAATAGCTGACTGATACAATATTCAAGCTCATACAAAGTCTACTCATATGCTCAGAGCACACACAGGCACTCAAGGAACACTATCCCTGCCCCCACACACACCTTTGTAGTGAGCATATAAGGTCATTGTCCCAGGAGCTGGAAAGGTCCCCCTCCCCTGCCCACCTGCGGCCCACTTTCCCCAATGCTGCCAGAGCACTGCCTGGTCTTCCAGAGGCCAATTATGTCTTTAGCATCCACCACTGTGCAGCTCAGAGCTCCACGCCCTTTATCTTGTCAAGTTGTTTTTATGTCCTTTCTGCCAAGAAAGTGTTGCTTTTGAAGCCCTGGCAGCTTGCTCCTTTTTTCCTTTCTACTCCAGTTGTTGAATGCGCGTCAGATTTGTGACATCCCATTCTCCCAAGGGGAAAAATTACAGCTGGGATGTATGCAAACGAATTCTCAGAACACGAATCTTTCACGTCCTTGCTGTTGGCGGCCCCTCTGCCGGCCCTGCTTCTCCGATTGCAGCTGCTGCTGCTCCGGCAATGAGCCGGAAACGGATCCATCCTTACATCTGAGGGTAGTGGGTAAACCCCGTTCTTGGTTGCAGCCAGTGAGGGGAAAAAGTCAGGGCTGGAACACACTCAGCCTTTCCCTCCTCTCAGAGCCTGGAGTAACGGGGCTGGGGCCTGGGCGGTCTGGCTTGGGATGAGCAGCCTCCCCAGCTTCCCAAGGCCAGAGCTCCAGCACGTGGAAGCAGCGTCAGCTTGGGCAGGCTTTGGAGGGGCCTGAGAAGCCCATCAGCCTTACTGGGACCCCTTCTTAGCTCCCTCTTCTGCGAAGGAGGACTTGATGCTGTCTACAGAGTGGACTGTGTCCTGGCACAATCTGGAAGCAGAGGAGGTGCTGGAGGAAACAGGCCGAGAGGTTCTGCCTGGTGGAGGCTGTCACAGTGCCCTGTGCAACATTGTGAGGGATGGCAAGCATGGCTGGGTGTGCTCCCCACCCCAGGAAGCTCAGGGAGGGTCTCCCTGGCAGAGAAGGTTTAACTTGAGTCTTGACGGATGAGTAAAGACTCCTGGATGAACGGTCGGGGAAAGGCATGCAGGGAGAGGGAACAGCATATGCAGACAGCACGGAGGATGCAAGAGTCTGACTTAGAGACTCTTAATTAGAGAACTATGAGGAATTCAGGGGCCCCTGAGCTCTGGGTGACCTGGGGAGGGCGGTGGGAAATGAGGCTCAGAAGTCAGCTGAGGCTGGATCTCTAAAGTGCCAGACTGATGGATTTGGGTGTTTCCAGTTAGCAATAGGGAGCCACGGAAAGATTTGAGGAGGGAGAAGCAGGACCAGGCTTGCTTTCCCATCCCATCCCGCCAACCACAGAGTGGAAGCGGATCAGAGAAAGGCAGGCCTGGGCCAGGCAGGCAGCTGCAAGGGCTCTGGGAGGAGGTGGCCAGGTTCGGCCTGACGAGGTGGCCCCGGCTGTGGAGGGAGGAGATAGAGCCGCCTTCCCTCCTCCTTCAGCCTCTGCCCACCTTGATTCGCTCACCCCTGGTCACAGCTCTCGCCGCCTGTGAAGACAAGCAGGTGCCCACTGCCCGCTGAACTATGAAATCGGCTCAGCCTCATCCTCAGCTTCACAAGAGCCACATCCAGAGAATTGCCAGTTCAATGCCTCTCAGATTTGTCTCTCCCCTCCCTTGGCCGACACCTTCACCGGGGCCCTCATCAGCTCCCATGGCCCCTGTATGGGGTGACTGGCTCAGGCCCCTGGGGTTCCCACTTACTCCTGGAACCTGTTTCTTTTTCCTTCGGTCAGCAACTATTTTTTGAGCAGCCACAGCACACCAGGGCCTGGGGTGCTACGGCTGGAAATAGCAAGCAACACAGAATGGGGCTGTGGCCCCCTGGAGCCTCCCTCCAGGGAAAGACGGATGGTAAACAGTTGCTGCACAACTCTGCATGCAGCCCCCCTAGAGCGGAGGGTGACGGAGGAATGCAGCACATAGGGCTGAGCCGCAAGGCACCAGGCAGGGCGAGGAGCAGCGTGCAGAAGGCTCTGCATGGAAGATCGTGGAGAAGAAGGAAAGGCACCGAAGATAAGGCTGGGGGCCCAGACACGAAGGGCATAGGGGCCATGTGAGGGATTGGAAATCTGCCTAAAAGCAAAGAAAAGTCATCAAAAGCCTTTAACCATGTGGTGTGTCCGAGGGCCCAGGGCAACACGTGCAGGCGTTCCACCTACCACTGGGTGTTAGGCCGGTCACCCCAAGCCTGCCCCCAGGGAGCAGGGAGCCCTCCGTGGGTGTGAGGCAGAACACCGTGACTTGGGAAAGATCTGGCACCTCCTACTCAGGTGCTCAGGGTTGGGAGGGCGGAGCAGGCACCGGGCACCTCGCTTGCTCGCCCATCCTCAGGCAGGGACAGGCAGCTGTGGGCAGCAGTGATGTGCGTCCGGCCAGCGAGGACATAGGACAGCCCAGTGCCCTCCAGCCCCAAAGGGGGTCAGAGAAAGGCAGTAATCAGGGAGAGGTGCAACTGACCCCAAGCCGCTCCAGGGTTAGGAAAGGCCAGGACGAAAGCAGAGGGTGCACTACCCAGAGAAACTGAAATGAGCCGGCTGCCAACACAGAGCTCCTGCCCCACCCCGACCCTACACATGCAGACCTTGACCCCTCAGGCACCCAGTGTCCCCAGCAGATTGCAGTCTGGAAATCAGTCCCCAGGGTCCTCCCATGCAGGCCCCGCAGCCAGGAATTCTCAGTCACCTGCCTGCTGTCCAGCCTCCCCTCAGGACAGCGATCAGGGAGAGCCAGGGAGCCTGGAGGCCTTAGCTGGACCAGCCAAGACCTCCTCCAGCCTCAGTTTCCCCATCTGGGAGGCGACACAGGCATGCTGCCGTGTCCCTGTGGAGGCACAGTTTGCTCTGACCCTCCTGCCTCTCCTTCCTGGCTCTCCCTTCCCTGGAGCCTAGATCCCAGCATCTCAAGCCCCACAGCCTCACTGTCAATGCCCACTCCTGGCTTTCAGACCACAAACTTGAGATTCTTTAGAGTCTGCTCATTTTCATAGTTGGAAATTATTGAATTCAACAGTGTAATTATTTTAAAAATATAAACAGACCAACCACAAACATATGGCAGAAGCAATATATTTTCCCCTGCCCCTGGTTTCCTGGAAAGCTTTTATTACCATTGCTAAAAATATTTGCCCAGGGCTCATTAAAGATCCAAGAAAGAATGGGGCCTGGATCTCCAGGCCTGAGTCCCTCCACTGAGCAGTGCCCTTACTCTGTCCTAGAGTTTCCAAGGGTGACAGGGACATGGAGTCTGCTTTAATGACCTGCTCATGGGGCCACTGGCACTGGGCGGGCAGTGGGGTTGGGTTGCGTTGCAGTCCAGGCGGTCCCCGCATTCATAACAGCTGAGATGCTACCCGGGAAGGGACCTGCTCAGGGACACTGTCATTGGGGCCATTACTTAGGATGTCATTCCACTTTCTCTTGCACTCCCTCCTCTCAGGGAAGCTGGTCTGGCCCCACAGAAGCAGAGGCCCCTGCCCTTCTGTGGGCCCGTAACTAACAGTGGGGAAGGCCTCTGCTACCCTCCTACTGCCCAGGGGGCACCCCTTGTCTCATCTTGCCTGAATCAACCTAAGAGTCTTCCAGAGTCCCTCTGTGAGGCCTGAGTGATTCATTCCCATGAGGGGTTCCGGGACTGAGGGATGCTGGCAAGGACATCCTCTAAGTTGGTCCCAGGAGGTGTTGCCTTCGCTCCCCCTGCCCCCTACCAGCTTTAGGGTTGAAGACTTGGATGATACATAACCCTTCCCCCGGCCCCAGGCCACTGCCTCCTATGTCCAGCCTCCCCTCCCCCAGCCTGGCATCCTGCCCCAACCCCACCTCTGCCCCTCCCCTCCATCCCTAGCACAGGGGCCACTCAGCTTGTCCCTTCCCCTGGCTTCCTCCTGCCTTTCTCTCTTCTAGTTCCCCATGCCCTGCCCCCAGGACCACCTGTGAGTGATCTCCAGCACCCACTTCCTGTGCACGCAGCCACAGGCAGCCCAACTGTCCCAGGACCTCACCTACGCCGACACACATCGCCATCTAATTACAGCAGCCCTGCTGTGAACGCCTGTCCCATGCCAGACACCTTCCATGCATCATTTCTAATCCCCTCAACAGCCCCCACAGGTGGATGCCCTTATTATCCCCATTCTACAGGCAAGGAAACTGAGGTCTACAAAGGTGAATTCACTCTCAAAGCCGCCAGCTACGAAGTGATGGGATCAGGGTGCAAACTTCAGACTTTGTGGCTGCGGGGCTGATTCCACTTTGCTCTGCTGCCTCTTGGATAGCCTGGCCCAGCAGGTGGGTGTGTGTGCACACAGGTGTGTGCATGCCCCTGAGAATGGGACCTTGGGAATGACACTGGGACTTCTGTTTGTGTCTGAGGCCTCTGCAGCACCAGGATACAGCTCATCTCAGGACAGCCAGCAGAAGCCAGGCTGCCCACTCCCAGGCAGTGTAAGTCCTAAATGCCAGCTGCTCTGATGTAACAGAGGACAATGGAGCGTGCCCTGCCTCCCTGAGCCCTCATCCTGCCGTTCACCAGGCCGGGGTTTGCTCAATTTCACCCACAGCTCCAAAAGCCAAAATGCCTGGAGAAGCAAAGCAAAGATGATTTTGCTCTAGCTGCAAAGTCAGAGCCCAGCCCTCAACTGTCAGGCAGCTCAGGAACCTTTTGCTCATGAGGAGAGGTAGAAATGCGGCTTCCAGTCCATCGCTTCATCCACAGGGGCTGACGGAGGAAACAAAACAGACATGTTCTCACTGAGAGTGTGTCCTTTCAGATAACTTGTGGTTAGGATGTTGTTTTAGGCCGGGGAAGCATAAATCTCAGGCATTACATTTTTATTCCTGTCTGTGAGCAAGAATCCTCCTTGAAGATTCAATGCACTTGCAGCTGCCCCGGAGTCTGCGCTTCTCTATCTGCCCAGGGCGAGTGGGCAGGACGGACCGTGCTAACCCAGGAGCAGCTCTTGGTGCAGGGCTCCTTGGCTGCAGGGGAGAGTGGGAGGCTGGGAGCTTGGTGCTCACAGCTGGGGGTGCTTCTCAGACACATGGACGGGCATCAGAGCAGACACAGCCACAGGGAGATCGTGCCTGCGCTGGAGGAGAGAGTCCACCATGGCCTCATGGGTGAGCCACCACTGCCAGTCCCATGGTGATATGCAGGTCATCGGAGCATGTATTGAGCACCTACTATGTGCAAGCACTTTGTGTACATTCTGTTAATTAATCCTCACAATAACTTGGGAGACTGTTTCCATTTTACAGAAAGAAAAGCTGAATTCAGAATGGTGACGTAACTGCCCCAAGGCCTTGCAGCCAGTAAGTGATGCTGTTGGTCAGGTTTGCATCCAGCTGCAAAGGAAAAGTCCAACCCATGGTGGCTTAAAAAATAGAGGGCACATAGGTCTCAAATAAGCCTAGAGATCGCTGGTGGCATGTGGCAGGAAGGCTCGAGAATGTCAGCGCTGTGGGAGGAAGTTTCTAGGATTCTAGGCCAGGGCTGGATCTGCTTCCCCATGGGAGGAAGGGGGCCTCTGCCCAAGACCTAAATAAAGTTGGAGGGTTTCATACGGCGTTGGTGCTCCATGACGGGCTCCATGTGAGTCACACTCAGGCAAAATCCACCCAAAAGGGGCAACCACTGTGGGGCGGAAAGGATGTTACTTACACCGCCCTTGGAAGACATCTCCCCCCACCATTCCTTGAGACCTGTCCATCAAAGACATCTGACCTACAATTGCCCTGATGTGCCCAGGTCTGCCACAGCCCTCTCCATTCTGCTTTCCCCTCTGCAGCAAACAAACACAGCCTGACACGTACTAGGGTTCCTCCTGGAAGGGTCTCTCTCCTTTCTAGAGTATACCCTCCTGGAAGGCAAGCATGGAGTCACACCTCTCGCCACACCCCAGCAAGGCTCAGTAGACAGATGTGTAAACAGCAGGCCCCATTAATTGTTGATTTTTAAAGCAGTCTCACTAAAGTGGCAGTTCAAACATTTGACTTACAATGCTGGCCTCTGGGGAAGCACTATGGTAATTGGGGCACACTTTTTTTACCTCTTTAAAAGGGTTGCACATGTAATATCTGGTAATTATTGAAATATTAAAATAAAAGTAAAGCAATAGAATCCCATTGTTTACATTTTTATACATAGATTTCCACTCTTTCTTTCATACATATGCAGACATAGATTTTCTGTCTTCATTTATTTTCTGTTACAACAGGATACCTGAAACTGGGTAATTTATAGAGAAAAGGAATTTATATCCTATAAAGGCTGAGAAGTCCAAGGTTGAGGAGCTGCATTTGGTGGGGACCTTCTTGCTGTGGGAGCTTTCTTGCTGGTGAGGGCTCTCTGCAGAATCCCCAGGTGGTGCAGGGTGTTACATGGTGGAGGGGCTGAGTGTGCTACTCAGGTCTCTCTTTCTCTGCTTATAAAGCCACCAGTCCCACTCCTGTGATAACCCATTAGTCTGTTAACCCATTAATCTATTCATGGATGAACGGATGAATCCATTCATAAGGACAGGGCCCTCATGACCCAATCACCTCTCAAAGGCCCCAACTCTCAATGCTGCCAAATTGGGGATTACATTTCAACATGAGTTTGGGAGGAAACACATATTCAAGCAATAGCAGTTTTTAAAAAAGAAAACAGATCCTACTGCCTATTCTGTTTTGCCATTTTAGAAAAACATAAAATGCATCCTAAGCATCTTTCCATATTAGTAATTGTTCTCCTTCAACAACATTTTTGGTGACTGGATAGGACTCTATTGTATACATGCTCTATAATTTATATGATCCACTCACAATTGTTGGTTTTCAATGTATTTTTTAATGTCTCACTATTATAAACCATACTTGAACAAATGGCCTTGTAGATGCTTCTTTGAACCCATCTTGAATTCTTTCTTTTGGGTAAGTTCCTAGAGGTAGAATTGTTAGGTCAGAGGGTAAGTACCTTTTAAAGACTTCAGTAAGTGTTTTCAAATTGCCCTCCAGAACAATGAAAATAGCTTCTCCTCCTACCACCAGTAGACAAGAGGGGGAAAGACATCTATTGAAATATTAGCCACCTTCTTGGATCTTTCCTATTGCAAAAAAAAAGACAAAAAATAAAATAGAATTTACTCCCCAGGAGCCCTAGAAGGTTAATGAATTTATTAATTTTGTGTAAATTACTTTCGATATCAAAACATCACTGAGAATATTGTAATGTGCTCAGAATTGGGCTGAGGAGTGGTCCCAGTAGACAGTGGGTGGGTGAGATCAGGCATCAAAGGCACAACAGTTCTCCCGTAGACCTGTTCACATTTAGGAGGAGATTAAAGGTGGGATATGGGGACTGTGACAACATGGGGGCTTCCCTGGGGATCTCCCAAGTTTCTACAATGTTGGTCATATTTGCAGACCTAACTAATAGAGGCCTCCTCTGGCCCTACCAGTGCTCCAAGATTATGACCCAATGGGTGGGTGGACCTACCAAGGGGCAAGGGGCCTAACTTCAGAACTCCAGAAAAGAATACCTGGAGATGACAGACAAGGCTGCTCTTCTGCATACAGCCCTGGGCAAATATTTGGGCTTCTGTGTATATAAACAATTTAAGTCATCCAAAACCAGTGGCCCAATCTCACATAATCCTGCAAAAGAAATGCCATACCAGCCAATAGGAACAATCCCCCCATCAAGCTTCCCTCCTGGAACCAGGCCCTGGGCCTCAGGGATGACCCCATAGGTGGGAGTCCTGTAGCTCCTTGGGACATCTGGTCCACCCAGCACATGGGTGACAGAGCAGAGGGTAAAGAGTTGAAGCATACCTCAAAGGGAAGAAACAGGGTTCAGGGCCCAGGGCCCACATGGTTCCCTTTCCAGGCTTTAGGCTCCCTGCACAAACAGCACGCACAGCCCCAGCTTTTCCCAAGCATTGGAGGGAGATTTATAAAATGTTGAAGAAGGCTCTCCGAAGCTCTAGACTCAGGCAGGATCCCTGCTTGCACAAGTCTAAGGGCAATGTGAACGACAGACTTCCCTCGCAGGCCCATGGTGGGTAAACCAACCATCCGTTATATATAATAGGCAAACACAGACATAAGCATAAGCAATTACCATGTGGTGGATGTTTCCCTGGTGCCCCTCCCACTCTGTCCCCACCTCTGTGCCCCAGAAGGCTGGCCTCCATGGTGTGCACCCTTGTTCCAAGATGTCCCCTTCCAACACAGACGGCAGACATTGGTTGTGTTTTTTCCAAAGCTGTAAATTCCCAAGACCCTTGAGCCAGAGAAAGCAATCAGGGGCCATGCAGGTTGGGAAGGGAGGTGCTAGCAGCTGCAGCCAAGAAGAAATCAGACCCTATTTCATCAGAATCACCACCATTTTTCCATCAGTGACTCCCTTGTTGATGCAGACAGCTTGGCCTTTTCTGATGGGGTGGGGAGCGAAGTCTGCAGCTCTGGGTGTCAGAGGGCTCCCTCATCACACAAGGGTTGAGAGCAGGAAGACACCAGCCACCAGTGCTGCCAGGAAGACTGGCACACATCCAGCCAAGGACTGCAACTGTCGAGGCGCTCTGAGAAATTGGCCAACTCGTCCACCTGGGACCCCATCACCATCTCTCCATCACATGGAGAGATTCTTTCCATGACCTACTGACTCAAGTTGAGTAAATCCCAGAATCTGACACTAGAAGAGTTTGGAGGGGTATAAAAAGTCCATACTATATAGTCCAACCTCCCCACCCACCCCAATTTACAGATGGGGAGGCTTTGCCCGAGCCTCCTCCAGGGCTTTCTCTTCTCACCCAGTTATTGCTGTGTTCTCACTTTCTGCCTTGGCCATAGTGTCAATGGCCACCAGAGCCTTAGTGCTCCATGCCAGGTACTATGCTAACGGCACTACATAATAACTCTGGAAGGTAGGTCACCTTACCTCTGGTGCACTCAAGAAATGTGAAGCTAAGTAACTGAGGCTCAGAGAGGCTACCCAACTTGCCCAAGATCACACAGCTACCCCTTGTTGCCACTGGGATTTGAGCTTCGCTTCAATACCCACATTGCTTTCAATATGTGATACTTAGTGTTTTCACATTGACTGTGACTCAGCACAGTGGGTTTCTAGAGAAGTGAGTCACTTGCTCTAGAATATTATCCCTGTATCTAACCCAAATCCCCTCCTGGGCCAAGGAAAACCCATTTCCTTTTGGGCCCTTGGCTGACTTTAGATCTGCTAAGTAATCAACATAGACCATGGGACGCTTCCATGCACGCACATGCACTCAGCCTTGGCCTCCAAAGCGTTGCCCTTCCATATCCTCCCCACTGTCCAGGCCTCCTCCACCCTCGCTCAGAACCTGTTACCAGCAAGCAGTCCTGACTCTGCACTTCTGCAGGTAGGGTTCCATTCCACATGCCCTGCAGATGAGACAGCACGCTGCCATGAGGACACGGTTTCCGCCTTGCTTTCCTTGGCGTCTGAGGACCCCCAACCCCTGCAAGCTAGCTGTCCCATCCGATTCCCTATCTTTCCCTGTGGTTCTGCAATTTGCTCGCTTCCTCTTGCCTGGGCCCAACTTCAGGGGCTCACTCTCCTAACCTGGGGACCTTTCCTAGCAGCCCTTGGGGAACAAGGTAGGACAGAGGTTTGAGCACATGGGCTTTGGAGTTAGTCACCTGCCAGCCGCTGCTCTGCCAGGTGTGATTTGCTTTTGGAATTTCGGTGAGTGACTCGACCTCCCCAAGCTCAAGTTCATGCTCCTAGCCACACAGGGCTGTTGTGATGGATAAATGAAATAGCACATGTGACAGGGCTTCGGCCCAGGGCAGGGACTCAACACGTCGAATTCTTGTTTCCTTTAATACGTGTCTCAGAGGAACGCAAAGAGGATTAAATGGAATCATAAAGTGCCTAGCACAGTTCCCAGCTCCAGCAGACACTCCATAAACAGAACTTCCTGCTTTCTCCCCACCACCTTCTCCTCTGTTCTAGTGTTTGTTTTAGAGCAATATGGTGGAGCTATTTACTAAGGAGCACCAGCCTGTCTTGGAAGCTGGGGTGGGAGCAGGTGACGGCGGTTTGGGCTGGGCAGGTCAGGGCCTCAACTCAGCTAGGATTCTGTGCGTCTGGGCTCGGGGTGGCTCTGAGGTCAGGCCCGAGGCATTGGAGCAGTGGCCGCCAGCCC
Source organism: Homo sapiens (assembly GCF_000001405.40). NCBI lineage: Eukaryota > Metazoa > Chordata > Mammalia > Primates > Hominidae > Homo > Homo sapiens. Next base: position 124,182,201 of record NC_000010.11, read on the forward strand.
ATTTTCCATCTCTGCCTGTCCTCCGAGAAGCCTCCCAAATTTACCTCCACCCTGTGCTGCTCTTTAACCAAAGCCCGTTTAGTAGATTCGGTAATCATGTACTCTCACTAAAAATAAACCGGGCCACACAGTCCCTGAGAAAGGAGAGCTCAGATTAGAGGTCAAATTCCTCCCCTCCTCGTAGGGTCCAGAGTGCCCAGGGACAGCAGCAGGGCAGGGAGTCCCTGTCAATCTCGCTTGTTGGGGAGGGCGCTCCAGGAGGAGCAGTGGACAGGCTCCCCGCAGGCCACTGGCTTCCCACGGAGGTCCACAGCAAAGCGGTGGCGTTTTCTTCTCAGGGCTAGCTCTACCTCACGGCTGCTTTCCATCTCCCCAGCGTCAGCTGCCATGAAAGGCCTTTTTGCTTTGGCCCAGTCCCTGCAACATAAAATCCTTGATGGATATTGCAATGGTCACCTCACTTGGGATCCCATTGTTTTTCAGTTTTCCAAAGGGCCATCTCTAGCACGTCACGGTGCAGAGGACAGGAGCCATATAGGAGCCTCTGAGCAGCGTATGTTCAGCACTGATATTTGTCATCGTCCAGTTCTGGTCTCTCACAGCTAGGTCTACTTCTTCTAGAAGGCGGTTGAACAAAGAAGTTGAGCACATGAGTTTGGGAATGAAATGAAACTGAATGTGAGTCCGGCTCTGACATTTAGACACGGTACCATGGGCACCTGCCCCTCTGGCCTCAATTCTGTCATCTGTCAAATGAGAATTCTAGAGTAAAGACATAGTGAACCTACCTCAAGGGGTAACTTACGTGTCAGATAAGCGAATGCATGCAAATGTTCATCATGGCTCTGGCACTGGATGAAGATGGCAGTGTGCATGCATTATCACTGTGAAGACTCTTACTATTATAAAGTGGTTTTGAGCAGGGCTTGAGGGAGAGCATTCCTTCTCTTTTTGGATCGTGATTAGGAAGTTACTCTTTAGGCAAAGGGGGATCAGCCCCCGACCCCACTCATGTCTTCCCACCTCGCATCCCTGTTGCATGGGGTTTCAGAAGGGAAATAAGAGGGCATTTCCAGTAACACGTGCAGGTGGCAGACAGCGCGCAGGGAGCACTGGAGCACAGCACAGATGCCTGTGACGGTCACGTCATTCCTAATGGGGCTCCTACAAGAGAATGGCCTCCTGCACCTGAAGGCAGGGTCCCAGGACAGGACAGGACAGGACAGGGGGACACGCAGGGAGAAGTTTCTGAAAACAACACAGCCAGAGGAGGGGTAGGGGCCTGAAGGAAGGAGGACCTGGCAGAGCAGTGAGGGCCTGAGGGACACAGAGCAGGATGGGCATGTCCCACGTGAGGGAGGACATGGAGTATCTTAGTTGGAGCCCAGGTGCTGGAGACACACCGCCCTCATCAACTCTCAGCTCCACCACCTACCGGCAGGACAGTTGGGGTACCAGTGTGAGCGTCCACTCTTTTTCTATGACAGGGTGTGATAATAGAGCATTTGTCAAGGGACTGTGGTCAGGATTCAGCATGCACAGCCATGGAAAGCCCCACAGCACCAGGCATGGTGGTGAATGGAGCCACGGGTACATCCAGGTATGAAAAGCCACCAGCCACAGCCTCTTCCGCCTTTGATGGCAACCTCCTCCTGCACCCCCAGGCTGCCTCCCGTGGTCTCGCCTGCTCTTCCTCTGTACCTCACTCCCTTCCTCCCATCCTCGCCTGGGAGGTTGAGGCTGCAGTGAGCTGTGATTGTGCCACTTCACTCCAGGCTGGGTGACAGAGTGAGAACTTGCCTCAAAAAACAAAATAAAAACAAAAAAATTACCCAGCCTCAGGTATTTCTTTATAGTGATGCGAAAACAGACTAACATAATTAGTAAATGTATTCTTCAAATAAAGACAAAGAGAAAGAATAAGCAGAGGCAATAGCAGAGAAAAAGACCCAGAAGTGAGGGGGCCTGATATACCCAAAGAATAGAGAGAATTTCCATCTGAGTGGCTCTAAGAATAGAGCTATGAGAGCTAAGTCAAGAAGTGTGGCTGGGTCAACTCATCCTGGGTCAAGTAAACCTGGGAAGCCACTGGGCATTTGCTATGAGCCCTGAGAGCCTATGAGGGTTGCTGGTGGATGGGTGTCAGATCCAGTGGTGTTCAGAAAGGACACTGAGTACCAGGTGGAAGGCACATTGTGGGAGCCACAGTGTCAGCTGGAGAGGAGCGGGACAGTGAGCCTCTGCCACAGTCCAGGCAGAAGACAGGGCTCTGTGGATGAGGGTAATGGCCCAGGGAAGGGGAGCAGTGTCAGAGCCCAGCAACATGTGACAAGGAAACAGTACAATTTGCTGCTGGCTGCTGCCACACACAGCAAGGCAAATTGCTGCTGAACAGCCAGGCCTGGGCCTGGGGACAGACAGTGCTTGGCCTTCACTCTTCAGCCAGCACTTCCCATGGGGGCTGCTCAGCCCTGCCTTGCTCAGGCACAGTCCATTCTAGTGGATGGGGCTGGAGCCGCCTGCCTTGACGGGATTTCCCTCTAGTTCCCCAACTCCAGTGTTGCTTCCTGGGGCCCCAGGTTGGAGCTGATGATTTTAATGGAAAGGATGGTAGATTGCAACTGTGAGCTGCAATGCACAAACAGCCGTAGATGCCTTGTGCTCTGGGTCCTTTTGGAAAGGGAGCAGGCAGAGGAGGCCCAGTAATGAACAGGTTTTCAGCCACTTCCTGGACACCATACTGATGCCTCTCCTCCTGGATCAGGAGTCCATGGAACTAGGCCTCGATTTACCCTGGGGGTCTCTGCTGTGAGCCCGCTGCCTTCTCTAAACCTCACCTGCCTTAGGTGAAAAATGGATCTCCAAGGTCCCATCCTGAATGAATGACCCCACAACTCTCACCTAAGGGACAGCAAACTGGCTCCTGGATTCCACATCCCAGTTCCCTGACAGGGTCACTAGCCAGGGCTCAAGGGCAGTCAGAGCTGCAAGGGTAAGGCTTAATTGCTCCAACTTCCAGTGAGATGACCCTCGTGCCCAGGCCCCTCCCCTCCCCATCCCAGCAGGCTCTATGACTCTGCGGAATCTGAGTGTAGCAGGAAAAATGCAGCAGGCCTGGACCCGCCGCCCCACTCCACACATCCAGGAAATGGACCGTGATACTCGTAATATTACATTTTAATGGTCTGCCGCAGCAAAGGCAGAAGGAAGAATCACTCCTGTGGCGGCAATGGATTAACTCCTTCTTTTCTGGTCTCTTCCAGAGTCTTCTAGTTAAATGTACTGGGGAGGGAGGGTGCAGGTCTTGGTGAGAAGGAATGAAGGGGGTCAAGACAATAAGACTCCAGAGTCTCTAGCTGCTTTACATTCAATCTTCTGGGAGTTTCCATTTTCTACTCTATCTATCAATATGCAGGAATGACAGCTTTTCTTCAAAGCCAACTCATTTTCCTTCCCTGGACTCCCTCAATGTCTATCAGGAGGTCAACTTCACACCCTCAGTACCATCCAGGCCCAAGATTAATAATCCTCCATCAGACAGGAAACCTGATGACTGACATTAGGGGTGCAGTAAGGGAGAGCCATAAACTCTCTTAAAATGAAAATAGCTCTTGAGTGGATCCTAGGGCCGAGAGGGAACCCAGAGATCATCTGCTCCTCTTGAGGTCCAGAGAGGAGAGAACACTCACTCAGCCACTCACACATCAGTGTGGATAAGGGACCGGAGCCTGAGAGATACCATCCCCACCCAAGCACCCTCTTCCTGGGCAATGGCCCTTCCAGTCATGTCCCACACAGTGGTGTGCTGGCAATGTGTATCACATTGATTTGTTGCATTTGCAGATTTCTGTGGTGTAAATACTCCCTCCATGCCCAGTTCTAAGCTATTAATGGGAGGTCACTGGAACAGACTTGGGAAGAGAGGCCCATTACATAGAATCTTCATCAGGCAGATGCAATAGACATAAATAACCTCAAAAGCACAGACCATAGTCAAATCATTAGGATAAGTTTTGAGTAGTTATTACTTTTGTTTTTAAAATAATTTCTTTAAGTATGAGTTTATATAATTGAACTTTTATGACTATATTTAATAACCAGCTCTCAATATTTCTGAATTTGACAGTCAGTTCTTATGAGGCAGTAATGGGTTGGCTCTGGCACAGCTCTGTCTCCATTGTGGTAAGTTGGTGGCTGTATGTCACTTGTATTAGTCTGCACACCTAGGAAATGTCCATTGCGCTGATTTCCTGGACCCCAGTAGGCTCAGCTGCAGATGAGCATTGGCCTGGCCTGGAAGGAAACGCCCCTTCTTCCAGCTTAACTGTTGGCACATGCTTTATTTTCTCATTAATTAGCCTAACTGCTCAGCTCCAATGCTATACTATCTTTTGCTGCCTCTCCAAATGAGCTTGGGTCCTTGAATTCTATGTCCAGTCCCCTGCAGGAATGGCAATTTGGGTTCTAACCATTCATCTTTAAGGCATAGAGCCTCTTCCATCTGATGATCTCCAAGGTGGTCCTTTGTCCAATAATGGCTGCATCCCACCCATCCAAGGGAACATGAGACTCTCTTTTAAGGGGAATAGAAAAAGAACCATGAGATGCCCTCCCTTCAGATGGGAAAGGGTCTCCAGGTTCAGATGAGGCAGGATCCAAGATGGCCCTCAATGATTCTAGCCTCCTGGTAGTAACACCCTGGGTAGCTCCCTTCCAAACTCAGCAGACTGGATGCAAATACTGTGACAATGACAGAGGAGGACTTCTGAGACTAGGTCATAAAAAACGTGAAAGACATCCAGCTTCCACCTGCATCCTCTTGGGTCACTCTGAGAGAAGCCAGCATCATGAGGACTCTCCAGTGGCCGCATGGCGATGCCACATGATGAGGTGCTGAGGCCCCCAGCCCACAGCTGGCCCTGACTCGCCGGTGCTGAGAGTGAGCTTCCTCGGAAGTGGGCCCTCCAGCAGTGTCCATTCAGTGCCCAGCCCTGTGCAAAGCTCTTATTTGGGGTGGATATACAGTAAGTCAAAGCATGACCCCTGCCCTCCAGATGCTGTCTCCACAGTGCTGGTGTCAGTTAGGAGTCCGTTCAGCTGTGTGGTCCCCACTGTTGCTGGTAACACATAACAGCTTAAACAAGATAGGCTTGTATGTCTCTTAAGTAAACAAAGTCCAGAGGTGGGCAATCTATATCTCGTATGACACTCCCCCAGGCCACACAGGTGCTCCTGCTTATGGACCCAGGTTCCTTCTATCTTGTTACTGTACCATCGACAACATAAAACTTTTTTTCCCATAAGTTATTGGGGTACAGGTGATATTTAGTTACATGAGTAAGTTATTTAGTGGTGATTTGTGAGATTTTGGTGCACCCATCACCCGAGCAGTATACCCTGCACCCTGTTTGTAGCGTTTTCTCCCTCACTCCACCCCCATTCATCCCCCCAAGTCCCCAAAGTCCATTGTATCATTCTAATGCATTTGCATCCTCATAGCTTAGCCACCCATATATCAGTGAGAACATACGATGTTTGGTTTTCCGTTCCTGAGTTACTTCACTTAGAATAATAGTCTCCAGTCTCATCCAGGTCACTGCAAATGTTAACTCATTCCTTTTTATGGCTGCATAGTGTGTATATATATATATATATATAAAATATATATTTTATATATATATATATATAAAATATATATTATATATATAGAGAGTGATATATATGTATATCACATGTGATATATATATATATATCTCCCACAGTTTATCTACTCATGGATTGATGGGCATTTGGATTGGTTCCATGATTTTGCTGTTGTGAATTGTGCCACTATAAACATGCATGTGCAAGCATCTTTTTCGAATAATGACTTCTTTTCCTCTGGATAGATATTCAGTAGTGGGATTGCTGGATCAAATGGTAGTTCTACTTTTAGTTCTTTAGTTCTTTAAGGAATCTCCACACTGTTTCTCATAGTGGCTGTACTAGTTTACATTCCCACCGGCAGTGTAGAAGTGTTCCCTGTTCACTGCATCCATGCCAACTATCTACTGTTTTTTTATTTTTTTGATTATGGCCATTTTTGAAGGAGCAAGGTGGTACCGCATTGTGGTTTTGATTTGCATTTCCCTGATCATTAGTGATGTTGAGCATTTTCTCATGTTTGTTGGCCATTTGTATATCTTCTTTTGAGAATTGTCTATTCATGTCCTTAGCCCACTTTTTGATGGGATTGTTTGCTTTTTTCTTACTGATATATCTGAGTTCGTTGTAGATTCTGGATATTAGTCCTTTGTCAGATGTATAGATTGTGAAGATTTTTTCCCACTCTGTGGGTTGTCTGTTTACTCTGCTGACTGTTCCTTTCGCTGTGCAAAAGCTCTTTAGTTTAGTTAGGTCCCAGCAATTTATCTTTGTTTTTATTGCATTTGCTTTTGGGTTCCTGGTCATGAAATCCTTGCCTAAGCCAATGTCTAGAAGGGTTTTTCCAATGTTATTTTCTAGAATTTTTATAGTTTCAGGTTTTAGGTTTAAGTCCTTAATCCATCTTGAGTTGATTTTCATATAAGGTGAGAGATGAGGATCCAGTTTCATTCTCCTACATGTGGCTAGCCAATTATCCTAGCACCATTTGTTGAAAAGGGTGTCCTTTCCCCACTTTATGTTTTTGCTTGCTTTGTCGAAGATCAGTTGACTATAAGTATTTGAATTTATTTCTGGGTTCTCTATTCTGTTCCATTGGTCTATGTGCCTATTTTTATAACAGTACCATGCTGTTTTGGTGACTATGGCCTTATAATATAGTTTGAAATCAGGTAGTGTGATGCCTCCAGATTTGTTCTTTTTGCTTAGTCTTGCTTTGGCTATGCGAGCTCTTTTTTGGTTCTGTATGAATTTTAGAATTGTTTTTTCTAATTCTGTAAAGAATGATGGTGGTATTTTGATGGGGATTGCATTGAATTTGTAGATTGCTTTTGGCAGTATGGTCATTTTCACAATATTGATTTTACCCATCCATAAGCATGGGATGTGTTTCATTTGTTTGTGTTGTCTGTGATTTCTTTCAATGGTGTTTTGTAGTTTTCCATGCAGAGGTCTTTTGACTCCTTGGTTAGGTATATTCCTAAGTATTTTATTTTTCTTTGCAGCTATTGTAAAAGGGGTTGAGTTCTTGATTTGATGCTGTGCTTGGTCGCTGTTGGTGTATAGAAGAGCTACTGATTTGTGTGCATTAACCTTATATCTGGAAACTGCTGAATTATCAGTTCCAGGAGCTTTCTGGAGGAGTTCTTGGGGTTTTCAAGGTAAACGATCACATCGTCAGCAAACAGTGACAGTCTGACTTCCTCTTTACTGATTTGGATACCCTTTATTTCTTTCTCTTGTCTGATTGCTCTGGCTAGGGCTTCCAGTACTATGTTGAAGAGGAGTAGTGAGAGTGGGCATCCTTGTCTTGTTCCAGTTCTCAGGGGGAATGCTGTCAACTTCTCCCCATTCAGTATTATGTTGGCTGTGAGTTTGTCATAGATGGCATTTATTATATTAAAATATGTCCCTTGCATGCCGATTTTGCTGATAGTTTTAATCACAAAGGGATGCTGGATTTTGTGGAATGCTTTTTGTGCAGCTATTGAGATGACCATGTGATTTTTGTTTTTAATTCTGTTTATGTGGTGTATCACATTTATTGACTTGTGTGTGTATGTTAAACCATCCCTGTATCCCTGGTATGAAACCCACTTGATCATGTTGGATTATCTTTTTGATATGTTGTTGGATTCAGTTAGCTAGCATTTTGTTAAGGACTTTAGCATCAATGTTCATCAAGGATATCAGTCTGTAGTTTTCTTCTTTGGTTGTCCTCTCCTGGTTTTGGTGTTAGGGTGATGCTGGCTTCATAAAATGAATTAGGGAGGGTTCCTTCTTTCCCTATCTTGTAGAATAGTGTCAAAAGGACTGATACCAATTCTTCTTTGAATGTCTTGTAGAATTCTGCTGTGAATCTGTCTGGTCCTGGGCTTTTCTTTGTTGGTAATTTTTTACTTACCATTTCAGTCTCACTGCTTGTTATTGGTCTGTTCAGGGTATCTAATTCTTCCTGATTTAAACTAGGAGGGTTGTATTTTTCCAGGAATTTATCCATCTCTTCTAGGTTTTCTAGTTTATGTGTCTAAAGGTATTCTTAGTAGCCTTGAGTGATCTTTTGTATTTAAATGGTGTCGGTTGTAATATCTCCTGTTTCATTTCTTAGTGAAGTTATTTGGATTTTCTCTCTTCTTGGTTAATCTTGCTAATGGTCTATCAATTTTATTTATCTTTACAAAGAACCAGTTTTTTGTTTCATTTATCTTTTGTAATTTTTTTGTTTCAATTTCATTTAGTTCTGCTCAGATCTTGGTTATTTCCTTTCTTCTGCTGAGTTTGGGTTTGGTTTGTTCTTCTTTCTCTAGTTCCTTAGAATGTCAGTTTGTGCTCTCTCAGTCTTTTGATGTAGGCGTTTAGGGCTATGAACTTTCCTCTTAGCACTGCCCTTGCTATATCCCAGAGGTTTTGATAGGTTGTGTCATTATTGTCATTCAGTTCAAAGAATTTTTTAATTTCCATGTTGATTTCGTTTTTGACCCAATGCTCACTCAGAAACAAGTTATTTAATTTCTGTATATTTGCATGGTTCTGAAGGTTCCTTTTGGAATTGATTTCCAGTTTTATTCTGCTGTGGTCTGAGAGAGTGCTTGATATAATTTCAATTTTCTTAAATTTATTAAGGCTCATTTTATGACCTATCATATGGTCCAACTTGGAGAAAGTTCCATGTGCTGTTGAATAGTATGTGTATACTGTGGTTGTTGGATGAAATGTTCTGAATATATCTGTTAGGTACACTTCTTCCAAGGTATAGTTTAAATCCATTGTTTCTTTGCTTTCTGTCTTGATGACCTGCCTAATGCTGTCAGTGGAGTATTGAAGTCCCCCGCTATTATTGTGTTGCTGTCTATCTCATTTCTTAGGTCTATTAATAATTGTTTATAAATTTGGGAGCTCCAGTGTTAGGTGCGTATATGTTTAGGATTGTGATATTTTCCTGTTGGACAATACATTTTACCATTATGTAACATCCCTCTTTGTCTCTTTTAATTGCTGTTGCTTTGAAATTTGTTTTGTCTGGTATAAGAATAGCTACCCCTGCTCACTTTTGGTGTTCATTTGCATGAAATGCCTTTTTCCACCCCTTTACTTTAAGTTTATGTGAGTCCTTATGCATTAGGTGAGTCTCCTGGAAGCAACAGATAGTTGGCTGGTGAGTTCTTATCCATTCTGCAGTTCTGTATATTTTAAACGGAGCATTTAGGCCATTTACATTCAATGTTAGTACTAAAATGTGAGGTACTGTTGCATTCATTGTGTTTTTCGTTGCCTGTGTACTTCGATTTTTTTTTGTTTTTTGCTTTTTAACACGTATTTTTGTTTTATTGTGATTTATGCTTTAAAGAGGTTCTGTTTTGATGCGTTTCCAGAATTTGTTTCAAGATTTAGAGCTCCTTTTAGCAGTTCTTGTAGTGGCAGCTTGGTAATGGCAAATTCTCTCAGCATTTGTTTGTCTGAAAACGACTGTATCTTTCCTTTATATATGATGCTGAGTTTCGCCGGATACAAAATTCTTGGCTGAGGGTTGTTTCATTTGAGGAGGTAGAAGATAACGCCCCAATCCCTCCTAGCTTGTTGGGTTTCTGCTGAGAAATCTGCTGTTCATCTGATAGGTTTTCCTTTATAGGTTACCTGGTACTTCTTCTCACAGCTCTTAAGATTCTCTCCTTCATCTTAACTTTGGATAACATGATGACAATGTGCCTAGGTGAAGATCTTTTTGCAATGAATTTTCCAGGTGTTCTTTGTGCTTCTTGTATTTGGATGTCTAGGTCTCTAGCAAGGCCAGGGAAGTTTTCCTTGATTATTCTCCCAAATATGTTTTCCAAACTTTTAGAATTCTCTTCTTCCTCAAGAACACCGACTATTCTTAAGTTTGGTTGTTTAACATAAACCCAGACTCCTTGGAGACTTTGTTCATATTTTCTTATTCTTTTTTCTTTGTCTTTGTTGGACTGGGTTAATTCAAAGACCTTGTCTTCAAGCTCTGAATTTTTTTCTTCTACTCATTGAATTCTATTGCTGAAACTTTCCAGAGCATTTTACATTTCCAAAAGTGTGTCCAAAGTTTCCTGAATTTTTTATTGTTTTTTCTTTAAGCTATCTGTTTCCTTGAATATTTCTCACTTCACTTCTTGTATCATTTTTTGGATTTCCTTGCATTGGGCTTCTCTTTTCTCCGGTCCCTCCCTAATTCGCTTAATAACTAACCTCCTGAATTCTTTTTCAGGTAAATCAGGGATTTCTTCTCTTCTTGGTTTGGATCCATTGCTGGTGAGCTAGGGTGATTTTTGGAGGGTGTTGAAGAACCTTGTTTTGTCATATTACCAGGGTTGGTTTTCTGGTTCCTTCTCTTTTTGGATAGGTTCTGTCAGAGGGAAGGTCTAGGGCTGAAGGCTGTTGTCCAGATTCTTTTGTCCCACGGGTGTTCCCTTGATGTAGTACTCTCCCCCTTTTCCTGTGGATGTGGCTTACTGTGAGCTGAACTGCAGTGATTGTTGTTGCTCTTCTGGGTCTAGTCACCCAGTAAGTGGGCCCAGCTCCGGGCTGGTACTGTGAGTTGTCTGCACAGAGTCCTGTGATGTGAACCATCCATGGGTCTCTCAGCCATGGATACCAGAGCCTGTTCTGGTGGAAGTAGTGGGGGTGTGCAATGGACTCTGTGAGGGTCCTTAGCTTTGGTGGTTTAATGTTCTATTTTTGTGCTGGTTGACCTCCTGCCAGGAGGTGGCGCTTTCCAGAAAGCATCAGCTGTAGTAGTATAGAGAGGGACCAGCAGGGGGTGGGGCCCTAGAACTCCCAAGATTATATGCCCTTTGTCTTCTGCTACCAGGGTGAGTAGGGAAGGACCATCAGGTGGGGGCGGGGTAGGCATGTCGGAGCTCAGACTCTCCTTGGGCAGGTCTTGCTGTGGCTGCTGTAGGGGATGGGGGTGAGATTCCCAGGCCACTGGAGTTGTGTACCTGGGAGGATTATGGCTGCCTCTGCTAAGTCATGCAGGTTGTCAGGGAAGTCGGGGAAAGCTGGCAGTCACAGGCCTCACCCAGCTCCCATGCAAACCGAAGGGCTAGTCTCTCCCACCGCGCCTCCACCAATAGCCCCAAGTCTGTTTCCAGGTGGTGGGCGACAGGGGCTTGAAAACTTGCCCCAGGCTACCCAACTCCCAGCAGTGAAAGAAAAGGGCTTGGTTCTTCCCCCGCCTGTGAAGTCTGCACTCTGGATTTGCACCCTCCTCCAAGTTCTGGCCACGAGGCCTTACAAAGTTCAGCTTGAGAATTCCTTCTTTCTGTGGAGTTTTGCCCCCTGCTCCTCTGGTCACCCTCCCGATGGATCCCTGTGGTGCCAGCAGAAATGACCTGCTAGGGGACCCAGTGAGCTCCCAGGGCCTTTCTGCTGCTTCCTCTACCCCTGTATTTCGCTCAGCTCTCTAAATTGGCTCAGCTTCAGGTAAGGTTGGAAACTTTTCCTGCAAACAGACCTTCAGTTTCTCCAGTGGGGGAGTGTGTTTGGGAGAGGAGGGTTGGGGCACTCACAGTATTTGGGGTGTCTCCTGGGTCCTGCAGGAGCAGTCTGCTTCCTTCAGAGAGTCTGTAATTTCTCTCAGGATTGCTGGTTTGTCCAGCATACAACTTTTTCCTCCTAGTCCAAGATGGGTGCTGGAGCTGCAGCCATTACATCTTTTGAGCAGAAGGAAGAAGGAGGACATAAAGCATGTCTTCTATTAAAGACAACACATGTTGCACACACCCCTTCGGTTCATATCCCATTGGCCTAAATGTAATCCAATTGTCAGTTTTTTGTTTGTTGTTTGTTTGTTTGCTTGTTTTTGTTTTCATGACAGGCTTATACCCAGGTAAACTTGGGGGTTCCAGTATGAAGAAAGAAAAGATGGGCTTGGTGGGTAATTTGCAGTTTCTTTCCCAGAACCTGATGGAGGCCTCACAATTAGGCATGTCATCCAACAGACACACCTAATGGGTCTCTGTTCCTCTTGGCAGTTGCCTAAGAGGGCCAATGTTCTCTTTCCAAACACTTCCTCTGAAGCACATCCCAGTATTATTCTCCAACACATCATTCTTCCTGTCTCTCCCCATGAAACGCAGAGTCCACAAGGGCAGGGACCTTGTCTGCCTGGCCCTGTTTTGGATTCCCAGCTTCTGAATATCTGCTGCATGAATGAATGAACGAGCCAAAGAGAGACCCTTTGACTCTGTATTATGGTCAATAATAAGTTTGCACAGGTGCTCCTGCTTAGGAAACCACACTTCAAACATTTGCATGCCTATGGCCTAAGCTGAGACCATTTTGAAGGCATCTGGAAGCCCTTTGCTGAGAGCAGTGTGCAAACATGCAGTGTCCTCCTCATCCCTGCTTTGGCACACACAGTGCCTGACTGGTAGGGAACTGCTCCATCTTGTCTGCCATGTAAAAAGATGCCAGGTATTCTTATGAGGAAAATGAAACAAGCACAGAAAAGGAATCTGTTTTTAAAGCTCTTTAACTTTCCCCATGGGGGCCAGTGTCTGTGTCTATACAATATCCCAAGCCCCAGATAAAACATGCAAACCATACTCATCAAGTCAAATAAGTGGTCTGAAGGTTTTTGTTTTTGCAAACTCACTTAGAGGTCACAGAGACCTGGATAAGGAATGATGTCCAAAGAGCTGCAAACACAAACCATATTTTAAAAAAGAGAAAAGGAACCTCTGCAAGTTTCTGTAAAAAGTGTCCGTGTCTTGCAAGTAACCAAAAGTTGTGGTATTCCAGCACCGCCAATAGAAAAGTGAGTGATTCTCACACACACATGCATGAATAGCTTTAAAAAGTCCAAGAGGAAGATGAATAAGGAAATAAATAAAATGTATGAAAAACAGATATACAAAAGACTACAATATATGAAAAACCATTCAAATCCATTAGAAATCAAATTAACTATTTTCAACTTCAAACTGGCAAGCATTTTTAAAATAATACTCAGTGCTGGCAAATATGTAGTGAAATGGCCAATTGCACAGCCGACTGCACGCACTGCTAACAGAGTGCACAGTTGCACAGTTTTCTGGAAAGCAGTTTGGAAATGTGCATCCAAAACCTCAAAAATGTTCACAGTACCTTTGACTCAGTAGGTTTCTTCTAATAATTTATCCTAAAATGCTCATTTATTTATTCAATAAATAATTGATTGCCTGCTGTATGCCATTTGCTGGGCTAGTTACTAAATATTCATGGAGGAATTAAGAAAACATATTTCCTGCCCCTGTGAACTACCATTAGATCCAACAATCCAACTCCTGGGTATCTACCCAGAGGAAAATAAGTCATTATATGAAAAAGGTACTTACAGACTCATGTTTATAGCAGCACAATTTGCAATTGCAAAAATATGTAACCAGCCCAAATGGCCATCAATCAACGAGTGGATGAAGAAAATGTGGTGTATATATATACACCATGGAATACTACTCAGCCATGAAAAGGAATGAAATAATGGCATTTGCAGCAGGCTGGATGGAATTAGAGACCATGATTCTAAGTGAAGTAACTCAGGAATGGAAAACCAAACATCATATATTCTCACTCGTAAGTGGGAGCTAAGCTATGAGGATGCAAAGGCATAAGAAGGATACAATGGACGTTGGGGATTTGGGGAAAGGGTAGGAGGTGGGGATAAAAGACTACACACTGGGTACAGTGTGCACCGCTCAGGTGATGGGTGCATCAAATCTCAGAAATCACCGCTAAAGGACTTGTTCATGTAACCAAACACCACCTGTTCCCCAAAAACCTATTAAGATAAAATAAAATGAATTATAATATTCAAAGAATTATATGAGGAAACCTATTAAGATAAAATAAAATGAATTATAATATTCAAAGAATTATATGAGGAAACATACAATAAACAAATAAACAAAGCAACAAATAAATAAGTATAAATTGTGATCATTGCTGAGAAGGGTGTTGTATTAATGTGGTGGAGTAACAGAATGACTGGTGATAATGTACGTTTTCTCTGAGAAGGTGATATTTAATCCAAGTTCTAAAAGATGAAGAACTGGCCATGAGAAGAGTATTAGGGTTCCAGGTGCAAATGCTCTGAATTTGGAAAGCTCTTACAGGGCTCAAGGAGCAAGAGAGAGGTCAGGATGGCTGGGGTAGCAACCAAGGGAGCATGAGATACAGGCGGAGAGGAGTCGGAGCATGGAAGGGAAGCTGAGATGTCAGTTGGACATTATGCCATAAACAATGGGGAGCATTTGAATGTTCTTGAGCAGGAGAGTAACACAATCACAGTTGTACTTTGGGAAGCTCAATCTAGGCATTTTATAAAATGAAAGAAGCAAAGAAAACCAGACTGAAGGCAGGAAGCCTCACTGAGAAGTCATTGCCATCCATGGCTGGGAGTCTGTGAGGGACAGATAGAAGGGGAGTTTTGAGGAAGAATCACGTGATTTGGCCATTGATGGCCCTGGGTGGCCAGGAAATGGGAGGAGCTGGAGATGTCACCACCCGTGCCTGGTAGAATGGTGGGTCAATGAACAGCCAAGGAAACCACAGGATGAGAGGGCTCTGGGGAAAGATGAAGAATCTCGATTTGAACATCTGAGTTGAAGCCCACAGCTTCCTTCAGGGACCCTTCCAGGTCACTCCCCAGCGTGGGGCCTTCATCTTCCCTGGACTCACCCACCCAGGACAAAACTCAGCGTTTCAAAGTTCAACCCCGCAGAAAGACCGAGAATAGAATGGGAAGCCAACTTTCTTTCCTCCCCCACTCCCCATTTCTTTCTGTTCATGATTCCAGTTAAAAATTCCAAGGTCAAATGTTTCCTCAGGACATTTTTTTTTCTGGTAAAATTTGGAGAACCCTCCTCCCATTCCCCTTTTCCGGTTCAAGAAAAGCAACTTTAATATGCTTATACCAAGATTTTCTTTTCCTGAGAGACTGCAGAGGCTCTGGAGCCCTCGGTGGGGAATCCCAGCTTGACTTAGCACTTTTCCCAAAGGGTTACATATGTTGGCTGTGCTGTCTCAGAATTAACTCCCTCACTGGCAATGGAAGTCTTTTTATAAAGGACGCTGGCGGGGACTTTCCTGGAGGGGAATTATTCCTTGAGGCAACAGTGACACCCACGAGGCCTTCCCGTCCACTCAGACATCTCTGGGGAGGGAGTGAGGCTGCCAGGCCCAACTGCCTTTTGCTGCTTCTCCTCATGTAAAACGGAGTGTCTAATGCCATGCTCATTTCTCTGGAAATCTTGTGTGGGCCCAGGCAGGCGGTTGTAATGTAGGCATGGCCACTGCCGAGAATAGAAATGAAGCAATTGTGTCCCGTGGCTGGGCCCACATTAAGCACGCTTCAGAAAACAAACACAGCTCGCTGGGAAGGCCCATGCAGGCGACAGCCGCGCAGGCCTCCTGAAGCGTGTTTGCTGCCAGGCCAAGAATTCTAAGGAGCACGGTGCGTTGATTTGGGCCACTTTTGTCATGAAAACGTTTCGTCACAGAGGAAAATGGTTCTGAATGGACCCACCGCATAACCCAAGTCTAAATCTGCTCGCGGAAGTCCTATTGAAACAGGCAGTATTAGGGCTGTGCAATAAATCGGTTTGTGAAAATATGATTTCCTGCCAGCTGTTCCGAATAAGGCTCTTGTAAGACGATTGTATAGTCAGGAGGAGAAATGATTCCCTCTTCCATTTGGAAGTTGTTGGGGTTTTTTTCCCCTGGTGATTTTAAATCTTGCGTGAGGGTGGATGTAAAGTAAGAAATGAGATGTTTACAACATATTGAGAAACAGGTTTTTAATACTGTAAAACCCTTCTGATCACAAATTCAGGAGACTGTGAGATTTCATTAAACTCCAAAACTCACACCCAAGACTCTCATCCTTAGCAGTTAAAGGAGCCTGGTGCTAAGGATGCCCGTTTAAAGAAAGGAAATCTTCCCGCTCCAGCTGCCGAGATGGCTGCAAAGTCTTAATAGAATTTCTTTCCATGGAAGGAACTTCAGGCTTCCCCTGACAGAGGCCCAGCCAGCAGGCGACTTCTCCAGAACCACATAAAAGGAAATTAAAATGTGTTATTTTCTGGGGAGCACCCTTAAGCGGTGGAAACAGATCTTTGCTTTTTTCTTTTGTTTTTAATTATGAAATACTTCAAACAGAGAAAAGTATAGAAAAATAATATAAGACTATCCTCCACCAAGGTCAAGCATTTGCCATAGTTGCTTAAAATCAATCTCTCTCTCTCTCTCTCCTAAATGGCTTAAAACCAGCTAAAACCACCCATTTTTCATGATTTCCCTCTTCCCCAGAAGTAACCCCTGCCCTGAAATGGTGCGGGTCATTCACATCCTGATTTTAGTCTGTTTACAACCCATATATGGCTCCATAGCTATATGGACTCTTGTGTGTTTTTAAAAATTCACTTAAATGGTAATCATTCTGTATGTATTAATATCTTCTTGAAACTTATTTTTCCCCTCAAAATTGTATTTTGGATGAAGAGACACACCATGTTCTTGACTAAAGGAACATAATCCTAAAGATTCCACCTAACTTAATTTACAGATTGAATACAATTGCGATTTTTAAAATACCACCAGGATTTTTTTCTGGACCTCAGTAAGTTGATTATGAAGTTTATTTGAATGAACAAAAACACAAAGCTAGCCAGGAGAACCTAGAAAAAGAAGAGCCATATGGGGCCAGCACTACCAGACATTAACACATACTGCAAAGCCTGTAATTAGGAGTTTGGTATTGGCACATGAATAAACAGACAGACCAATGAGACCGAAAGAGAGTCCAGAAATAGATCCAACTGCATCTGGAAAGTTATTATATCAGAAAGCCAGCTTCACAAATCTGTGTTAGGAGATGATTTCTTTTTAATAAGTGGGCTTGAGATAATTGGACAGCCATATGAAAAAAGTCAGCCCTGGAACTCACATCATACGCTGGGGTAAAATCTAAAATGGGTCAGACATTTACATATAAAAACGGAAACCCTCTAGGTGCGAGAGAAAACCATGAGAAAGGTTTATACAACCTGAGTGTGGGGAAAACTTTCTTACCAGAAGCAATAAGGGGAAAGACTATTACATTTGAGTGCACTCAAAGAAAACCCTTTTGCATGGCAAAACCACCCCAAGCAAAGTAGAAAGATAAACCATACCTGGGTGGAGATCCCTGGGGCTCCTGTCTCCAGGTGGCATCAGAGAGGGTCTGGGTCACCCCTGGGTCAGTGGGCAGTGGGGTTCACTTTCTAGGCTGGAGGCCATGGAAGTTGTCTAGTTGAGTGCATGGGTCCTGGTGCCTGGTTATCTGCATTGGAATCTGGCTTCCCCACTTTTTAGCCACATGACCTGGGGAAAATTATTTAAGCTCCCTGGACATATTTTCCAACCCATAATGAAAAGCTAATACCAGTGCCTAGTCCTAGGGTTGTGAGGAGAAATAAATGAGTTTATCTGCATAAAATGCTTTCAACACTACCTGGAACATTCTAGAACTCTATGTTAGCTCTTACTTCCTGAGGCCCACAGCTTCCTACAAAACCAATGTCCAGGCAGCAAACTGGCTGCAGATTTCTTTTCCCTCCAGCCACTGGTTTCCAATCTCAGGACTCTGGGGAGGGGTAGCTGTGGAGGATCTCTCAGGTCGCCCCTCCAGCAGCCTGAGTCGGCCAGGGCTGCCTTTCTCAGTCATGGACTCCTGAGGATCTTAGGAAAGCTAGGAGCCCTCTCTTTAAAATCTGTGCAGGAGATTTCAGGGATTTCCCTTTTCCCTGAAAGTCTGACAGCCCCAGGATGGAGGTTTGGTGACCATCATTTTTGAGCCAAAAATGATGACTCGTAGCCTGCCTTATGATATGAGACACAGAGAAAAGGACAAAGAAAATGCTTATAATCTGGACCACATGGCCACTGCATGAAGGATAGAGCCATGCAGGGAGCTCACCCTCTCTCCAGTGAAGGCTGTCTCCAACCTCACCCATAGCTCTGAGGCTTCCTGGGCACGGAAGTGATGCCGGTGCATATTTGAGCAGCCTCAATCTTGAGAATGTTCGGGAAAAGTATTGAGAGTCCCTACCTGGGGACAGGGACAGGGCAGGAACAGGGACACTTTCCTGGGAACTTGGAAGGTTTGAGATGCTGCCATGAGGGCCTATTGTCATTGTCATGAAAAAGATAATAACTACGGTGACAATGATGGGGAGGAAAGAGAAGGAGGTAGGGAAGAAGGAGGAATCAGAGCCGGCAGTGGGCACCTGCAGAAGGGAATTTTCTGGAGACAGTTTGGAGCTAGATTATGCAAGGGAGTGGGGTCAGGAGGTCTTGAATGCTACTCTGAGAAGCCTGGGTTTTGGAAGCCCCTGGAAGTTTTGGAGAGAGGACTCAAGGGCATAATGTAGCAGAAAGATAATCTGGCAGCATCCAGAGACCAAATGTAATATAAGTTGGAAATGGAGTGCTGCGCACATGAGACTCTGTTAAGAGCAGCCAGGCAGGACTCGGTGCCTCAGCGGGATTGAGAAGGATGCAGGTGGAGGTGGGCACCCTCAGGGGCCGGCCGTGTGCTGCAGTTACCAGGATCATAGCTGCCTTCCTTCAGGCTTTAGGCACCCTGCATAACAGCTTACCAAGCAACTAATTCCCAAAATTGTATAGGGAGCACATTATTATTCGTGTTTTATAGATGAGTTAGCTGAGGTAAGAAGAATTTAGCATCAATCTCCTGCACCCAGCAGCTCAATAACATGGTACTTAGCAGACCAGGATCTGAGATTGAAGATCACCCCTGTAATTCCTTGCTGTGTGATCCTGGGCAATTTGCTCCACCCCTCTAAGCCTCCATCTGTAAAGATCAAATTGAAATAACATGTGAAATGCTCAGCAAGTGCCAAGTATACAATAACCACTCAAGAACTATTGCTTAGCCTGGTATGGTGGTGCACACCTGTAGTCTCAGCTACTCGGGAGGCTGAGGTGGGAGGATTGCTTAACTCCAAAACACTGAGGCTACAGCGAGCTGAGATCGCATCACTGCATTCCAGCCTGGGTGACAGAGTGAGGCTGTATTAGTCCATTTTCATGCTGCTGATAAAGACATACCCAAGACTGGGCAATTTACAAAAGAAAGGGGTTTATTGGATTTACAGTTCCACATGGCTGGGGAGGCCTCACAATCACGGCAGAAGGTGAAAGGCACATCTCACATGGCAGCAGACAAGAGTAGAGACCTCGTGCCGGGAAAGTTCCATTTTTAAAACCATCAGATCTCATGAGACTTTTTCACTATCATGAGAACAGCATGGAAAAGATCCACCCTCCATCATTCAATTATCTCCCACTGGGTCCCTCCCACAACACATGGAAATTCAAGATGAGATTTGGGTGGGGACACAGCCAAACCATATGAGAGGCCCTGTCTCAAAAAAAAAAAAAAACTATTGCTATTGTTATTATTGTTATCATTAATATTATTCATGCTGAATGGACACTACCCAAGACCAATGTCAGAACTCCCACTGTCACTTCCTAGCTGGGTGTCCTTTAGAAATACTTGGGCCCTCTGAGTCAGTATCCTCCCAATGAATGGAAGGTAACCCCACCCCACCTTGCAGTTACCAAGGATAACATTCAGAGATCACTGAAAGAGAGGGCCCTTTAGTCTAGCTCCCAAAGATGAACTTGTAAAGCTAAATCTAGTTTAACGTGTAACTCCTGATTTCCCAGCAGGAGTAGCATGTGGCTGCTTCCACCCCACAACGGAATTGGAAGCAAATTCTTCAAACAACTTTCCCGTTTGCTCTGCAGCCGGGAGACAACGAATACCACTTAAATAGACTGTGCCAGGCCTCAGGATTTTGCTGGGTGCCAACCTTCCTCCATCAGGACTCAATTCTGTTTAAGCTGATGCAGATTGCAGACTTTAAATAGAAATGATAAATTATTGACTATCATGGTGATTGATTCTCAGACTGTCTGCTGACCACCAAATTGCTCCGATTGTCTCCCGAATGAAAATTCCATAAGTCATTAGCATGAGCCTGCACCAACATCCGTCACGTTAATGATGCGGCTGCAATCACTCCTTGACACTAATTACCTTTTCTGACTAATTTTGAATGCGGAATTTTGCTAATGACTGAGACCCACTGTAAAAGGCCCCATTTTCTCCAAGTGTTCCATAATCTATGGTACCTTCATGCTCATATCACAGTTATTAACACTGCACCCGATCCTGCCTGCTCCTATGTCGGCAGCCTTTAAATAGAGAGCACTTTATTCCAGGCTCCTTGACATAAACATAGTTTTATCTGGAGAATTCCCCAAAAGTGAGTTTCTGGAGAGGCAGGGTCTGCATGGATAGATTTCTAACTTGTAGAAACAATCATGAAAAATGTGTAAGCCACAGATCTTTCATGGCTACGGGGAGGGATGGACAGCATGGCCTACCCACCATGTGCTAGCTCTGCGCCTGGATTTTTCACACACACTGGTGTATATGGTCCTTGCTATGACCCCGTGAGACAGCTGTTATCAGCTCATTTTACAGATGAAGTAACTGGGACCTGGAGATTTTAAGTGACCACCCCAAGACACACAGCTTGTAAACAGTGATTACAAGAGACTGGAGTTGTGGCAGGCAGTGTTGGCTATCAGCGATCCCCACCTCCAAGTAGAATCCCTTCCCCATGAGTGTGGCCAAGACTTGGTGACACTTTCTGATGAATAGAATGTGGCGAGAGTAATGGGCCATCATTTCTGAGATTGAGTCCCAGAAGACTGCTGTCCATCTTGCTCCCTTTTCCTCTGTCCACATGCTCAATCCCTCTGAAGGAAATCATGTTGTGAGCTGCCCCATGGAGAGCACTGTGTGGCAAGAACTGAGGGTGGTCTCTGGCTAACAGCCACTGAGAAACTGAGGTTTTTACTACAACAGCCTGTGTGAAACCAAATCCTGCTGACAACCACATGAGTGGCCTTGGAATAGGATCCTCCCTGGCAGAGTCTTCAGATGAGACCACAGCCCCAGCCAACATCTTGGTTCCAACCTTCTGAGAGGCCCTGAGTCAGAGAACCCTGGTTCTTGACCCATAGCAACTGTGAGGTAATAAATGTGTGTGATTTTATGCACCTAGGTTTTGGGATAATTTGTTTTTATAGCAAAAGATAACTAAAATAAGGATCAAACGTAGTTGGAATGATACCAAAGCCCTTGTTTGCTTCCCTCTATACATTTTCTTAAATCACAGCAATAATATTATATGAATATATAACAACCATCCGTATTGATTTTTTTGTTCAGAATTCTAACATAAGTAATTAAAATTAGAAGCCCATCTTTACCTTGCCCTCAACCATCTACTTCTCCCCCAGAGGAAGCACTCTTTACAGTTTTGTGTATCTTCTCTGATCTTTCCTATATATCTAGATACACATACATAATTTTATTAAAACATAAACAGGGTTCTCCTATGCATATTTTTCTGTGATTCACTTTTTTTACTTAATGATGTATCCTGAACATCTCTCCAAGTTGGTACATAAAAAGCTCTTCCTCATTCTTTTCAATGACTGCAGAACCTTCAGGAGGATGGATTTGCTATCATTTCTTTAAACACCCTCCCTACCGATGGACATTTGTTTCCAACAAACTGCAACAAATATCCTTATACATAAATCTTTGTGCGTGTGTATAAGAATTTCTGCAAAAGAGATTCCTAAAAATGGAATTGCTAGGTCCCAAGATACATGTTTTTTAAAGTTTGGGTCATTTCTTATGCATCACATTGCATCCTCAAATGAAAAATAAAACTAAAAAGTCACCAGGTCTCATCATTGCTCCAAGATAAATGGTATACATGCTCTGTGAATCTCAGATAGTGCGCCCACGGGAGGTCAAGGGACAAAGGCTGGGCATCCCAAGCCTTGCAGGCAACAAAATTCACAGGGCCAGCCCTCTTTCTCTCTTTAGATAGCTTAGAGCATCCTGAAAATTATCTTTCCTTTTGATATTTTTTGGGGGGCGGTGGTAAAACAAACAGAATCCAAAAGGTGGAAGAGGAAGAGACCTACATCATGGCAACCAGACTTCAGGTCCAGCTGTTCTGACTTGATATAGAGCCTGGGCCAAGTCATTGTCCCTGCCTAGCCTCAGTTTAGCAACTCATTGAGGGGTTGGACAAGATGGCCTCCAGGCCCCTCCTACATGAGGTTATAGACTCGGTTCAGGAAAGTCGTGAAGAATTGCCCTTCTCTATCACTGGCCATGGGGCCATGTGCAAGTCTCTTATCCCCTCAGGCAGGGAGATTAAAAAACAGCTATTTGAGAGGTATATATTTAATCCACACATTTATTAGGCAACTGGTGAGTGAGGCACCAGAGTTGCAGAGATGGGTATACGTGATCCCCATCCCTAAAATGCTCAGAGGCCAGGGAAAAGGTCAGGTTCTAGCAGCAGGAGCCTGGGAGGCCAGTGCTGTTCTCCATCAAAGCAAGGTACAGAGGGTGTGGGGTTGGGCGCAAAGGCATTGAGCTCTTTGCTAAATCCCCTGCACTGGCACACAGCCAAACAGAAGGAAATGGCATTGTTTTATCCAGTTCTCTGGTGCCTTCCATTTGAATGTGCAATCAGGATGACTTTGTTGTTAATTCTTGAAGAGAAGTCCTAGAGAACCTGCAGAAGGGGACATTGTCAAATCCACTCAAAATCTTCAGCCTAAAAGATGAGAGTCAAGAGCAGGTGTGGTCTCCGGGAAAATGACTCCAGTTGATTTTCTGTTCTAAGCAAAATGGAGATATTTCCCAATGAAGTTTCAAATGCAAAAATCTTAGCAGCAACAAAATCATGAAAACAGCATTCCACATAATGGAAATGTAGAATCTTGAGATTTGTTTAAGCTTTGCAGAAAGTGGCCTGAAGTTGAAGCACAACAAATATTCAACCAGTGAATTCGGTGTCTCCAGATTTGCCCTACTCAAAGTGTGGTCTACAGCTCAGCTACATCAGCACCACTTGGGAGCTTGTTAGAAATACCATCAGGCCCCACCTCGGACCTACAGTATCAGAATCTGCATTTTAACAAGATGCCCAGATGGTTTGTATTAAGGTTCTGGTCATCAGGGTCCTGGGTGACCCAGGTAGAAACTTTTGCCAGATTCAGCCAGGCTTTACACCCTTGGAGAACTAGTAATCTGTGATTACTCTTTGGAAGTTAGTGACAAGCACTGGTCCTGATACCTCTGGACTCAGCTACCAGGCATTCTGGGACCTCAGGTGAGGACTGACCAGTGGTAAAGAGAATGCTGGCAGCAGGCCCAGCCACAGAGGAGGGCACAGAGAGACAGTCTTCCACATATAAAGGGTCATGGCAAGCTCAGGCTTGGTTTGGGCTGGCATTGATTCGGATTGAGCTTCCACACTCTGGGAGGAGGCCCAGTGCAGGTCTGGCTGTTGTTTGTTGGAACACCTTCATTTCTCACTCATTGTTACTTCAAATCCCTATGCTCAGCCACGTGAAGACCCACAGGGCACCAAAGCAATGAGGAGGAGAGCACGTTAGCTCGTATTCCAAGGTCAGAAGCCCATGAAGCCAAACTGACACCAGCTACAACCAACAGGAAGCCCAGTTAAGACTGAAAATACAAACTCCCGGCCGGGTGCAGTGACTCAGGCCTGTAATCCCAGCGCTTTGGAGGCCAAGGCAGGTGGATCACTGAGGTCAAGAGTTTGAGACCAGCCTGACCAACATGGCAAAACCCCATCTCTACTAAAAATACAAAAAAATTAGCCGGGCATGGTGGCACATGCCTGTAATCCCAGCTACTCAGGAGGCTGAGGCATGACAATCACTTGAACCTGGGAGGTGGAGGTTGCAGTGAGCTGAGATTGTGCCACTGCACTCCAGCCTGGGCGACAGAGTGAGATTCTGTCTCAAAAAAAAATACAAACTCCTCTCCAAGGTGTAATCTCCTCTTCTCTGGTCTTTGTTGGTCCAAGACTGATGTTCCTTCTTCCTCATCTTGCCCCCAAAAATTTACTGGAGAACAGGCCCAACAAACTTTCAAACAGGAAGCATGCTTAAATCTGCAGTTGTCATTCATTCCTCCAGTTCCACAACTATTTACTGAACAGTGGAAGAAATCATAATAACGGAGGTGGCTGTAGTTGCTACCATGCACTGAGCATTTGCTGTGAGTTACCTCCCAGCTCTCCTAGTGGCCTCTTAAATTTTGAGGGTAGGGTATTGGGTCTAAAATCTCCCACTCACCTCCTCTGGTTCCTGCCAAAAACAACACATATGAGGAATCACTGGCAAGGATTCTCATTGCCAAATGTGAAATACAGTATGCATCTTCTCCACAGCTAGGCAAGCACCCAGCAGTCCCTGGTGCAAAGCTTCTTGGGAAAGCTGAGCTAACGCGTGGGCTTGAGGCCTGGAAGAGGATTCCTGCAATGCACTCCCTCCTGTGGAGAGTGGTTCAGTGGAACAGATGCTGAGTCCACGCATCCACCCAGGCCCATGAACAAGGATGGCTGGGTCGCCAACAATCCTGGCTGCAGGTGAAGCTGAGCATGTCTGTAAACATGTATCACCTTTTGAGAAAATGACTGTGTCTGCTAGTAAAACATGACCCAGAGAAGGCCAGACTCTTCCAACCAATTCAGAACCTTCTCCCTTTGTGGGAAAGAAGGAATCTGGCTGGGTAGAAAGGCCAGAATCCTTCCCGTGTGGCCCCATCTCTATGAGCAAGACTGAGATATGTTGGGGATTACAGATGCCCTAGAAGATGGTGCCAAGACTAAGCATGGGACACCCTAGTGAGCAAGATGGACCTACTCACCTCCCAGAACCTACTGTGTGTTAGCAGACAAATGCAGCTCAGGTTGGCAACAAAGCTTCCCCAAGGGTCTATGGAAATTTGAGCAGCATGAACAGAGGTTGGCGGGACAAGCACAGGCGTGACAGCCACACTCTGTGGGCTCTTCTCAAGTTATTCTGGGAGGACAAAGCTCTGGTGAGGTGTTGATCAGGCCCCACTGATATTAGGGTCTTTCCTGAGGTCCGGGACTGCAAGTAGAGACAAACTTATGTTTAGCTTTGCCTGCAAGAAAAAAGACACAGGAAGCACTGGGCATTTCTACAAACATGGGGAGATCTGTCCTGGGGGAGGAGGGGAGCCGGGAGCCATGGAATGAAATCCCGAAACACTGTATGAGTTTCTTGTGGCTGCTGTAACAAATACCACACACTTGGTGGCTTAAAACAACACCAATGTATTTTCTCACAGTTCTGGAGGTCAGAAGGCTGAAATCTGGAGGTCACTGAGCCAAAATCGCAGTGTCATCAGGGCTGTACGCCCTCCAGAGGCTCTAGGGGAGAAAAATTCCTAGCCTCTTCCAGCTTCTAGTGCTGCAGCCATCCAGGGCCTGTGGCTGCATGGCTCCAGCCTCTGCCTCTGTGGCCACAGTGCCTTCTCCTCTTCTGTCTTCAAACCTCCCTCTGTCTCTCACAAGGACACACTCAAATAATCTAGGATAACCTCCCCCAGCTAAATGAGATGATTAACCTAATCACATCTGCAAAGACTCTTTTCCCAAATAAGGTAACATTTATAGGTTCCCGGGACGAGGACCTGATATCTTTGAGGGGCCATATACAGCCTACCACAGACACCAGTTTGGGATCTTGAGAAAGTGCTTTCCTGCAACCTGGACTGTCCAAGGTCAGAATGGACTACTCCCCAGCAGTGGGCCCTGCAACAGGTGCACTCAGCCACCCCCTTGGGTCCCTTCAGCATTCTTCTCTGGATGCCAAATGCTGCTTACTGCAAACCTACGACTCTCTGCCTGAGGACTTCTTGCTGCTATAAGAGCTCGCTTAGCTCATGGACTGTATGTGCCAGAAGGGCTAAAGAATAAGTCTCCAGAGGCAGCCCTCAAGCCACAAATGATGAGACATGGAGGATCAATACCCCAGATTCCACGCCTTTCAGGTGTGGTAACTCTGAGCTGGGTTCCATATTGATGCTCAGAGCTCTTCAGTGTGAGCTCCAGTTGCCCACAGCTAGAATATGGCTTGATAATACACCTTTTGCTGACTTATTTATCTTTCCTCGCTCACCTCCCTACTGAAGTTACCTAAGAGCACCTCCTTAAAAAATAAAAATAAAAAAAAAAAAGCTACTTACAAGGGTCTTCTCTCAGGGGATCCCAATTCAAGACAGTTTGTGTAAGAAGTGGTCCTGGCCAGGCATGGTGGCTCACGCCTGTAATCCCAGCACTTTGGGAGGCCGAGATGGGCAGATCACAATGTCAGGAGATCGAGACCATCCTGGCTAACATGGTGAAACCCCATCTCTACTAAAAAAATACAAAAAATTAGCTGGGCGTTGTGGCAGGCGCCTGTAGTCCCAGCTACTCAGGAGGCTGAGGCAGGAGAATGGCATGAACCCGGGAGGCGGAGCTTGCAGTGAGCCGAGATTGTGCCACTGCACTCCAGCCTGGGTGACAGAGTGAGACTCTGACTCAAAAAAAAAAAAAAAAGAAGTTGTCCTGAAATTGGATCTTTTGCCAGTGTGATGGCAAAAGAGTGCCACTGTGGGTAGTCAGGTGACCCCTGGTATGCTGGGCATCACAATTGCAGAAACACTCACCCTGCTGAGTTGGGATAGGGTATGGGTGGGGCAAGATGCACTGGCTAGTGAAATAGCTGTAGCACAATAGCTCTAGCTCCAGAGGGCCATATGGCAATGACAATATAAGGATTGCTAACTGTCACTAGCTGCTATCAAAATTCTGAAGGAAAAAGATGACAGGCTCAGGCCAGCCATCTAGCTACTCAGGACAAGGTGCAAAAGTTAGGTGTCCTCCAGAACAGCATTAGAGCTATCCTTACCCTGCACAGCCAGGGGCAGACTGTGTTGAAAATCAGGCTAAGAATCTGATGGTGGAGGAGCAGAGTTACAGAGGCTGGATTCATGGCCCCAGCAAGCTTCCTATGCTGAAGCCAAGGCCATGATAAGGAAGAAGTGGGTCCTAGAAACCTAGAGTTGGGGCACGTGGGAGGGAGGAACTTAATCCTGCATATGCTCCTGAGCTTTTGGGGCCAGCAGAGGTAGTGCCCTCCTCTTTGCCCCCTTCTCCAGGGAGACCACGCAGAGCCTCATTTGACTCAGGTGCCTTGTGCAATGATGCTTGCCCTTATCAGTAGTTGCCCCCTCCCCTCACGGCTTCTAGACTGATAGTGAAGCCCAAGGCTCAGGGGTTCAACTGGGAAGCACCGACCTGCTCTGGGAGGAGAGGGCTATCTCACTGTGGTGGTGTAGGACCTGGCAGAATGAACCAACATGAACAAGGAGGACATGTCTAGGAGCATATAATGAAGGCATTGGGCCAGGAGGGGGTAAGCGTAATGCTGGATAAAGGAGAGTTTATCAATGTGGAGCACCGTCCCATGACTTGGGATCTAACATCATGGTACGGACACTCAGAGATGGTCTTAATAACCCACTGGGACTGCTGCTTGAGGCTTAGGAAAAACTGGGGAGGAGATGTGGGAACTGGCTTGGTGGAGAGTCTAGGAATGGGTTACAAGGCTCCCAGAGGGGAGCCCACTAGACTAGATTAATTATGTAAGATGAAAGAACCAGCCTTAACTAAAGCGATAATGAGAGGAGTGCTTCGTTCCTGAGAGGTTCAGTAGTGGTGGCCCACCATAGGCCAGGGTGGATGGTAGGGGTGCTGTGATGGAACCAGGTTCTCCAGCATCTGTGGAAATGCTTGGATTCTGGAATCACAGGGGCCAGCTGGCAGCACTTAACCATCAGAAGTAGGAGATGATGTATTAACAGCAGGCAGCAAGGATGGAATGGCAAACAGGGGGCTTTGACCCACAGAGACCTGTGGGGAGGGCTAATAGACCACTGCACTCCTGAGGACAGGCCAGATGGGCAGCCGATGAGGGTACTGCTCAAATTCTAAAACCAAAAAGACCAAGAGCAGGTGTGCAGAAGCCTGCTGTCAGCCACTGCAATGGAGACTTGTGGTCTCTCACCTGCTCTGTAGACCTAAACCAGAGCCCATTGATTGTAGGAGAGGCCAGATGTCTGTGGCAGGTGATGTCAATGCTCCAACCATATCCCCTCACCCATACCCCTGTGGTGTACACTGGCCAACTTCCAAGGCCTTTCATTCCTCCAGGGCTTCCTCTGCTCACCAGAATCTGCTTTATTATTGTCTACTCCACATGCCTGGAGTACCACAGAATTATCAAGTGCAGGAGGGGTGGGAAATAAACCCCACAAAGAGTCAGGGGCCTGGCACATCAGTGAAGCTGCCAGTTCAAGAACTACCTGTTGTGCCTTGAAAAAAAAAAAAAAAAAAAAAAAAAAAGATAGAGGCACAATACTTGACAGGCCTTCCTAGAATCTGGAGACATCCCACATCTGGGAATAGTGTTCTAGCACATTTACTGGGTGGGGCAAATGGCTGCCAGTTTGAGTGGGTCCCAGAGTAAGAGAGGAGTCTACAGCAGGTTTAGGCTGTGGATTAAGTGGCTCTGCTATGTGGGCCAGTGATCTGGCACATTCCATGGTGCTGGAAGTACCCATGGTAGATGAGGAAGCAGGATGGAGCCTTTGGAAAGCCTCCTTTTTTAAGTTTCTGTTTGTTTTAAAAGAACTAGGACCAGCCACCACCTTGAAGAATCAGTGACAGATAAAACAAACCTAACATGAGGCCCAAGAGGATCTGAGCAGTGCAAGGGGTGGACTGTAGCAGATGCTTTTGGTGTCCCCAAAGAAATAGAACTAATTAGAGATATAAACATCTATACATTGACAGAGAGAGAGAGATTGTAGCAAAACCACCATGATGATAATGTTTGACTCCTGCAGACCAAGGTGTTCCACAGCAAGGCCTTTAAACAATGCCCATAGCATAGATAGCCGCTCATAAAGATACCGTCTAACCTCCCCAGTGGACAAGAGTTTTGCAAGAAAGTCTGAGGCATGACCAGCTGCACATGTTTTACCCTAAAAGCTTGCTATAGGAGGGATATTTTCTGGAGGGTGGGTGCAGGAATCCACTGTCTCTCAGCCATCTGAGACATCACTTCTGTTCATAAGGCCCTATTAAATGTTTCTTTCTGAGAAATTGGATTTGTCAGCCTCTTTCTTCAGCCTCTCAGCTCCCTTGGCCTTTGGGGATAGGTTTGCATAGACCTGCTCACCATGGCACAGAGATTTATTTTAAGGAATTGGCCCATATGCTTGTGGGGGTTGGCAAGTACAAAATTTATAGGATAGGCCAGCAGGCTGGAATCTTGGGCAGGTGTACTGATGGTGCGAACTTCCAAATGCATTGGAAGTATGGAGTCTGAAACCTGCAGGGCAGGCCAACAGACTGCAAGGTCAGGCAGGAGTTAATGCTTCAATCTTGTGGCCAAATTTCTTCTTCAGGTAACCTCAGGTTTTGCTCTTAAGGCCCTCTGCTGATTGGATGAGATCCACCCACATTATCAAGTATAATTTCCTTTACTTAAAGCCAACTGATTGTATGTGTTAACTACATCTACCAAATACCTTCGCAGAAACGCCTAGATTAGTGTTTAATAACCTGGTGCCGTTCCCTGGTGAAGCTGACACATGAAACTAACCATAATGGACCCTGCCCTCCACCCTCCATGTCTGTGGCATTCACGTCTACCTCTACATGTCAACAGTTGCTAACCTCAGACACTTGGGATGTTCTGCCTGCATTAGTCAGCTCCAGCTGCCAGAACAAAATACCGCAGACTGGGTGGCTAAGATGATAAATATTTATTTCTCACCATTCTAGAGGCTAGGGAGTCCAACGTCATGGTACCAGCCAATTTGGTTCCCGGCAAGGGCCCATTTCCCGGTTCACAAATGACACCTTTCTGTGTCCTCACATGCTAGAGAGAGAGCAAGAGGGCTCTCCCATCTCTTTTTGTGAGGTCACTAATCCCGGGACAAGGGTTCCACCCTCATGACCTAATCACCCCAAAGTCCCCACCCCCTAATACCATCACCCTGGGATCAGGCCTTCAACATATGAATGTGGGGGGTATGCAAACACGCAGTTTATAATCCTTCCTTCCTCTGCCTTTCTTTCTTTTTTTTTTTTTTTTTTTTTTTTTTTTTTTTTTGAGATAGTCTCTCTCTGTCGCCCAGGCTGGAGTGCAGTGGTGCTATCTTGGCTCACTGCAACCTCTGCCTCCCGGGCTCAAGCAATTCTCCTGCCTCAGCCTCCCAAGTAGCTGGGAATACAGGCGCCCACCATCGCGCCTGGCTAATTTTTGTACTTTTAGTAGAGACAGGGTTTCGCCATGTTGACCAAGCTGGTCTTGAACTCCTGACCTCAGGTGATCCACCAGCCTCTGAAAGTGCTGGGATTACAGGTATGAACCATCGTGCCCGGCCCTTCCTCTGCCTTTCTCTTCTACTCAGTTCTTCAACGGATCAGCTGACACCCACTCGCACTGGAGAGGGCAGTCAACTTCACTGAGGCCACTGATTCCAGTGCTGAGCTCAGCCTGAAACACCCACAACAGACACACCCAGAAATAATGCTTAGCCAAATACCGGGGCAGTCTGTGACCCGGCCACATTAACACATAAACTTAACCATCCCAGGCCAGGCACCGTGGCTCACGCCTGTAATCCCAGGACTTTGGGAGGCCAAGGCAGGAGGATCACATGAAGCCAGGAGTTCAAGACCAGCCTGGCCGACATGGTGAAACTCCATCTCTACTAAAAATACAAAAACTAGGTGGGTCTGGTGGCACATGCCTGTAATTCCAGCTACTCAGGAGACTGAGGCAGGAGAATCATTTGAACCTGGGAGACAAAGCTTGCAGTGAGCTGAGATCCCACCACTGCACTCCAGCCTGGGTGACAGAGTGAGACTCTGTCTCAAAAAAAAAAAATTTTTAATAAAATAAATAAATAAATAAACCATCACAGTCCTCAAGGCACAGAACATTTGACCTCTAAAAGTCTCAGTGATCTGGAAGGCCAGCCCTCATTTCACAGGGCAAGAGGGTGAGCTTTGGAGAGGGGGACACCGGGCCCCAGATGTCCTTAGCTCCTGGCCAGCACCAGTTGGTCTCACCTGCCTGGCTATTCATTCCAGAGTGGATGCACAATGGCAGGAGTTCTGGTCTCTGGTCCAGTACTTACGATGCAGCCCCAGGTGGGTGACAACTTCTTGGAGCCTTAGTTTTTGCATCATCAATGTGAGAATAGTAACAGTTCCTCTTTCATAGAATTGTAGGGAGGATTAATACATGGGACTCATCTATGAAAAGGCCTCCACATGGTGCCTGAGGCAAGGAAGTGCTCAAATAAATGTTAGACATTCCTTAAGATTGATGTAACACGCCACAGAGAACTTCAAAAATACTACCAGGAACCATGATTTTAATTTATAAGGCTTTCTAACCCACAAATACAGCTAGTCTCTTCCCCCCATAAAATTCATACAATTTTCTGAAAATTTCAAGATTGATGGTACCCTTGATCAAAGTGTCACCCAAGGCAGCCATCAAAATCCAGCCCATCCTGTCTATTTCAACCTGGGCTGATAGCCGGCAGCAAGATCATGTGATTTGTTGGCAAGGGCCCTGGAGGGTCCATAAAGCAGGGGAGGCTGGGCAGAAAGATCTGTTTAATTCCCACTTTCCAAGGGGTTGTTATTCAACTCACCCTCCTCCCTTCCATCCAAGAGTAAATCAAAAGCTGCCATCATTGGCTTCCATAGATCAGCGGCCGGCACTCTGCACCCGCCCTCACCTCTGTCCCATGGTACTCCACACCCAGGAAGCAGCAGGCAAGTTTAATTAGTCCTCGAAGCTGTTCCTCGTTAACAATCCATCCCCTCCTGGTTCCCAAACACCTTGAGATCTGTCTCCATTAAAGTCTGGGAGGAATGACCCCAGTTTGAGGTTCACGCTCATTAGTTGCTGAGACCAGCTGGTGGTGAGCTGCTGGCTGTGAGATGAGACCTGTGGTTGGCTGTGAAATTAATGAATTTTTCTTCCTTAACCTCCTGAGCCTGCATAGTCTACCCCCGGCCAGTAAACAATCAAAGGCCCAAAGGACACGTTATTGCAATAAACACCCAGGGTGTTCTAGTTAATAAAGTATCATGAATTCTGCATTTTATTCAGAGGAACACATTTTTAAAAATACACTGAACAATAAAGCGACACAGAACAGAACTGTATCTTTCTGGAGAAGTCCGGAGGCTAAGCTGTACATCTCAGGGCCTCAGCAGCGAAATCCTCAATTGAGTCCAGGCAGAGCAGGAAGAGGAGGGTTAACCAGGACTGCTGAGATTGAGGGTGCTACAGCACTGCACTGGCTGAACACACTCTCCAGTTGTTTTGTAACTGGTGGGCATAGCCAAGTTTCCCCAGACAGCACAAAGCCCCCAGTCTGCAGAGAGAGACCATGGGTGGCGTAGGGGTTCTCAGAGTGGCCCCCGCGCTGGTGACTTCAGTGGGAGCTTTGTCTGAGATGGGGGGACATGAGGCCAACCCAACCGGGCTAATGGAGGCCAAGAGAAGAACAAGAAGGAAATTCATTTATTAAGGACCAGTTCGCACTGTAAGACATTAATCCTTCCCTTTTTAAATTCATTCCTTACCTGACTTCCCTAATAAAGATAAAGTGTTCACTTCCTTGGGTACTTAATCTATGTCAGACCCTAGGGTAAGCATTTTACATATTTCTTCCCCAAAGCCTCATGGCGAGCCCTGTGGATTTGCTGCCTGGAAGGCATCCACAACCGCCTTCCCTGGCCTTCCTCTGCTAAAGACTCTAAGGGGTCCATTGTCCAGATGTTGTTGAAATTGGGGTGATCATCCATCATGATTCTGGCCAAGAAGATGTAAGCCAAAGGCCCTAGGGAAGTCCCCCCTCCTTCCTGAGCAGAGTTGCTTATTCTTCTTTCTAACTGGAACATAGATGAGATGCTGGAAGTAGAGCAGTCATTTTGAGGCCATGAGGCAGCATGAGGACAGACCCAACATGCTAAAAATGGTGGACGGGGAAAAGACAGAAGGAGTCTGAGCCCTGTGGGGAAGACCTGATGGGCCATTGCAAGAACCCCAGACCTGCTGCTCTGGATTTCTCGCTAGGTGAATGTTTTAAAATAAACTTCACACCTATGCCAGCTGAGTGTTCTGTTACCCCTAGTGAAAAGCAGTTTTTGTTTTTGTTTTTTTGGGTTTTTTTTCTTTTTTTTTTTTTGAGATGGAGTCTCTCTCTGTCACCCAGTGGAGTGCAGTGACATGATCCCAGCTTACGGCAATCTCCACCTTCCGCGCTCAAGTGATTCTTCGACCTCAGCCTCCCAAGCAGCCGGGACTGAGGCACACGCCACCACACTCGGCTAATTTTTGTATTTTTAGTAGAGATGGGGTTTCGCCATGTTGGCCAAGCTGATCTCAAACTCCCGGCCTCAAGTGATCCACTTGCCTCGGCCTCCCAAAGTGCTGGGATTACAGGCGTGAGCCACCAAGCCCATGTGAAAAGCATTTCTAACCAATACATTCCCACTCTCTAGATGCGGCAAGTCAAATCGGTGGGGTGACTGCTGAAGGCCACCTGGGAGCGAGCGGTAGGACTAGGATTCACTGTGACTGTGCACTTCTTGTCACTCGGTCCTCCCTGCCATCATCCAGTGCCCCAGCAAGGAATCACATGCATACAATTTGCAAGTGTTTTTGATTGTCACATATCTCGAATGCATTAACTCAGAAACAAGGCTCGAACAATCCATGTATATAACTGACAGCTATAATTAAAGCTATTGATAATATTAATCTTAATAATAGCTAACCTATCTCATTTAACCTGACAACAACCCTATGAGGTCATTGCTTCTCACCAGGGGAAACTGAGGCACAGAGTGGGTAAGTAACTTTCCCAAGATCTCACAGCCAGTGAATAAGCCGAGTTTCAAACCCAGGCTGCCTGGCCCCGAGGCCCCCATGCTAACCACTGCCAGTGTGGGCAGGAGCAGATCTCAATAGCTTATGGTGCACGGCTCCCTTTGAATGTCCCAGATGAAACCACCTGCCCCGCCACCCCTCCCCAGGATGCCCAGGGTTCTATCTGTCCCCCTACACTCCTGCCAGCGAGGCACAGAGGCAGGAAGGGTGCAGAGGCTGCTGGACCATCTTTGGTCCCTTGCTGGGCTCTTTTCCTGAGGCTGACAGGCGGCCTTCTCATTTTGTTTGCCCTTCCCTTATTCATCCTGAGCAAGCCTGTTTGCCAGACTGACTTCTCCAAAGTTGGGACCACAACAAGAACAGACAACACATTGATGCAAAGTCTACAGAGGTTTTATTTCACTCCAAAACAGAAAAACCAGAGTCCCCTTCCCTCTCTCTTGTTCTTTCTCTCCTCTTCCCTCCCCCTTCCATTGCATCTTTAATATGCTATCCCATTGCATCTTTAAAAAGCTACTTCTGCAGGGCCACCCATTTATGCGACCTGGAGCTGGGAGGGCACTGGCCACCATCTGATCCAAGTTCCTCTTGGCGGCCATGAGCCACGTGACCTCAGACGAGTCGCCTCCTGCCTCACTTTCCTCAACAAGAAACTTCTTTCCATGAAACAGAAAACAAATAGATCGAAAAGCCAGCAGGGAAGGGTCCGAGGGAAGCCAAAGGGGAAGTGCAGCCAGGAAAACACAGCCAACTCCCCACCCGCAGCAAGTTGCTGGATTCAGAGTGTCAGCCAGGGTCCCTTTCCAATCTCACAGTTGAAGAGCGAGCAGTCCAGGAACCAGTCAGGCACTGCCCTCTGTCACCACTGACTGTGGACCTCTCATTGGGGAGCAAGTGGTGCCGCGCTCATCAGCACAGACTCGCAGCCATGCTGCCCACGTTCAGACACTTAGCACTTCCTCTCGTAGCTGAGATGCCTCGGCCCATGGTGCTGCCTCTCTGCCTCAGTTGCCCCTTCTGTGAAATGAGAATCCAAACAGTACCTGTCCCTGCAGGTTGGGAGGACCCATGGAGAGGACACATGTAAATGCATTTGAACGCTGATATGCACACAAACGTTCCCAACAGATGGTTAGTATTTGTGTTGGTTTTAGTGGAGGATCTTTGAGATATAGGCACTGCTTACAATCTTATCAGGGGAAGGAAACAGGAACACTCTCAATGCTAACAAGAGGAAGAAGGGAGAAATCGCCATGCCCACTTTGTAAAGATGGAAGCTGGGACTCAGAGAGGTTGAGTTGCCCAAGGTCACACAGCTAACAACACAACTGCGACTCAGACCACGTCTTCTGACTTGGGTACCCTGTTCACACTCACTTGGACAGAGCTGAGCACCAGGGCCCAGGGCTTCTGGCTGCCTCTGAGAGAACCACCCAGGTCCTAAGGACTCAGCCCAAAGCTCAAGGAAAGATGACAGGTTTTCCAGGAACCTCACAGTGGAGTTCTCTGCCCCACACTGGTCCCTTCTAGAGCTCCTAGGTTGGTCTTAGTGAAGGTGGCTCAAGGTGGCTTCAATGGTCTCATCACTCTCAGAGGACAGTCAAGGAGGTAATGATGTGAGATTGGCCCCTGAGAGGGGAAAGCTCTGAGTTCCTACTCTAGAAGCCCTAGCCTCCTCCCCTCCCTGGTATGTTTTGGCAACTTGGGAAACAGATGTGGGTTATGCAACCTCTGCCATCCCCACAGCCTGTTCTCTATAACATAACAGGTGCCCTTTGTGGTAGAGGAACACTTCTGACACAAGGTTCCAACTCTGCTGCCTGAGGATATGGAATGAGACAGCTGACCTGCATCAGGTCAGGGCTGATCCAGGGGAAGCAGACTGGAGCCGTGAGGAGTGACAGCCTTCAACAGTGGCATGTCCTACCCCAGCTGTGTTTCTGCCACCCTCCTCTATCCATGAGAAAGCACCATCATTTATGCCTGTCTGCAGCCAGGGCAATTTTTCAAGCTTTACTCTTTTTGTTTTATTACAATAGAATTTTCTTGGATTTCCAAATATAAGATCATGTTTCAGTGTTAACTGACTGGTTCATGGAACACCTGTCCCAGCTCCCTGACTCCCAGGTCCCAACACACATTTGAGCTGCACATCGCCACCCAGAGGCTAACTCGCTGCCATGAGCAGGTGGCCCAGAATGTGATGCGGCCCCCACAGACCTGTGCAATGCTGCATGGAATGCCGGAGGGCCAGGGGCAGGCTCAGCCTTGCTGAGGAGCCCACACTGTTTCTAATACATGTCTCAGCCAGAACCAGCGCCCAGCATGCCACAGAAGGCGCCTTTCTGAACTCGTAAAAAACAGTCTGACATGCGCTGGCTGAAGGCGCCAAAAGAAATGGGTGCCAGCCCATTTCCGAGGATTTGGCTTCCAATATGCATCCGAGACACAGACACAGCATGTGGAGTGGTGTCTGAGCACCACGCCAGGCCCACAGGGAGCCAGGAAGCGCCCACCCCACAGGGCTGCCTACCTGCCACCCACCACTGCAGCGGGCTTGCAGACTGCATGGTCAGCCTGCTTCTCCCCGCATTCTGACCCCTCTCAGCTTCCTTGACTCAAGGATTCTTCCTCTGGGGGCCAATCTCACATCTCTACCTCCTTGACTGACCTCTGAGAGCAATGAGACCATCCAAGCCACGTTGAGCCTCCTTTCCCAGGACCAACGTTCAGAATCGAACGGTAAGGAGCTAGCAGTGTCCACTGCGATCGGGGGCAATGCGCTATGCCAGCGTGAGCTCTGCTGTCCTCACAACAGTCACAATCACCAGTTGTGATTGCACCTGTTTTCAGAAATGCCAACTGAAGCTTAGTGAGATTTCAGAAGTCTGTCCCGAATGCCCCCCGCACCAGCCCCAGCACGCCGTCTTGAACATGGGGAGCATGCAATAGACATCTGAGGAAGGAATGTCAAGTGGACCCCTGGTGTGTCTACCCCGAGCAGAAGCAGCTGCAAGAAGAGGAGAAGGGGGTCTTCCCAGACATGCAGGGACATCAGAACAACATGTGAGCCAGGCAGGTGCCACAGCCCTGAGAGCATAGAGCTGGGGGATATTCAGGAGGAGGTGTTTGGTTGCAAATGAAAAAAACCCAAATCAGTTACCTCGGCCAAAAAGGGGGGCCCTTCATAAGCTACTATAAAGGGCGGCCTAGGGAGTGCATCCCAGGCACTGCTGGATCCAGGGTCTGAAGTGACTGATGCCCGGAGCCACCCTTCTGTCTGTTGATGCCTCATTCTCTGCTCCTTGACCCTCCTACGGGGACAGGCTCTGTTCCTGTACCAGGAACTTGCTGGCCTGTGGGCCCTTAGTCTCATCTTCCATCCCACGTACCTAGTCACAACACACCGCCCCATTGGTGCCGGCTAGTATGCCCTGAACCAGAACAGGGGGAGGAGGGCAGTCTTTGACCAGGATGGTGCCATGCGATGATCCTGTGGCCAAGTGGGCACTTTGACCTTTGCTCCCTCCTCCTGCATCCTTCCAGTCAGTGGCCACCCAATTTCTGCCCAGGGACCCTTCTGTCCTCCTCCCTGTCCCCCTCTGGGACGCCTGCTCCTTCTCTCTGCCCCTCCTCCACTCTTTCTCCCCCGCCATCTCCCTGCCTTACAGAAATTGCTATTTCCTTATGCATCAACTCAAACAACACCAATTATGACTTCACCCAGGAAAACAGTACTGGATGGAACCCGTGGCCGCTCGTGATGGTAGAAGCTGCGATTAGTAGTTTGATATGGACGAAAAGTGATTTAAGAAGCAAATCTCTGCTGTAAGATTCTAAATGCAAAAAAAAAAAAAATTGATCCCTATGAAAATAATTTCAGCAAAATGGAAATGGAAACATCAGGAATGGCTTAACTGCGCTGTATAGAAAATTGATAGAGGGATTACATCAGCTTAATGGGGTCCCCGCTGGAATTCTGATACTTTCTAGATGAAAACTCATCACTGTTGGGTAATTCTGGTTAAAATGCTGACATTCAAAATGACTTTGGGGTCAAAATATCCACAGAAGCAAAAGAGTTAGGTCAAATGTCCCAATCTCTGACCAAGGAGTTAAGGTTTTATACTTAGTAGCCCCAACAGAAGTAGGGGATGAGATGAAGCAGTGTCCCTAAAGACAAAGTGGAGGAGGTGGGAATAATTCCAGAAAAACAGTGGAGAGAAGGAGCTGGATTACAGACACAAATGCTGAGCTTCCCGCCTGACTCCCTGCTGAGGCATGGGTGCCTCTCGGTCCCTGCAGGCTCGATCCCTGCAGATCTCTGCAGATCGTATCCATGATGGGGAAGGCCCCCTTCCGCCCTCTGCCAGCCCTGCACCCAGCTTCTGCAGCCCAGGGGCTCCCACCTACCACGTGGTGGCCTGAAGCCCCCACCAAAGTCCCAGCAGCCTCATGCCAAACTGACTTCTGTGAGTCCCAAACACAAACAGAAAGCAAAAGTGCTTAGCAAGTGCTATTTTTTCTAAATGACATTTATTGTTTTTGTTTTTCTAACCACAATATAGTGTAGTCTGAGGCAGAAGCTTTGGAAGAGGCAGAAAAGAGAAGGAAAAGTATCCACTCCAGCCCCCTGCTCATGGAGGAGCGCCGCTGACCACGTGGAGCCTGGCACCTGCGCATCTGGAAGGAAGGGCAGGCCCCGGAACCTGCGGTCATAATCGTGCCTGTGGGAGAGCCCAGCCAAGGAGAGGGCTCCCTTCCAGCTCCTTGCCAGGACACACAGCCCTAAGTGTGTCCTGGGCTGCTCAGAGCTGCCATTCCCACCTGTGACGTAGGGGCCACATGCTGGCTTCAGGAGGGCGGTGAAGACCTGGGGCTGCGGAGACGAATGGAGCCCCCCACAGTGGTTCTCCAGCATAACCTTCTGAGCTTCATTCTCCCCATGGGGAAAATCAGAGTAACCATCCCACAGGGCTGCTGGGAGGTGAAATGAGCGATTTCCAGGCCTGTGTTTGTGTCCTCCTGGCAAGCACCCTATCAGGCCAGGATGCTTGTCATTTCCACTTTACAGATAAAGGAAATGAGGCCGGGGGCATAAGTTATCCCTGACCAAGACCTCACGGCTAGGAAGTAATAGGACTGGGACTCACACCTCAGCTTGTGAGAGCCTGGAGCTCTCTTAACCATGTGGCTACCCAGTGGGAGGGAGAGGAGGAGGCTTCCCTCACTGAGGAGAGAGGAACCACATGGCCCTATCACCAACCAAGTCACTCTCTGGGGACCATGGCATTCCCTCTCGAGGAGCCCCCAAAGTCAGCAGCGCTTCATTCATCCTTCCATACATTCTAACTTCCAAGTCTCCAGAAAGAACGAGATGAGTCATTTCTGACCAGGGAAACCTAACAGTTAAAAAGGGGCCTGTTTCTCTTCCAGTTTCCAGGTGCGAGGGTCAGAGGATGTGGTCAGAAAGGACTTTTTTAAAAAGTATTCTACGTGTCACTGGTTACCGCACACTGCCAGGGCTGCACGTTGAGTCGGATGTCCACACCTACATGGTCCCCTAGGACTCCTCCCAAAACACAAGGGGCCCCTGGGCCCCTGGCCAGAGCCCCCCGTCGCCCAGCCCCTCACTCCCCAGGCTGCACAAACATTTGTCTTTCCAAATCAGGAAGCTGCCCTCCGCCGCCTTTCAGAAGCAAAGTAAAAACAGCTGCTATTTTTGAAAGGGTATTTTTGTAAAACAATCTCTGGTTTCCTTCAGGAATTTCAACCCCAGAGCCCCCTTGGTGATGTGGTTTCTGTAGGAGTGAACATACATCCGACCGCGCAGGCAGGGGGACTGCCGCTCGCTGTCCCCTCCACCTCTCCGCCGAGGCATGCCCGGTGTCCAGCAACCCTCACAGCCCCAGTCATCCACTCAAGTCCATTTTCACCAGCATCTCTTAGCCCCTGCTTTCTGTCAGAAGATGCAGGGACTCCAAGATACAGAGAAGTGGGTCTCTGCCCCTCAGGGGCTCACAGCCCAGGACAGACACACAGATCAGCATCTGCGATGCACCGCGGTCTCTTGTATATTTCATGCAGCCTCTCACGCCTTGTCTGTCGGGGTCCCTGCACACTGGGCACCACAACCAAGCCTTGAGGAGGAGTTGGCCCAGTTCCAGCAGCCCTCAGGCTGCTCACAGTCCAGTGGGGAGGCCTGAGCGTAGGGCCAGGTGGCCCAGGGAAGGGGGGGATTCACAGATTCACCCTGTGTAGGGCCCAAAGGGAAGCCTCATGGGGTCAGGGTATTTGCATGAATGGACGCAGCTGAGTTCACCAGGCGTCCAGGCAAGGAAACAGCAGGACAGAAAACATCAAGAGCTCTGGGCAGTTTAGCTTGTCTGGGAGTGGGGGCAGTGGGCCCAAGGCGTGTTGGTGGGAATTACCGAGGACGCCATTTGAAAAGGGTAAGTATTGCCCTCCCTCCCACTGCTGGAGGCGCTTGGAGGCTTCCACCTTGAGCTCCGTAGTCAGGAGACCTCAG
Source organism: Homo sapiens (assembly GCF_000001405.40). Taxonomy (NCBI): domain Eukaryota; kingdom Metazoa; phylum Chordata; class Mammalia; order Primates; family Hominidae; genus Homo; species Homo sapiens. The sequence goes on from NC_000010.11 coordinate 124,222,867, forward strand.
CATCTTGTGAGGCATGAGCTGTAACAGGGAGTGTGTTCAGGGCGCCGCCCCCCAAGCCCCAGGCAGCCAGGATTTGCCCATTTTCAGAGCTTCATCATAGCAACTCCTAAACATACTGAGTGCTTAATTTATGCAAAGCACTGTTCCAAGCTCATAAGTCACAGAGCTGGGATTCAAGCCCAGGGAGCCCATTACCTGAGCCTGTATCAATAACCCAGGCAGGCCTTGCAGGGGGTTCAGGGAGCTCCTGAGAGTGACTTTCAGGCAGCTCGCTGTCCTGGCCAGAGCTAGTCCATCCCATCCCAGCCTCGGATGAAGAGCAAACCCTGAGGCAAGAGAGGATTGGGGGAGATTGACGACGATGCAGCTGGCTGCCAGCAACATCCCTGGCACCTAACATGCATTAAAGCTCATTATGTGCCAGGTTTCGTGCGAAACCTTGTAACTGCATTAGCACATTTATCCCTCAATCCTATGAGGTGAGAACCACTTTATCCCCATTTTACAGTGGAGGGAACGGAAGCCAAAAGCAATTAGGTTTCCTGCCTGGAGTCACAAAGCAGTCAAGGCTGGGCCAGGAGTCCAACCCAGGTGGTGTGACAGGCAGTCCGGACACTCTCCCGGCCACTTGGGCATCCTTGCACAGCTGAAGAGCCTGGACAGTAAGGGGAGGTACCACGCAAGGGCAGTGATGACAGGGCACAGCATAACCCTGCACCCCCTTACCCAGGCCTCTTTATAGATGCCCAGATTTGGGGCAGAACTGCCTGGCTGACTTTCCTGCATCAGTGACATTTGACACCTGACCTGGGAGGTTTTGAAGTGAGGAAAACTGATGACACATTTCTGCACATTCCCACTGTTCAATGCCAGCCGAGAACACTCTTGAGAAGTACAAGGGGTTTGGCTAAATCTCCTGCCTGGAATGGGACAAGAGCAGGTAAGAGGCAGCCCCCCTGTACACAGAAGCATCGGCAGGCAGGGTCATACGCATTCCCAGCAGGTTGTGCAGAGGTAGGCTCCTGGGTCAGCGGGAGGAACCCAAACACTGGTGATGACAAGGGCATGCCCAGGCCTTCCTGTGCACTTCCGAGAGCCAGGGCCTGGAGATGGGAACATGTAAGCCAGGCCATGAAGCACTGAGAAGTCTGTTTAACTAAAGTGGGCAGGGATGCTCAAGGACCCACCAGGAGATGGAAGGGGCTGCGGTCAAAGGCCCTGACGCTGGAGGTTTTCAGTCTCACCCCCTCCTTTCTGGCAGTAGAGGAATTCTGAGTGTTTCCCATCTCTTCCACCTCCTCATTTGCTGCTGTTTTCCAACCCTTACTTTAAATTCCCCACCAACATACACATGCACACACAAACACACAGCTTCTAGAGCCCCATCTCCATATATCAAGTGAAAAGAGTGATTTTCATGGGTAAACCTTGTTTCCCAAGGATGCAGCCTGGCCCTTGGTCAATGTGAGGGGAACTTAACCAGCTCCTCCAAGACTGAGATTTGGCTTCGAGTTCAGCATGGAGCCGGGACCCCCAGGGCTGGTCAGTGAAAGTGAGTGGAGCTGAATACCAACAGGGCTGGGGTGGAGTGGGTCCAGGGCCCACGCCACAGCCCTGGCTCTTTCCACGCTGCGGTGGCCACCTCAGCCCCAGCCTGTGTCTGGGATGCTGTCGAAGTAGCGAAGTGCTTCATGCACCAGCATCAGGTGGCCGTGATCAGGCTATGGGTTTAACGCAGCATGAAGATGGGTGGGGAATGGGATCACCTCTCTCTGCCTGCATCCCCCAGACCCTGGAGTCTGCTCCACAGAAGGCAGAAGCTGAGTGAGTGAGCTGGGAGGCCCGGGAAGCATATCTCCAGTGCCATTCCCAGTCTGGGCACCAGCCTCCTCTGCGCCCTGCGGGCTACGGGCCAGCCCCTGGGCTCCAGCCTCCCACGTACGATGCCTATTTGGAAGTGAACCAGGATAGAATTTCTAAGGGTTGAGCCACCTTCCTGGGATCACTTGCTGAGTCAGATGCTGCCAGAACCACAGAATGTCCCCAAAATTCACAAGACACCCATATCCTTTCTCAGGGCACCGGCTCATTTATGTGCAGGCTGAAGCTATTTGGTTTGTTCTAAAAAGCGTGGCACCAGCAGCTTCAGTTAAAGAGATCGCAAACTTTGCAGACACAAACAACTTGAAAAATAGGTCAAATCCTGTTTTGTACATTCACAGGGCTGCCTTTTCCAGCGTTTCTCCCTAAAATCAAATCAGCAGTGTATGTAAATGAGTTGAGAGAATTCATTACGTTAATTTATCTAATTTTGGAGGCAAACCTGAAACAAACAGCGCCTCACTTTCTAACACTCAGGCCCTCATAGAATATTGATTCCTGAGTTTTACTGGCCTTGCACGAAGGCCTTTTTATAGCCCCAAAGGAATGAGATCATCAGTTTCCTCAGGCATACAAATGTCCTGCTCAGAGGCCCTGAGACAGCATTCTCCAAGGTCATTTCAAGGGATGGCTGGCATGGTAGACCACCCAAAGCTCAGATTTGGGAGTCTATGGGACGTGCATGCAGAAGCACTGTGCCTGGGGCCACCGATCCCAGCAAGATCAACAGCTGCGAATGGCAAGTGGTCCCAGCAGAGGTGGCGGTGAGGTCCATATTATTTCAGGATCCTGGCAGTGTTCATGGTAGTAAGCTGTGGAATTAAGAATATTTCCAGGGCCAAGGCTGCCAGCAACAGAGCTGTGTTCATGGCAGAAAGAAGCCCAGACAAACAGTGATGGCTTCATCACCTCCTGCCTCTCAGTGGGCCAGTGTGATGTCCTCAGAATGATACATTTCACTGTGAAGAACCCCAAATTCCCATGTGACCCCGGAGCCAGCCGTTTTAGCAGACTAACCATGATTTTCATCCAGTTTTGTGAACAGTGATTGCCACTGCTGGCCAGTCCCTCAAGGCAGCCAAGTAGGTGCAGGACTGTATTTTATATTTGGAAGAACACAAGGAGCTCTGTCTGACCCCAAATGTCTCTTTGCTGCCTGTTGGTAGCTGGGGCCAAGGGTCTCCTGCAGCTAGGATCACAGGCCTTCAAGATGGGTGCAAGGCAGAGCACACAGAGCTCAGGGCACGCGGTGGACTGCTTTGCAGTCCTTGCTCTGCCTCGGAATACCGTGTGGAATATTGTGTACAATACCGTGTGGAATGCCATGTGGAATATTGTGTGGAATACCGTGTGAAATACCATGTGGAATATTTTGTGGGATACCGTGTGGAATATTGTACGGAATAACATGTGGAATAATGTGTGGAATAATGTGTGGAATACTGTGTGGATACCATGTGGAATAACGTGTGGAATACGGTGTGCAACACAGTGTGGAATACCATGTGGGATATTGCGTGGAATACCGTGTGGAATACAGTGTGGAACATTGTGTGGAATACTGTGAGGAATATAGTGTGGAATACTATGTGGAATATTGTGTGGAATACCATGCGGAACACTGTGTGGAATAACGTGGGGAATATTGTGTGGGATACCATGTGGAATAACGTGTAGAATATGGCGTGGAACACAGTGTGGAATACCACGTGGAACATTGTGTGGAATACTGTGTGGAATACAGTGTGGAATACTTTGTGGAATACCGTGTGGAATATTGTGTGAAATACCATGTGGAATATTCTTTGGAACACTGTCTGGAATACCATGTGGAATACCCAGTGGAATATTGTGTGAAATACTGTGCAGAATATCGTGTGGAATACCGTGTGGAATACTGAGTGGAATACCATGTGGAATACCGTATGGAATACCATGTGCAGTACCGTGTGGAATACTGTGTGGAATACCATGTGAAATATCGTGTGGAATACTGTGTGGAATAACATGTGGAATACTGTATGGAATACCGTGTGGAATACCATGTGGAATATTGGGTGGAATACCGTGTGGAATACCAGGTGGAATGCCGTGTGGAATACCATGTGGGATACCATATGAAATATCGTATGGAATACCCTGTGGAATATTGTGTGGAATACCACATGGAATATTGTGTGGAATACATTATGGAATATTGTGTGGAATACCATCTGGAATACCATGTCAAATACCGTGTGGAATATTGTGTGGAATATCATGTGGAATATTGAATGGAATACCGGGGGGAATACCATGTGGAATACCATATGGGATACTGTGTGGAATACCATGTGGAATATTGGGTGGAATACCATGTGGAATATTGTGTGGAATACCGTGTGGAATACTATGTGGAATACCATGTGGAATATCGTGTGGAATATCATGTGGAATATTGTGTGGAATACCTTGTGGAATAGTGAGTGGAATACCATGTGGAATACTGTGAATAATATATTATTGAATATTGTATGGAATATTGTGTGGAATACAGTGTGGAATACTGTGTGCAATATTGTGTGGAATTCTGCATGGAATATTGTGTGGAATACCGTGTGGAATATTGTGTGGGATACTGTGTGGAATAACGTGTGGAATATTGTGTGGAACACCATGTGGAATATCGTGTGGAATATTGTGTGGAATACCATTTGGAATACGGTGTGAAATATTGTGTGGAATACCTTGTGGAATACCATGTGGAATACCATATGGGATACTGTGTGGAATACTGTGTGGAATATTGGGTGGAATACCATGTGGAATACTGTGTGGAATATTTTGTGGAATACCATGTGGCAACCTAGTGAAATATTGTGTAAGATAACGTGTGGAATAACGTGTAAAATATTGTGTGGAATACCATGTGGGATACTGTGTGAAATACTGTGAGGAATATCGTATGGAATATTGTGTGGGATACATTGTACAATATTGTGTGGAATACCGCCTGGAAAACTGTGTGGAATATTGTGTGGAATACTGTGTGGAATATTGTGTAAAATACCATTTGGAATACCATGGAGTACTGTGTGGAATATTGTGTGGAATACCGTGTGGAATACTGCGTGGAATATTCTGTGGAATACCACGTGGAATGCCATGTGGAATATTCTGTGGAATACCATGTGGAATATTTTGTGGAATATTTTGTGTAATACCATGTGGAACACCATGTGGAATATTGTGTGGAATACCATGTGGAAACCTAGTGAAATATTGTGTAAGATAACATGTGGAATAACGTGTAAAATATTGTGTGGAATACTGTGTGGGATACTGTGTGAAATACCATGAGGAATATTGTATGGAATATTGTGTGGAATATTCTGTGGAATACCAGCTGGAATACTGTGTGGAATATTATGTGGAATACCATGTGGAATATTGTATGGAATATTATGTGGAATACTGGATGGAATACCATGTGGAATTCTGTCAGAATACAGTGTAGAATATTGTGTGGAATACCGTGTGGAATATTGTGTGGGATACTGTGTGAAATACCATATGGAATATTGTATGGAATATTGTGTGGAATACCATGTGGAACATTGTGTGGAATACTATATGGAATACTGTGTGGAATACCAGCTGGAATACTGTGTGGAATATTATGTGGAATACCATGTGAAATATTGTGTGGAATATTGTGTAGAATACCATTTGGAATATTGTGTGGAATACCATGAGGAATACCATGTGGAATACTGTGTAAAGTATTGTGTGGAATACCATGTAGAATACTGTGTGGAATATTCTGTGGAATACCGTGTGGGATATAGTGTGAAATTCCGTGTGGAATACCATGTGAAATATTGTGTGGAATATTGTGTGGCACACAGTGTGGAATATTGTGTGGAATACCATATGCAATACCATATGAAATATTGTGTGGCATACAGCATGGAATATTGTGTGGAATACCATGTGGGATATAGTGTGAAATTCCATGTGGAATACCATGTGAAATATTGTGTGGAATATTGTGTGGCATACAGCATGAAATATTGTGTGGAATACCATATGGAATACCATAGGAAATATTGTGTGGAATATTGTGTGGCATACAGCTTGGAATATTGTGTGGAATACCGTGTGAAATACCATGTAAAATGTTGTGTGGAATATTGTGTGGAATACTGTGTGGAATATTGTGTGGAGTACTGTGTGGAATACCATGGGGAATACCGTGTGGTATTATTATCTGGAATGTGGTAATATTATGTGGAATAATCCACACGGTATTCCACATGGTATTCCAAACAATATTCCACATGGTATTTCACAATATCCCCCATAATATTCCACACAGTATTCCACACGGTATTCACCACAATATTCCAAACAGTATTCTACAAAATATTCCACATGGTATTCCACACGGTATTCCACAAGGTATTTCACACAATATTCCACACGGTATTCCACACAAAATTCCACACAGTATTCCTCATGGTATTGCACACGGAATTCCACATGGTATTCCACACAATATTCCACACGATATTCCACAAGGTATTTCACATGGTATCCCACACGTTATTCCACACAATATTCCACACGGTATTCCACACAGTATTTCACATGGTTTCCCACATGGTATTCTATGCTGTATTCCACATGGAATTCCACACAGTATTCCACACGGTATTCCACACGATATTCCACACGGTGTTCCACGCGGTATTCCACACAATATTCCACACGATATTGCATACAATATTCTACACGGTATTCCACACGATTTTCAACATGGTATTCCACATGTTATTTCACACAATATTTCACATGGTATTCCACACAGTATTCCATGTGGTATTCCACACAGTATTTCACATGGAATTGAACACAATACTCCACATAATATTCCACATGGTATTTCACACAATATTCCACATGGTATTCCACACAATATTCCACACAGTATTCCACAGTGTATTCCACACAGAATTCCACGTGGTATTCCTCATGGTATTCCACACAATATTCCACTTGGCATTCCACATGGTATTCCACACAATATTCCACACGTTATTCCACACAGTATTTCACACAGTTTCCCACACAGTATTCTACGCTGTATTCCACACGGAATTCCACACAGTATTCCACACGATATTCCACATGGTGTTCCACACGGTATTCCACAGAATATTCCACATGGTATTCCACACAATATTTCACATGGTATTCCACATGGTATTTCACAGAACATTCCACACGGTATTCCACAGAATATTCCATATGGTATTCCACACAATATTTCACACGGTATTCCACATGGTATTTCACAGAACATTCCACATGGTATTCCACAAAATATTCCACATGGTATTCCACACGGTATTCCACACGGTATTGCGCATGGTATTTCACACAGTATTGCACACAATATTCCACACAGTATTCCACGCAATATTCCACATGGTATTCCACACGGTATTTCACACAACATTCCACATGGTATTCCACATGGTATTCAAAACAATATTCCACACAATATTCCAAACGGTATTCCACATGGTATTCCACAAGTTATTTCACACAATATTCTAAGTGGTATTCCACACAACATTCCACACGGTATTCCACATGATATTCCACATGGAATTCCAGAGGGAAATCCACACCGTGTTCCATATGGTATTCCACACAATAATCCACATGATATTCAACACGGTATTCCACATGGTATTCCACACAACATTTCACATGGTATTCCACACGGTATTCCGCACAATATTCCACAGGATATTCAACACGGTATTTCACGTGGTATTCCACACAATATTTCACATGGTATTCCAGACAATATTTCACATGGTATTCCACATGGTATTCCATGTGGTATTCCGCACAGTATTTCACAAGGAATTCCACACAATATTCCACATGGTATTCCACACAATATTCCACATGCTATTCCACACAATATTCCACACAGTATTCCACAGTGTATTCCACACAATATTCCACATGGAGTTCCACATGGAATTCCACATGGTATTCCTCATGGTATTCTACACAATATTCCACATGGCATTCCACACAATATTCCACACAGTATTTCACACGGTTTCCCACACGGTATTCTATGCTGTATTCCACATGGAATTCCATACAGTATTCCACACGGTATTCTACACAATATTCCACATGGTGTTCCACACGGTATTCCACATGGTATTCCACACAGTATTCCACATGGCATTCCACACAATATTCCACACGTTATTCCACATGGTATTCCACACGGTATTCCACGTGGTATTCCACACAATATTCCACATGGTATTGCACCCAGCATTCCACACAGTATTTAACACAATATTTTACACGGTATTCCGCACCATATTCCACACGGTATTTTGCACAATATTCCACATGGTATTTGACGAGGTATGCCCACTGACTCTGCACAGGTCTTGAATATGGTAGTGGCCTGGATTATCCTGCAGTGATCATTCACTCCCGTTCCTCCACCCCCGCTCAGGCCCATGCACTTTCCTGCCCCATTTATATTGGGCTTGGCCATGTGACTTACTCTGGTCGGTGAGGTTTTGGCAGAAGTGATAGGGTGCCAGTTCTGAGCTTAGGCCTTAACTGGCAAGGCCTGATTTCACTCACACCTTGGGAAGCTCTGACCCCCCCACCTTGAGGGAAGCATGCCCAGTTGGCCACTGACCCTTCATCCCAGACCCAGAACAAGCCCAGCATGCTGCCGAAACAGTTGTCCAGCCCAGCACTGTGGTTGGCCTGCAGACCCTCCATCTGGAGGATGAAGACTTGCAGCTGGAGGCCACTCAGGTGGGGGATGTCTGGGTTTGCAGCATATTGAAGAGATAGGTGGGTGCCCTGGGTTATGTGTCCACCCTCAGCTAATATCTCCATTTCACCTCCAGCACTGCTCAGCTCACAGCACCTGCCTGGCATCTCTCCACGGTGTGACCTTATCCACTGTCCCAACCCTACCCCAGCTCCTCCCTGGATCCTAGACCCAGTGCTCTGCCCCTTTCTGCTCCTCCAGCTCTGACCCTACACATTCCAGCCTCATCCCCACTCAATTCTTCACACCAGGTACAATGCAGACCTGGTTACAGACCAAAGACCCTCAGCAGAGAGGAGGGCAGGAACCCCCAGTGGGCAGGCGCCACACTTTGCATGCTCTTTCCTGAATCTTGGGAGTGGGAGGGTCAGGATTTGAACCTAGGGCCTTCTGACCACAGAATCAGAGCTTGTTTCACTAGGCGTTGTGGCAGCTGAAGTTCACATTCCTCTGAACAAGTAGACTTTCACAGCAATACAGAACCCTTGTGTTGGAAGGGAAGTAGACAGTTCCCTAGTCCAATAAATAGTAGGTGGATCATATGAAATAGCCATTTTTGTAGATTAAACCAAATATTGGCAATTGCATGGGCTTACCAGATTCACTGCTGGTCAGACAATCAAACCCAATCCTACCTTAACTGGCCAACATTCAGTTTGTATTTTCACTGTGTGTTTCACGAAGATTTCAAGAACTCTCAGATGCCCTGCCAAATGCTAAAATTACCTACGCACAGGACATATTCCTAGGATGCCTGTAGTAACCCTACCATCAGAAGAAAAATGGTATCACTTTGAACTACAGTCAGTTCACTTTCAGGAGCATGGATTAGATGCCAACCCTCTGCTCAGCCCTGTAAATAAACAAACAAACAAAGTAATAACAAACACACAACGTCTTCATGATCTCAGCTTTCTTCACTAATTGTTTCATAATGTGTCCCAGAATTCAGGCCGAGTTTGAATTCCATCAAAGATACTACAATCCATTGTCTCAGATTTCGAAGCTGTTCTTTTTTCCCTTCTTAAGTATCAAGAGAGTCGTCAGTAACCACTCTCTTCTGTTGGGTTTTTAAAGACCATCCCCACCCAAATTCCTTCCTGCTGGCCCACCCTCAGGTCTGTGGATTTTCACACTGGCTGGAGGCCCTAAAGACCCTCCACTCCACCCTAGTATTGCCCAGCGCCATCCCCTTTTCACCCTGAGATGTCTTTATTAAGGAAGGAAGAGACGGGATGCCCACCACCATTGATGGATCGCGTGTTGTGTGCCCAGCACCGACTTGGCCCTGGCCGTGTAGTTATTTCCAAGGATTGTCACACCACCCTGGGAGGGACAGAGGTGCTGTTGGTCTGGGTCTGTTGGACCCCAAGCCTATCCCCATCTTTACACAGAACTCAATGTCTACCCAGAACTTGACAGTTACACAGACCTCGATGGCTCTTCTCCAAATGCACTTTGGTCTCTTGAGTCTAACAAGAAGCTTCCCCTCCCTGCTAAACCAGCTTCCTGCCCCGAGCTAGAAATAGGTGGGAGCAGAATAGCTGAGTTGCCAGGAGCAGCCTGTTCCTAAGGGGCCATGGTTGGAAAAGTCACACGACCAGAGCTTCTCTCCTGCTCCGACTTCCTCCAGGTCCTTCCTGCCTTCCTTCCCACGCCAGGAACACAGCATCCACAATTAAACTGCCAGAAATAGACCGGCTTGGACCAGGGTGACAAGACGTGCTTCAAGCCTTCTGAACCCCTGCACAGCCTGGCTCACCCACAGGGAACTAAGACGACTAATTATGGTCAGCTCAGACAAAAGGCAGAGGATGAGATGAGCCAGGCGCTTGGCCAGAAATGAGTTTCTGTCCCCGATATCTCTCCCATCCCTGCTTCCCCTCCAGACATGCTGGCACTCTGTGTCTTTGCACCAGGTCCACCTCAGCGCCCCAGGCTTCCCGTGGCTTCAGCAGTACTGAGAGTCAGAGTCTGGCTGCCCAATACCTGAGCCGTTCTGTGCTCCCTTGAAGCCCCTGTTTACAGCATCCCACCACGGGACCTGCCGATCCTGGTAGCACACACCACGACGCTCCCTCCGGAGGGACCGGCCCAGGTCAGACAGTTGGAAAGAGACTCCAGCGATGAGGCTGGAGAGGTGAACAGGGGCTGGCCACTGAGACCCTGTCACACCAGCCAAAGCTGATGGCCCAAACCACGCAACGTGTGCTTCTGAAAGACTTCCCTGGCTGCAGAGGGGAGGGGTTTGGGGTGGAAGGTGAGAGGCAGGGGCCAAGCCGGAGGCTGCATGGGGTGTGGCAGGGCCATGCTGGGCTCCCACGGCCACTCTGGACAGCCTAGGTGTCAGTCACAGGAGAGGCCCCCCGCTCCAGGCACGCTCCCCCAGCCCTCTGTCCACCAGGCCTTTCCGCAGCCCTGGGTGGGTGGCAGCCACAAGGCAGGTGGCCCTGCCTACTGCAGCGCTCCTGAGGCAGGCCCACTGCCAGGCCCATTTGCGGGGGGCCCAGCACCCCCAAAGCCAAGCACTTAGCTCTGGGGGACCTGGAGCTATGGAAGCACAGTGACAGAGTGGGTGGGGGCAAGAGGAGAGGGATAGGAAAGAGTAGTGTACAGGGAGACCCATACCCTATAAATGACAGAGGCAGCACACGGGCAGGTGTTGGGACTTCTTGCAGTTTCTCCACGGTGTATCTTGTTACCCGGCCGTGGGTGACCTGTGCAGTCACACGGGACCTCACTCAGAAGGGCTGTGTTCTTGGTTTCATACTCCCCTGTTGTCATCTTGCAATTCTTAATAATTTTATATTCAAACTTGCATTTTGTAAGTGAAGTCCAGATGGGTCAAGCACATGTGGGAGCAGAGGAGGCACGTTTGAGATGCGTGTCGGCCTCAGTTTCTGCTGTCTCAGGCTCACCACGGGGCTTCCACAACACATGCACCTTGCACGTGGGGCCCTGGGCTCAGGAGGGGCCCAGGCTTGGTTTACTATTCTGCTGTCACCATCTTGAAATTCTTAATTTCGTCTTTGAACTTGTGTCCTCTGTTCCTTGTCACTCGGTAAGCATCAAATTCTGGTGAGCCCAGGACGGGAGTTCAGTGAGACTTGCCCTGAACACAAGGACACGCTGCGTGAGCAGGACATTGACGGACCCAAGAGGCCACACTTTCCCTTCAAACCAGAAAGCGCTTCCATCTTAGAAGAAAAACAGTGGCGTTCTTAGAAACGCGAATAACCGAGGAGACTTTATCTTATCCTTTCATACTGTCGCTTCCCCACGTTAGCCAACCACTCAGGCTGAAAATGACAACTCAGAGGGAAGGGAAAGGCAGGGCAGCCCTAGTTTCTTCCCTTCAATTCTTCCTCACTCGTCAGTGAGGCGAAGGCAGTGAGTGTTGGCAGAATGTGATTATATCAAACAGCAAAATAAAAACAGTTGAGGGTCTCCACTATCCTGGTAAGAATGAAATACACGTGAATGCAAGAAATACAGAATGCAAGTTGTGCCATTTCAGGGACTCTGTGTATGAGTTAAATGCTCTTACATTTCTATTCAAAACTGACATTATGCAATGTAAAGAATGAATGGTAAAATTCATGCTAACAATTTAAATTTTTAATTTTCTTTATTTAGAACATCATTAAATAGCAAATTTAAAATACCACGATAAGTCTAGAAAGAGACCGGAAGAAAGGAAAAGCTTTATATTTTAGTATCTTCAGAGGCACTTTTTTCCTGCTTTGCACTGAGCTCTGCAAATTATCTACCGTTTCTGCCTGGCCAACTCCTATTCATCCTTCAAGGCTCTACTTAGATGCCACCTCCTCCAGGAAGGCCACCCTAACCCCAATGAAGCATTAAATGCCCTTCCTGCATGCTTCCATAATCAATAACACTATCCTCACCCCTGTGCTGAAATTGTCAATCTGGTCAGCTTTGCGGCTGGACATGATTGCCAGATTTACAGCCGTACAGAGGGCTCTCTCCCTGTCCTCAGAGCTAGCCAGGGCCTCGCACATAACAGGTGCCCCTTTCCTGTTTGCTGAATGAACAAATGGACCAATAAAAATAAAGTGCCATATGCCAGACACCATTCTCAGCATTTTGCCCACACAACCGATGAAATGAACAGATGATGGCATCAGAATTTCTGAGAGGCCACCCCTTAGGTCAGCACTGCCCTGCACAGCAAGCTTTCCCATGTGAACGTGTGTGGTTCAACACACCTTGGGTTCTCTGCCACAGCAACCTACCTGGCCCCCTCCTGCCCTTTCTCCCTTATGTGTAGACACACATGCTGGCCAGTTGGCAAGTTCCTGGAGGGCAGCAACACAACACACCTGTACCTGGGTCCCAAGCGCAGCCCAGAGTTATGAACAAAACCTGTGCTCATGGCTGTTAATGAGTGGGTTTATGAAAAAAAATCTAAGAGAAGACAACCTGACCAAGGCAATTTCGACCAGGCCTATGCATTTCAAACCAAGCTACAGGGAATGCATCTCTTAAAGATGTACAAACTTTAAAAAAAAGTCTTACTATTCTTTAAAACACACTCTTGGGAAATGTCAGTATCACTTTTCACAGGATTAAAAATTGGCAAGGTGAACCTCAGATGCAGACGACAGACTGACGATCATCAGGCCCAGCTCAGCCACTATACATTAAGCCAGACTGGCTCACCAGATCAGGAACACCATTCCCAGATGGGTCTTTGGCAAATTTTCCTGTAAACATGTTCATCTTTGGGATTTTTCCCTTTCAATGAGTGTGTAGTAGAGACTGGCTACCAGCTCACTAATCCCATTTCTTCTTCCTGAGCACACAAGAAGACTACCTCTTCCAGCCTCCCTTGCAGTGAGCTGGAGGCCATATGCCTGGGTCTTGGCCAAAGAGATGTCAACAGAAGTGATGCATACTATTTACAGGATTGGCCATAAAATCATGTGCATGGTTGTCCATGGCAACCCCAGAGACCCTGTGTTGAAAAAGATAAAGTCATAAGATGTAAGGCGCCTAGATCCCTGAGTCATTGCCTGGACCCTCCTCAGACTGTGATGCGTGTGAGACTTAAAACTTTACTGTGTTTAGCAATTGAGATTGGAAAGCGTTTGTTATAGAAGCTAGCATCACCTGTCCTGACAAATACCAGGAATCCATTAAAATGCAAGTAAACAAAAAGGCAACCAAAGTGGTACAAACAAATATAAGGTTTATTTTTCTACGTAACAAGAAGTCTGAGAAGAGGCAGTTGAGGAGTGAATCAGCTGTTCAGGGACACAGGCTCTATCTGTTTTTCTGTTCAGCCGTTCTTAGTGTGTTGGCTTTTGTCCTAACGTTCATCAACACATAGTCACAAGGTGGCTGCTATACCCCTGGCATTCCATTTGCATCCCAGGCAGGAGGCCAGCTGAGTCTGTCCCACACAGCCAATTTTTTCTGACACTGCTTTGGCCAAGACCGCAGTCACCAATGAATGGCCAGCGGGGATTATATTATTATGCTTGCTTTAGTCCAATCGTGATTCGTCCCCTAGGACTGGGGTTGGGGCTTTCCTTCCCTGAGATCAGTGAATCCATGCAATTGCCTAAACAAACTGCAGCTCTGCTAGTGGGAAGAAGACAGGAGTAGAATAGATGTTGTGTGGTTGACAATGGCCCTCCCCAGTGGCTGGCACCTTCATATTCTTCCTTCCTTCTATCAAATCTGTTTCTCCAGAAAGGATTGCAATTAAGAGAAATCAAAGTGATGCCTGGCTGGATTATTTGGCCTTTAAATGTCTGGGTCTGGGCCTCAGCACAGCTGACCCTGGAACTGCATATCATCCTCTTGCCCAGGGGCCTGGCTAACACACAGTAAAATGATAACAGGCTAGTAATCAACCAGATAGCAGCATAACCACTCAAACTGAAGGATAGAGCTGTCCCAGGACCTAATACCCCAGGATGGATCCTTTCCTATTTAAGATACCACTGATTGCCTTCAACTGATCATTGAAAATTAGCAGAGCTATTTTAAAATTAGACTACTCAATGCTTGTAAGGATGCATAGAAATGGGCTTGATCACAGGCCGCCTGCTGTAGGGTACATCATTGCCATACATTTGGAAAGCATCCTGGCCTTATCGTGAGACTTAAATATATGCAAACCCTTTGATCTAATAATGTCACGTCTAAGACTGTCTTCTAAGGAAATAATTTGAATATTGAAAAAGCTTTATGTACCAAGTTATTTCTGGCAAGATTATTTATAATAGTGAAAGCCTAGAAACAGCCAAAATAGCCAACCCTTGGAGGACAGCCATTGACATATTTTTATTTTCTGTGTAGAATATAGTCTATGAAGGGGAAGTGACATAGATGGATGGATGGATGGACAGATGGGTGGATGGATGGATGGGTGGATGGATGGATGGATGAATGGACGGATGGATGGATGGGTGGATTTTACTCAATGACTGTTATACATTCCAAAAATATGGTGATTGCAAAGGGTTTATAAAGGGAAAATGTGCTTGGATAAAAGACATCAGTTAAAGTAATGGGTACCATCTGATTATTAGTATATGAAAAAGGCTGAAATAAAATACTCCCAAATGTAATCATGAGTGGTGAAGGCATGGATGATTTTTATTCCTTTTTTCTACTTTATGCATTTTTTATTTTTTATTTTATAAGCATGTACTGTTTTGTAATAAAAATTATTTTAGAAAAATATGAGTGTTGCTAGGTGAGCATGGAAATTGGATGGGTTGAGGGACAGTTTGTACAGCTGGGGCAGCATTTGGAGAACCTTCCCTGCCCTGCTTTGGACCTACTCTCTGGTGACTGCAGTCCTTGTGCAGCCAACATCGGCGTCTTTCTCTCGCCGGCCTATCCCAGGGGAGCCAGCTTCTCCGGCCAAGGCCCTTCTGGCCTCAGCTGGGACACACCTTGCCTTTCTACAGGTAGTCAGCTCTGGCCACCTTGACTCATTAGTCAGGCTTGGCCCTTCCTCCAGCTCCGAGTCATCCCTTCAGGTAGTCCTCCTGCAGAGACTCGCTCTGTTGTGTTGACCTTCGTCATTCTGTTCCCAAAATGTGATGGCATTTAGCTGAATCAGCTCCAAATTCCAGGACAGCTTTTTCAAGTTCCCTATACACTGAAGAGGGAAAAGATCTCAGACATTCCTTCATTTTCATTCAAAATTAAATTGGTAAGATTCATCTCTATCTTTATTGTCTGCTGTTATTCAGTTTTACTGCTCTATAACATCCCAATGTATAAACATATCACAATGTATTCATCTATTTCTTTCTGTTGATGAGATTTGAGCTATTTTCAATGTTTTGATTCTAGGAACAACACTGCTAGGAACAGCCTCATACACACCTAGGACAGGAATTGCCGGGTTTCCTCCCAGCAGGGCTTGTGAAGGCACAAATTTGCAAGCCATGCCAAACTGTTTTCCAAAATAGCAATAAAATTTTGAGACAAAAAATCCAAAAAGATTATACAAACTCTGTACTATCTTCTCAATTTTTCTGTAAACCTAATATTGTTCTTTTAAAAACTTATTTTTAAAAACTTTATAGCATAATGCCCTTTTTCAAAGTTAAAAATGATGAAAAGTAACAGTCTTTTTCAGGACTGCATTGAGATGTGATCAAATGGATGGCAAGGAAACCATCAACAGGAGTCTGTTCCCTTGGGTGAGGCAAGACCGCGTGCTCAGGCACTGTCAGTGCTCCAGCCCTCTTGCAGGATGAACACTCATTGGTGCTCATTAGAGTGAAATAAACAGAGGGAGGGAGGGAGAGAAGGAGGGAGGGAGGGAGGGAAGAAAGGAGAGAGGGAGGGGAGGGGAGGGAGAAAGGAAGGAAAGGAAAAAAGAAGAGAAGGAAGGAAGGGAGGGAGGGAGGGAGGGAGGGAGGAAGGAAGGAGCAAGGGGGAAGGGAGGGAGAGAGAGGGGGAAGGGAGGGAGAGAGGGAGGGAGGGAGGGAGAGAGGAAGGAAAGAGGAAAGGGAAAAAGAAGAGTGTGTGTGCACTTGCATCTGCGCACTCGTGTGTGCGTGTGTGGGTGTGTGTGTGTGTACGTGAGCACATGTGTGTATTTTTACTTCCCAGGTCCTTGCCCCGGTACCTGCACAGGACCCCACTCTCAGGGCCAAGATGCGGCTTGTCCCAGCCAGCTGACTGCAGCCCGGAGCCCTGGCCTGAGCTCCCAGTGGAGTCCCTGCTCCCACATCGCCGCCCACCAGAATACACAGTGTCCTCACTGGGACACGTGGCTCTGATCTTGTCCCCTTCCCGACCCTGTGTCTTCCTGACCTGCTTCCATCCGGGCCTACTCATCTCTCACCTCCACTATCGTTATCACCTCCCGCTACTACCCCTGCTGCCGGTCTCCTGCCGCCAGCTACCTTCTTTCTGAGTCCTGAGTCTGACCACATCACACCCCTGCTCAACATCCTTCAGGGGGCCGGAAGCAATGGCTCATGCCTATAATCCCAGCACTTTCGGAGGCCGAGGCGGGCGGATCACTTGAGGTCAGGAGTTCAAGACCAGCCTGGCCAACATGGTGAAACTCCATCTCTACTAAAAATACAAAAATTTGCCAGGTGTGGTGGTGTCCGCCTGTAGCTGAGGCAGGGGAATCACTTGAACCTGGGAGGTGGAGGCTGCAGTGAGCCGAGATCACACCACTGCATTCCAGCCTGGGTGACAGAGTGAGACTGTGTATCAAAAAAAAAAAAAAGTCCTCAGGGGCCACGGTAGCCTGCACTCAAGGCCTGCATCCGGCTCCAGCTCCACCTGGCCTCCTTTGCCCTGTGCGCCGAGTCCAGCTCCTCCCTTTTCCCCGCATGACCCACTTCCTTGCTCTTCTGCGGCTTGGGGCACGTGTCCCCCACCTGGAAACCCTTCCCATCCCCAATCTCCTGCTGCTGCTGGGGAACGTGTGATTCCCCTCCCAGACCCTGCCTGGGAGCTCTTCTCCTTAGCTCCTGCCCCCCTTTACCTCAGTGCCCACCCCCCAATTTTGGCACCCCCAGGAGGCCACTCAACAGCACCCGCCATCCATGTTCTTATCCTTTCCAGCAGACTGTGAGTGCCTTGAGGGCAGGGCCCTCAGGCTTCATCAAATCCCAGTGCCTCACTCAGCAAGTGCTCACTGAATAAATGAAGGACATGTCCCCTTTAAAGGTTAAAGATGTTTGACTTCTCTCTGCAATTACATTTTCCATCCTCTGATTCAAAACCTTGCTGGCCTGGTGGGAGGAAAGACCAGTGGGAAACATCTGCCTGGTGAGTTGACACGGGTGGGGACGGAGGACGGAAAGAAATCTGGCGTCTCCCGTTTACCACGGAGGCTGAACTTGGAAGGAAAATGTGCAGTCCCAGCAGAATGGACGAGTGAGGACAGCAGCTGCCCCGGGGCTGCCCGCGGGCTGAACGGCAGATGGGGGACTCAGGCGGGGGCCAGGGGTCTGCAGGCCCCAGGCCTTCTCTGGCCACAGTGGGGAAGAGCTGATCCAGGCCGGGCCAGCTGCTGGCCCGGATGCTCTTCCTCTAAAGGATGTTTCATTCCTGATCCGTTTCAGGGAGGGATGGAGAGAGGCGCCCTGTGGTGCATCTCTTTTGTGTGCCTCAGTAGGAGAAGCTGGGGGCAATGTTCCTGTCGGGAAACAACTGCATTTTTAAAAGAATAATAGAAGGTTTACTTAAGGACAGCGTCTGTCCCAAAATTACCTTACAGAGAGAGAGACATGGAGAAGATGAGGAGGAAAGAGGCCTGGCCTGACCCTCAGAGGCCCATTGGGCAGCTGGTTAGAACCTGGAATGGGCTTGGGAGGCACATTTTTTTTTTTGGTCACTATTCTGCGTTGTTGCTCAAACTGAACTTTTTTTTTATATATACTTTTTAAGTTCTAGGGTACATGTGCACAACGTGCTCCCCACCCTGCGTCCGAGTGTTCTCATTGTTCAATTCCCACCTATGAGTGAGAACATGCAGTGTTTGGTTTTCTGTCCTTGCGATAGTTTGCTCAGAATGATGGTTTCCAGCTTCATCCATGTCCCTGCAAAGAACATGAGCTCATCCTTTTTTATGGCTGCATAGTATTCCATGGCGTACATGTGCCACATTTTCTTAATCCAGTCTATCATTGATGGACATTTGGGTTGGTTCCAAGTCTTTGCTCTTGTGAATAGTTCCACAATAAACATATGTGTGCATGTGTCTTTATAGCAGCATGATTTATAATCCTTTGGGTATATACCCAGTAATGGGATGGCTGGGTCAAATGGTATTTCTAGTTCCAGATCCTTGAGGAATTGCCACACTGTCTTCCACAATGGTTGAACTAGTTTACAGTCCCACCAACAGTGTAAAAGCATTCCTATTTCTCCACATCCTCTCCAGCA
This sequence comes from Homo sapiens, assembly GCF_000001405.40. NCBI lineage: Eukaryota > Metazoa > Chordata > Mammalia > Primates > Hominidae > Homo > Homo sapiens. The sequence goes on from NC_000010.11 coordinate 124,242,023, forward strand.
CCTGTTATTTCCTGACTTTTTAATGATCGCCATTCTAACTGGTGTGAGATGGTATCTCACTGTGGTTTTGATTTGCATTTCTCTGATGGCCAGTGATGATGAGCATTTTTTCATGTGTCTGTTGGCTGCATAAATGTCTTCTTTTGAGAAGTGTCTGTTCATATCCTTCACCCACTTTTTGATGGGATTGTTTGATTTTTTCTTGTAAATTTGTGTAAGTTCTTTGTAGATTCTGGATATTAGTCCTTTGTCACATGGGTAGATTGTAAAAATTTTCTCCCATTCTGTAGGTTGCCTGTTCACTCTGATGGTAGTTTCTTTTGCTGGAGATGCATCTTATCCATAGTGGTTCAGGAGCCCTCCTGAAAGGTAGAGGGCCCGGGGCCATGTTGCCCCAGTGCAGCTGGAGGTCATTCTTCAATACCCTATTTGTGCCCTCCAGGTGCCAGCCAATCTGTTGCCAAGTATCAGCCAACAAGTCCCCCAGTGCCTGACGGCAACCACTTTCCTTCCCTCTCTGATCATTTAGCAGCCAAGCCATAGGGGGCGGGGGCAAGGGGTGCCTTGGGGCCTCCCTGCTTTATAGCCCCATAGAGAGCAGGGCTGAGAAGGATGCAAGCCCTCGTGCAGATCAAAGATGCCGTTTTGCCACAGGGGAAACAGAGGGGGAAGGGACTTGCCCAAGGCCACCCAGCAAGCCGGGGCTGAGACCCGGAGGGGCTCCTTTCATAGCTGAGCCAAGAGCCCAGGACCCTCATCCTCACTCAGGGTCAGCAGTGGCTTCCTTGCCTGCATGGTGAAAGTCCAAAGGCCTCATATTGGTGAGAGCGCATTCATAGTAGTGACCCCTTGCCTTTACTTACTGATACTTACTACCGACCTCACTCTGTTCTAAAGCACTTGACCTGCATCATCGTGCTGAACCTTCATAATAATTCTGAGGAGGGAGAAACAGGCGGGCCCATTTCACAGATGAAGAACTTGAGGTTCACAGAGGGTAGGTGGCCTTTCCACAACCACTTGCAGGTAGGCTGGAACTCAAGCCCGGACAGTGAAAGCACTCAGACACCACCCCCCCACTGACCCAGAAGAGCAGTGAGGCGGGGCTCTCTCAGTTCTCTCAGGACCGATCCTCACGGCCTCCCTTCATCTAAGGTCAGGGAAACACTCAAAGGGTAGACGTTAAGGCTCTGGAGACATGTGACCAGTCGTGGGGCTCTGTGCATACCTGGCCAAATCTCCTGATCCCACTGTGCCTCAGTTTCTTCATCTGTAAAAAGAACATCCTAAGAGTACCGACCTCACAGCATTGTTAGAAGGACTGAGTTAGTTAGGACCACGCCTGACACAGCACATGGGTGGACAGAATGCTGGACCTGAAAGACATCCACGTCCTAATTCCAGGTCCTGTGAAGATGTTCCCTTACATGGCAAAAGGGACTTTAGAGATGTGATTAAATCAATGATCTAGAGACCGGGGTGGGGGGAGGGGGCAGTTATCCTGGACTAGCCAGTGGGCCCAGTGCAATGTAATCCCATGGGTCCTTACAAGAGGGAGGCAGAAGCGTCAGATAAGGAGAAGTGAGGACAAGCAGAGGTCCAAGCAAGGCAGGCTCACGAGCCAAGGAGGGCCACCTCTAACAGCTGGGAACACCAGGAATCGGATTCTTCCCTGCAGCCCCTAGAAAGAACCAGCTCTGCTGACACCTTGACTGTAGCCTAATGGACCAATTTGGGGCTTCTGGCCTCCAGGACTGCAAGATAACAAAATCATGTTGTTTTAAGCCATTACATTTGTGGTAATTTGTTCCTCGCATGATAGGAAGCTGACGCAGGGCACTGGCGTTATCATTATGATTAACTACAGGAGCGCTAGTGTGGGCTGGGCCTCTCACTGTACCCCGGTGATAAGTCAGGCAAGCCCTGGCCCGAGAGGACCCCTCAGACCAAAGAGAGACAGAGGCGCATCCTCGGAACAGCGGAGCGCAGGAAGGTTGTGACTGTGACTGGCGGGGCTGAAACAGTGGGGCTCAGAGTAGGGCAGCTGCTCCACAGACAGGCTGGGGAGGAGCTTCAGCTCTTCTGCTCCGTTCACACCTCACCACCCGGCCTGGAATCGTACCCACCTCTACCACCCAGTTGACCCAGGACACAGCCCAAAGCCCCAGCCGATCTTCTTTACTCCCAGGCCCTGCCAAGTGACAGTCTCCTCCATGTCCTCCACCATCTTCACACGCCTCTGGCATCGTGGGGTCCCCTCCCGGGATGGGCTGAGTTATTTCTCATTATGCAGCCATCGTCCATTTGACCGTGACTGAGCAGCGCTTGCTGGGAACTCGGTGGAAGGGGATCTGGATTCAGGTCCGGCTCTGCCCGGGGAGGGTGGGCCGGGCAGCCCCACTGCTTGTCTAGAAGGCAAGGTGAATGTCCTTGCTGGTCTCCAGCACTCCTGGAGCTCCGGCCTTCTGCAGGGCAGAGTCTAAGCATCTAGTGTGGTTTACAAAGACCCCCAGGATGTGGCCCCGCCACCTCTATGCCCGGCTCACACCCACACATCTGCCCTGGGCAAGGGCTTGCTTTTCTGCTAACACGCCAGGGCGCGTGCCCACCCTGTGATGCTTGGCCTCACTGCCCGCCAGCCCCCACCCATCTCCTGTCCCCTTTCCCCGCTGTAGCTAGGTGACCCCATGGAGCTCCCGCAGGCCCCTGCATCTCGGCACTCACCACCCAGGCTGTCCTGGACAGTTGACCAGAGACCCCCACCAGCAGTGGGGAGCCCCCTGCCTGGACCCCTGGAGCTTGGTAGAGCAACAGGCACACAGGAAGTGCTTTGGAAATGGTGAATGAAGGAACAGGCAGGGGTCAGGCTTGGATGTCCCCATGTCCCACCGTGCCAGCGCTCATCCTGTTATCCCTTAACACTCCAAAGGTGAGTCCAGAGGCCCCACCTCAGAGCTTAGCAGAGACATGGAATCTCAGCCCCACCCAGACGAGCGGAATCAGAATCTGCACTTCAAGAAGAGCCTGGCGACTCCCAGGCAGGCTCGAATTGGAGAAGCTCTGTTGCTGGATGGGAAGGAGGGCTTCCCATCAGGACATGCGGTCCCTGAGCTAGTAGGGTCTCGGAGAAGGGAACCTGCCAAGGTCATCCAGCAGAATGTTGCTAGCTGGAGCCAGAAACCTGGTCTTCAGGCTCCAAGTGCACTGCACCTTTGAGGAAGGTGACCCCAGAATACAAACAGGAAGGTGACCCCAGAATACAAACAGGAAGCTGCCCTGCCCAGCCAGCGGTCTTCTCTTCCTCATCAGGACCTTCTCTGATCTACTTGGGAGCTGGGGAGAGCAGGTAGATGGTGGGCCCAGGGAAGGACAGTGCTGCACAGGCCGGGTGACCAGGGAGGCTCCCTGCCGATTGCCTCCCTAAAGTGGAAAAGACACAGCCGGGCTGGGCGCGGTGGCTCACGCCTGTAATCTCAGCACTTGGGGAGGCTGAGGGGGGCAGATCACCTGAGGTCAGGAGTTCGAGACCAGCCTGACCAACATGGAGAAATACCATCTCTACTAAAAATACAAAATTAGCTGGGCGTGGTGGTGTAAGCCTGTAATCCCAGCTACTCTGGAGGCTAAGGCAGGAGAATCACTTGAATCCGGGAGGCAGAGGTTGTGGTGAGCCGAGATTGCTCCATTGCACTCCAGCCTGGGCAACAAGAGTGAAACTCTGTCTCAAAAAAAAAAAGGACACAGCCAACAGTGTGGGGCCTCCTCCCTCTGCCATTGGCTGCTCTCAGAGCCAGAGGATGGACAGATGCAGGGACTGCAGGAGGATGCTGGGGGTTGCAGGGGCTTCTGCAGGAAGCACAGGCTGAGCTCCAGGCTGTACCAATGGCAGCGCCAAGAGCCTTCCCAGACAAACTTCCTCCCCTCAGCCAAGCCAGGGGATGTGCGCCTGATGGTCACTGCCCAGGAAGGCACCTCAGCTGCAGAACTAGGACCAGAGGATGTTTCCAGGCCGAAGAGCACGTCCTCAGGCCAAACAGGATGGCTTCCTGTGTTTGCTGATGCAGGATGTGTGCCCCTCACTGCTGGGAATGTCACTGACTCGTCACAACAGAAAAACAGCAGATAAATCCACCTTCTGTCCAACCTGGAGTGATCTTGGAGAGGTCTGCATTCAGCCATGCTGTGCCTGCAGATGCACTGAGTGGGGCTGTCCCCAAGTCCTCCGACCCTCCCGCCGGACCTCAGGGAGCCCCGGCTCTGAGGCCAGTGCCAAGTGCAGCCCGAGGTTGAGGGACCGGATCTTGGAGGCTGAGAGCCCACTCCATCACCTGCCTAACACCTTCATGCCTCAGTTTCCTCATCTGTAAAATGGGGCTCTGAATAGGACCTTCCTCATAGAGAACCATGGGAGGATTGATTGAATGAGAGCTTTTTATGTTAATGATTAGAACAGTGTCTGGCATAGTACACACTTAAAAAAAAAAAAAAAAAAAAAAAAAAAAACCAAGACCGGGCAAGGTGGCCCACACCTGTAATCCCAACACTTTGGGAGGTTGAGGCAGGCAGATCACTTAAGGTCAGGAGTTTGAGACCAGCCTGGCCAAGACAGTGAAACCCCATCTCTACTAAAAATACAAAATATTAGCTGGATGTGGTGGTGTGCACCTGTAATTCCAGCTACTCTGGAGGCTGAGGCAGGATAATCACTTGAGCCCGGGAGGCGGAGGTTGCAGTTAGCTGAGATTGTGCCACTGCACTTCAGCCTGGGTGACAGAATGAGATTCCATCTCAAAAACACATAAAAAAAAAAAAAAAACCTAGATACTTCCATTATGATGATTACCTTATTATCTCCTTAGTTCCCAAACTGGAAACTTCTCATTCCTCTTCTCACTCACCCTCATGCTGGCCCTTGCAGTGGGAGACAACAGGAGACAGGTCACTGTGGTCACTGTGCCAGCTCTCCACCATGCACTCCTCCACTGCAGGGGCCAGCAGCTTCTGAAGTGCCCCCCCGTGATCCCCACCCCCTGGCATTTATGTCCTTGAAAGTGGACTTGTCTTAGTGACTTACTTCTCATGTGTAGGACCCAGCAGAAGTACCAGAACATCACTTTGGGATTAGGTTATAAAAAGACTGCAGCTTCCGTCTTGCCCTCTCTTGGATGGCCCACATTGGGGGAAGCCATCTGCCATGTCATGAGCCAGCCCTATGGGGATGTGTATGTGAATGACCTCCCCAACCAAACCTTGAGAAGGCTGAAGCCCCAGCAACCCCTTGACTAAATCATCATAAGAAACCCTAAACCTGAACTTCTTCGGTAAGCTGCCCCTAGATTCCTGACCCACAGAATAGTGAAATAAATGTGTGCAAATAAATGTGCACCTAAGTTTTGCGGTAATTTGGTATGCGGCTATAGACACCTAACACACTCAGCAAACTCCTACTCATTGGTCAAGACCCAGGTGAAATGCCCCCTCCTCCATGAAGCCTTTCAAAGTACTTTGTACTTGTACTTATCCCATGATCAGTTCTCACGCTGTTCTGTCATTTCAGTTTACAAGACAAGCCTGCTCCCACCATGAGGCCTTGATCTCCTGAAGGGTAGGGACAGGGTCTTGGTCATCCAGGCCAAGCACAGAGCCTGTCAGTCAGTCAGTCAGCAGGACCTCAGTCATTGTTTAGTCAAAGAATAAGTGACTTACACAGCAGCCGCCACCCTACAGGCCACCATCTTGCACACTTCCCTTCTGGCTCCAGGAGGCTGCCTGGTGTGCTCCACCTGGAGTCCACAGGCTGGCCAGCTCGAGCTTGGGCCCAGTCCTTACATCTGCCCCAGAGGAGGTGACAATGATTTCAAAGATCATACCAGCGCACACCCAGCCTCCCACCCAAGCCAGCATGCCCCGTCACCATGGTCAGTAAGAGTCCCCAGGGCAGGGCCCAGAGGGGTAGAAAGGAGACAGCTTTCTTGCTGGATGTGTCTGTCACTCCAAGTGTGGGTTCCTTCCAGTAAGGAAGGACAGCTCTCCATGCCCTGCGCAGGCAGTGAGTGGGTGAGAGAGAGAGGAGTGAGCGGGCAAACCGACAGATGGACGGATGGATGGGCGGTGGGACCACAGACTGGATTCCTCTATAGACACGCCAGGCCTTCAGCTCAGGTGCAGCACAGCTTCCTGGCATGCGTGCTGGACTAGGGACTGGGTCCTCACATCCACATCAAATGCCTGCTCCCCAGGGACACTGGGCAAGTCCTCTCCCTGTGTGTGCCATGCCCTTTGACACACAGCCTCAGGTCATCCCACAACACGCCCAGGACTTGCCATCTCACAGATAGGGAGAGTGAGGTGGACGGAGGCTGAGCAGCTTGTTCAAGGTCATGCACACAGTAGAGCCAGGAATCCCTCCATGGCCAAGTGGGCCCCTGACACTAGATGCTGGCCAGGGTCACCAGGCGACCTGGACATCCCTCAGCCTTTCACAACACCACTGGAGTGGGTTGAAGGGTGATCTCCAAAAAGACACGTCCATGTGATAGCAGAACCTGTGATTGTGACCTTATTGGGAATTTTTTTTTTCTTTGCAAATGTAGTTTAAGGACCTCAAGATGAGATCATCCTGCTTTAGGATGGACCCTAAATCCAGTGACACACGTCCTTGTGAGACACAGAAGATACACAGAGGGGAGGGCCAGGGGAAGACAGAGGCAGAGACAGGAGTGAGGTGGCCACAAGCAGGGAAGGGTGACTGCCCGCAGCCACCCCAAGGTGAAGAGGCTAGAAGGGGTTCTCCCTGCAGCCTCCAGCGGGGCGTGACCCCACCGACACCTGGAGTTTGAACTTCCGGCCTCCGGAACTGTGAGAGAATGGATTCCTATTGTTTTTAGCCACCAACTTTATGGTGATTTGTTGCCACAGCCCTGGTAAAATAATGCAACACCTTACATAGAAAATGGCTATTTCTGCAGCACACTCAGGTACACTGAGGCTGCTTATGCTGGACACTCCCAGCCTGGGGGTGTTGGCTGCCACCCCCGCAAGCCTCACCAAGGGCTGAGATATCAAAACACCCAGGTTTTGGCACCTGATAAAACACCATGTCACCTGAAAAGCCCTGGCTCAGAAACTCCGCCAGGAGCATCCTGAAGTGTCCACGTCCCTCTCGCCCACGTTTTTGGTGCACTGTGACTCTAATATGCTTCATTGGTAGTTGATTTTCCCCCACTGATTTTAAGTGAGGGTTTGGTGGAAATGACAGCCATGACCCCCACCCCGATCAGAGTGGACAGCTGGCTCAGGGTATCCTGGGGCTTGGCAGAACTTATGCAGCAGTGTGTGACCTGGGGGCATAGGTGCAGAGATGGGGTGGCGAGTTCCCTGAGGTTTTGGGCGGAACACTGGCCAGGGGTTGTCCAGCCACAGTCAGCCTCAGCCATTTCCTGCCATCCATCCCTATCCCGATTAACCTCCCAGGCAGGGACAGGTGGTTTCCACCTGTCGTTGACATTGTCGTCAGATATTAACTGAGGTGATCTTAGGAACTCCAAGTTCCTGAGAACTTCTTAAGCCCTGAAATTCTTTCATACAACTTCCTACACCCTTCACAGTGGTGGCTGGTGGTTTGTTGTGTCTTGTTTTGTTCTTTACAGCAGGCTTACCATGGTTTTCTTCCGTTTTAAAGAGAAAAAAAAAAAGGAAAGGATCTGAAAAGTCTTGAAGGGACATGTTTATGAATCTAAACTTGGCTCACCTTGTGGTGGATACAGCAGACACATCACTGACCTGCTGGAGAGGCCTCGAGAGCTACAGTGGTGTAGACCTTGCTTGTGGGGAAGAGTAGGCACCAGCAATTCCAGCAGGACAGAGATGAAACCACCTGAAAAATCCTCCTCCCTGTCTTCAACCTTGGAAATGCAAGCCCAGCCAGGATGGCTGGTATCTGGTCAGAAGCCAGCCCGCCCTCTATGACAGCTGAGCAAACCTTCCTAGAACTCCTGGAGACAAGGACACAGGGACAGCTCAGAGGACTTGGGAACCCAGCACCCTGTGCTGTTAGCCCGTCAGCACTACTGTTATTTTTGCTTGCCAATTTCACAACAGTGACCCGCTCAGGTCCCAAAAGAGTAGGTATTTTATTAGTATGAGATCTGCTCTTTCGTGTTCCTCAATATTGGCTAAGGTATATAAATTGTAAATAGCGCCCCCTAAGGCAAGTGCTGTGGGATCATTGCTATCATCATCCTTGGTGTCTGCAGGAAACCAATGACCATGTCGTGAAGACACTCAAGAAGCCCTCTGGAGAGGTGCACATGGCAAGGAACTGAGGCCTCCTGCCCACAGCTGCACATACATGCCAGCCACATGCGGAGCCACCTGGGGAGGAGAGTCTCTAACCCCAGACCAACCTTCAACGATGGCAGCCCCATCAATATCAGACTACAGCCTCATGAGAGACCGCAAGCTAGACCACTTACCACTCCCAAATTCCTGACTGCAGGACCTGTGTGTGTTAGTAAGTGTATATTCTTGTTTTAAGGCACTAAATATGGGGTAATCTGCTACCAGTAACAGATAACTAGTGCAGCCCTACATAACAGTGATTGTGTGAGGACAGGGAGTGAGGAGCGTCTGATCACTCCACGGCCAATTTCAGGGCATCAAACCCCCATGAGAAGGCTGGCTGAACAGCAGCACAGATGGAGAGCGCAGCTGAGCCGGGGCCACTGAACTGCCCAGGAAGGAAAGCAAAGGCAGGGAATGGGCCAAGACAGTCCCAGAAGACAAGTAGAGGCGTGCTGTGAGTGCACACCCAGCCGATTATACTCCACTCTAGCAGGTGCAAGGTAGAATAGCATTTAAAAATAAGAATTCCCCAGACCTCTCACTGTGTTTGCAAAACCCAGCCAGCTGTCTAGGGCATTGTTCCAATGGAGGAAGGAAAAGTTCTGCAGGATATTATAATTTTACCCCAAAAGAATCACTCAGGAAGTAAAAGAGTCCGAACATTGGCTCCAGACCAAGGTGGGACTGGGGCACATGGCCTCTGGGGACAGAAGACCCAGCACTACCCATCTCTCAGCCTTGGTTTCCTCCTCCACAGCACTGCCTTTAATAGCACTTGGCTGCGATGATCAGATCAGGTGAGACATATGAGTGTTTTGCAAACTGTAAGGTGCTTTGCAAATTATAAAGTAACTACAACTAAATATATAAGGCCATTGTTTTCAGAGGAAACATATCTCTACCCAGTCCTAAGGCACCAGCTGTCTCAGAGACAATGTTGAACACTAAAACAAAATACAACACACCAAAAGCAGGGCAAAAACACAGACTTCATGCCCTCATCAGACTCCAGGAGACCTGGATTCAGCTTCTGGACTCAGAGCTTGACAGCTGTGCCAACTTGGACAAGTCGTTTTCTCATTTGTAAAACAAGGAAGTGGCACAGGAAAACCTCCAAGGTCCCTCCAAGGCCAAAAGTTGTATTAATCTGTACGCCCTGCTACCTAGATAAGCCTCTGAGAAAAATGTACTAGGTAGTGTTTCCCATGAAATCACCACGAGCTCGCTGAAATTGCTTTGCAAATTTGCCTTGCAAATTGCTTTGCTCCTTCTACCTGTTTCTATCTATTGGAGTACTGTTTACCACAGACCTAGAGAATCATAACAATATAATCAAGTTAAAATAACTGGTAGATTCTGAATTTTGTGCCCCCAAGCAGAGAATACACCTTTTTCTCAAATTATCAGTGGAAATTTGCAAAACACTTACCAAATACTTATACAAAAAATAACTTCTTTAAATTACAAAAAGCAGAAACTGTGCAAGCCATTCTCCAAACCACAAAATGCAACAAAGCTAGGCTAGAATGCTGAAAGTCTGAAGAACCAAAAATAGACAATTCATTTGGAAACTAAAATATTCTTTACATTGGCTTCAGAAAATGAATAAAAAATACAACAGAAAATTAAAATATGACTTGTCAAAGCTTACTGCATACTACCAAAGCTGTATTAGGAGGTAAATTTGTAATATTAAGATGCCTTCATTGTTAAAATAAAACAAAACAGTTTTCACTTCCAGGATGACAGCCTGAGTACCTCCACGAACCACTTTCCAGTGAAACAAACAAGGCTGGCAGAAACTACCTTTAAAAACTACCTTTAAAAAAACAACCAACCATTTAAAAATCTCTGGAGACTGGAAACTAAGGGCATACAATGAATAAAGAAGCACTTATTCAAGAACAGCTACTAAAACTTGGTAAGAACAGTGAGAATCTGCCGTATCTCAGCTGTAACCCACTCTCTCCACTTCTGTTTGATAGAAGCGTCATTCCAGGTGGGTGTGGCCAAGAAATCAGGGTTCCCTCTCCCCTCATCTCCCAATTTTTGTTTTATTTTGAGACAGAGCCTCACTTTGTTGCCCAGGCTGGAGTGCAATGGCGCAATCTCAGCTCACTGCAACCTCCCCCTCCCAGGTTCAAGCAATTCTCATGCCTCAGCCTTCCGAGTAGCTGGGATTACAGACGTGTGCCACTATGCCTGGCTGATTTTCGTATTTTTAGTAAAGATGGGGTTTCCTCATGATCGCCAGGCTGGTCTCAAACTCCTGACCTCAAGTGATCCACCCACCTTGGCCTCCCAAAGTACTGGGATTACAGGTGGGGGCCACCATGCCTGGCCCTCATCTCCCAATTAAAGCTCAGCATATCTCACTAGGAGAGCCAGGCCACCATCATCTCTCATCCCCTCCAACTCCAAGTTGCAAAGGCTAAGTTCCAGGTGAGTGTAGCTGGGAAACTGGAGCTACCTTTTTCTCAGACACTACCCATAGAACAAAGACATGGCAGTCCAAGAACACTGAGATCCCAACCACCCTCACTCCAGTTTGCTCATGGACAGAGGTTATGGGGTAGAAGCAAGCTGAGAAGATCTCGCACAATTTCTGCTTTTTGTAATTTAAAGAAGTTATCTTTTTGGATACTTGATTATATTATCAGAGGCCACCATCCACTCAGTGCCCAGAGTTATAGCTCAGGGAGTTTACCCAGAGGAAAAGTTAATCCGTAAGAAAAAAGGGAGCTCTGAAGCTTTCCCCAAAGGAACTGACTTTATTTGAAACAGGCTGTGGTAAAGTTCAAGCCTGAGGGCACTCTTGAAAACAACATCTCCTCTTAATTAAGAGCAAGCTAAACCAAAGACCAGCTAATTCACCAGAAAGAACAAGGGACACAGACAGCCAAGAAGAGCCCTCCTGAGGTCCTAACAAACCTCAAAGACTGGCCTCAAAATCTACTTCTGCCTGGATTTACTTGAATCAGACTCTGGAGCAATTTATACCCTGGGACATTTTCAAAAACAATAGAGTGGCTGGGCACAGTGGCTCACGCCTGTAATCCCAGCACTTTGGGAGGCCAAGGCAGGCAGATTACTTGAGGCCAGGAGTTCAAGACCAGCCTGGGCAACACGGTGAAACCCTGTCTCTACTAAAAATACAAAAATTAGCCAGGCGTGGTGGCATGCACCTGTAGTCCCAGCTACTCAGGAAGCTGAGGCAGGGAGAATTGCTTGAACTGAGGAGGCGGAGGCTGCGGTGATCCGAAATCATGCCACTGCACTCCAGCCTGGGCAACAGAGCAAGACTCTGTCTCAAAAAAAAAACAAAAACAAAAACAAAAACAAAAAAAAACCACAATAGAGATAGAGCAATCATCAAGTAATTAGTGGGATCTAATGGGATGGGTATATTCTCAAATGAAGCAGGCACCCTAAGGAGAGATCAGGAAAAGAGATAGTCCAAGAGAGCCCTGCTGAAGCCAGTCATCCCAGGGTGACTGTGCACACACCCCAGGCTGCATCCTCTGAGGATGATGAAAATATTCTAAAAGCGATAGGGATAAGGAATGCACAACTCTGTGAAAAGAGCAAAAACGATTGAATTATTCCCTTGAAATGAATGAATTGGACCCGTGAATTACACCTCTACAAAACTGCTAACAAAAGTAATAATTCAGAAAACAAAGGGCCTACCTATTCATCTCAATATTCATTTTAAAAAATTGAGTCTTGGCCGGGCGAGGTGGCTCATGCCTGTAATCCCAGCACTTTGGGAGGCTGAGGCAGGTGGGTCATCTGAGGTCAGGGTTCCAAGACAAGCCTGACCAACATGGTGAAACTCTGACTCTACTAAAAATACAAAAATTAGCTGGGCATGGTGGCAGCCACCTGTAATCCCAGCTATTCCAGAGGCTGAGGCAGGAGAATGACTTGAACCCAGGAGGCAGAGGTTGCAATGAGCTGAGATCATGCCACTGCACTCTAGCCTGGGCTATGAGAGTGAAACTCCATCTCGAAAAACAAAAAAAATCAGTCTTAAGAAAGGAAATGATGACAATAAAAATAAAACTAAATAACCTTGACAGCAGAAAATACAATGGGATGAATTAATAAATTGATTTTTGGAGGTCTCACTACTCCCGTTTCTGTTTGCAACAGTTCACATTTCTGCAGAATGCTTTCAAGCGCTCCCTGCGTAACTCTCATTTCCAGAAACAGTCTCTATTTGACTCTTCAGCTTTTGAATGGAAAAAGAATTTTCACCAGATGCTGCCAGGAGCGCGTCCCTTCCCTGGGATTCCCTGAGTAATTCCTTATCAAGTGCCTCAGGCACGGAGGCCGCTCTGGTTTTGCAGCCCATACTCAGATGTGTTGCTCCTGCAGCTCCCAGCCAGCCAGTGAGAAGGCAGCACTCAGCTGCAAAGATTTCTGCTCAGATCCCCAGCCCTAGGAAGAAAGCTCATTATTTGGACTAGGCCACCACTCACCACAGAGTAATCAGAGGGCAGCGGAAACCACCTGCCTGAAGGAGAAATCCTCTATTCAGGAACCTTGGACCTGTTCAGCTGTGCCACTTACTAGCTAGGTAACCTGAGCAGATCACTTGGCCTTTTTGGGCTTCAGTCTCCTCATCTGTGCAGTGGATATACAGATAGCTATTGTGAGGATTAAGTAAAATATTGTATATGAGAGTGTGATATGGTTTGGCTGTGTCCCCACCCCAGTCTCATCTTGAATTGTAGCTCCCATAATTCCCATGTGTTGTGGGAGGGACCCAGTGGGAGGTAAATCATGGGGATGGTTTCCCCCATAGTGTTCCCATCCATGGTCGTGAATAAGTCTCACGTGATCTGATGGTTTTATAAGAAGCTTCCCTTTTCACTTGACTCTCATTCTCTCTTGCTTGCCACCATGTAAGATGTGCCTTTCGCCTTCCACCATGATTGTGAGGCCTCCCCAGCCATGTGAAACTCTGAGTCCATTAAACCTCTTTTTCTTTATAAATTACCTGGTCTCAGGTATGTCTTTATCAGCAGCAGTGAAAATGGACTAATACAAAGTGCTTTGTGCTTATCTCCTTTCTTCCTCAACTGTCATGTGTCAGAGGCTTATCCCAATCTCCTGTTCTCACCCTCAGCTGCTTTTGTTCCAAACTGACCCGCTCCCACGCTTAGAGGCAGCCTAGGCTTGGAGGAACCCCAGGGTCTCCATTTAAAGGCTGCTTAATCTGTGTTAAAATAAACTTGAATTGAACCAAAGGTAAATGACGCAGAAAATAACAATCCCATCCAATGGGAATGGACAGGGATGATTGGGACTCTGCCTCTTTGGTCTGCTGTCTGCGTAATGGAATCCGATACCCTATGGCCGTAGCTGGGCTAATGGAGGGTGATGGAAACCAGAAGGAGGACTGGCTTGACAAAATGCAGACATCCACTGGTGTTTACAAACCCAACAGCTAGGAGCCTTCTCTGAAAGCCAAACTCGGCCTCTTCTCTCCCTCAGCATTAATTTCCAACACAAATATTTGGAAATAAAATCATTAATCCTTTTTGCCAAGTTTAGGGGGTAGGGTTGGGGGTAAATAATACCATGTCCAACATCAGACCCAGCAAACAGCCCCATGCGTCACTCCCTACAGGAAACAGCCTTGTGCAGCAGGACACTGGCGCAGTAGATGCTTAGCCAACACTGGCCAGTTCTCTGGGTGACCAGCAGAGCTCAGAGGACTTCCTAGAGCTCACCCAGAAATGCGACCCTAGCAAAGTCCTAATGCTTGGGAAGAATGAGGGGAGAGGGGAGAAAAATTGGGAGTCAAGATGGAGTCACAGAAATAACTCGGGAGCCAGCAAGAGGCTACATCTGCTACCAATAGCAAGTGGACAGCTCTGCCCTCACACCCGGCTGCTGGGACGAAATGGAAAGCAGCTGGTCTCCCCGGGAAGGTCCTGTCCCCATTTGACGTGGGCGAGTCCCATAGCCCAGTTTTCTCACATTCCTTTACTTCTATGTGAAAAGACAGGTTTCTAGGCACACACCAGGGCCTGGCACCTGCACAGCAAGGTCCTGTTTCAAAGCCTGGGGACAACAGTCATTCAGGATAATAAAGTGCAAATGTATTGCTGGGGAAGCTGGGGGCTCTGTAGGATGTGACCTCTTTGGCTTCTGATGCTCTACTCTGGGGCCTGATCGCTGGGGGCTCCTCCCTTCTCTGACCCTGTGATGGGTTGAATTGTGTCCCCCAGAAAGATACGCTGAAGTCATAACCCTTAGTACCTTGTTTGGAAATGGGGTCACTGCAGATGTAATTAGTGAAGTGAAGATGAGGTTGTACCAGAGTAGGGTGGATCCCAAATCCAATATGACTGTTGTCCTTATAAGAAGAGGGGCTTGAACACATACAGAGACAGGGAGAACTCCCTGTGACCGTGGAGGTAGAGATTTCAGCTGTGGGCCGGGAGCATCAGTCACCTTGGGGAGCTGGAGAGAAGCAAGCAGCGGTTCTACCTAGGGTCTCAGAAGCGCTCAGTTCTGCAGACCGGGGCATGTTTCAAGCCACCCAGTTTATGGTGCTTTGTTGCAGCTGCCATTGGAAACTAATTCAGGGCCCAAGCCCTAAAGCCTAATTCCACCCCCAACCTTTCTCCACACCCTGTGGGGGCGGAACCATGGTAGGCCTGAGAATCCACCTGGAGGAGGGGTCAGTTGCCCTGGGGAGTTGCCATCAGAAATTGCAGAGGCTGAGCAAGGCCTGGTGTGTGCCGTACAGAAGTGGGTGGGCATGAGGAAGGACGAGGTGGGCACTATCTCCTGGCAGGCCCCTGACCTGGGGAGGGGCTCAGGGAGGGTGGAATCAGGTGAGCAGAGAAAGGCTGACATCTTCTCCAGCTGTGGACTCTGAAATGACTGGGACTAGAACAGAATCAAGCCTCCTCTAGACTTTTCGTGAAAACCTTGGAGTCTCTGCCAACAGAAAGGGGGAAAAAGAGCCCCAAACACACCTACTTCCCATTTCTCCATTACAGTGGAGGTAGAGACTGCCTATATTATCATATATTTGACCAATTACAGTTTTGGGATCAGACAGGACACTGGGGTCAAATATAATTAACATATATTATAACAAATATGTGTTAATTGTAACATAACAAATATATGTTAATTACATTTGACCCCAGTGTCCAGGCTTGACCCCAAAACTGTAATTGCCCCCATCCCTGACCCCAGCCAAGCTCATGCTGTACTCAACTCTATTTTCTCATCCGGCCATAGCCACGCACCTCTGAGTCCAGAGACTTCCAGTTATTTCTACTTTTCCAGCAGGAGGAGGGACAAAAACAACTTGGATCTGAAAAGCAGAGGGGGAATTAAGAAAGTATCTCAGCCCCGGGCAGCTTTTTTTTTTTTAACCACTAACTGGGCAATGAATAATTTATAGCCAAGAATGTTTGTGGGGGCATAAAATGTTGACAAGTCAAGAAAAACCTCTTAGCAGCCTAACGGGCAATCCATCTTTAAGAAACAGGTTTCAAATGCACAGCTCTTGAAGAGGCTGGTTGAGGTTGTTTTCTCTCTCTCTTTTTTTTCTCTTTTATCTATATGGACATTGGTGAGTGCTGAAATATGCCTCACTTCAGCACGAACTTGGGCTGAATGATATCCCAGGCAAGAATTAAATCATCGCTTCTTACAGCAAGAAATAAACACCCAAGCGAGGGAGACCCTTGGCGCATGCGGTGGAGGGGAGCTGGTGAGCCTGGCAGTGTTTGATGGGGCCTTTGTATTCCAGGCAGGATTCAAAGCTCAAGCTCAGCCTCACCGGAGCAAGCGGGTGACTCGGCCCAAAAGAACATTCCTCAGGGAAGCTCCAGGTGAATCCTCTGTGATTGCACGACTGAGACCTTCTTGTCCTTCAGATGTGGGCATCATCGTTAATATGCCCGGGTCCAGGAACCAGGATGGCATTGCAAGGTCTTCATGCCAACAGTGGCTGGGGTGATGCCTATGATGCCAAGTGCCCTGATAACTACAAGGCCAAGCTCATAACAAGCACCTGCCGTGTTCCAGGGCTAAGTTCCTTACAAAGAACCTCTCCTTTCGTCTTCGTGTCTGCTCTCTGGCTGGTGCTAGTTAGACTGCCCATGTTGTGGCTTCCTTCTCTGCTTCAGGAGGGCCCCTGAGAAATGGGAGCTCAGGGAGGACCTGTAACTCTGTTAAAGGAAAGAGGTGGTAGAAGCTGGCTCCGAACCTGTGTTATTCCCTTATGCTTAACCACCTTGCAACGGCCATCTCCTATGGTTGCTGACTTAGTTTTGGAGGCTGAGTTTTCCAGAAAGCAGCAGATATTGGGGTGTGCCTCCTCGTAGTCTCATTCCCTCAATACACCCCCTCCTACTCTGAGCTTCAGATGACCAAGGTTATAGTTGTACATGGAGACCCAAGTCTAGACCAAAGCTAAGCTAAGCATATCTAGGAATAGGACAGGTGAGGCTGGTGCCATTAATCAGAACTGTATTTGTTATCTGCTGCTGTGTAACAAATGGCCCCCAAACTTAGCAGCTTTAAAACAACAAATGTTTATTGCCACACAGTTTCTGCAGGTCAGGAATCCAGACACATCTCAGCTGTGTGTTCTGGCTCAGGGTCTCTTACAAGGCTGGCATCATGGTGCCTGCTGGAGCGTCTGTCATTTCAAGGTTCAGTTGGGGGAGGATCCACTTCCAAGCTCAGCCACATGGTTGTTGGCCAGTGCAGCTCTGCACCAGATGTGGGACTGAGGTCCTTAGGTCCTCACTGGCTATCAGCAGGAGGCCTCCCTCAATTCTTAGCCACATGGGCCTCTCCATAGAGCAGCTTATAACATGGCAGCCAGTTTCCCTCAGAGCAAGGGAGACAAGAGAGCAAGAGAGTGAGAAAGGTAGAAGCCAGAGGCTTTGCTGTGCAGTCTCAGAGTGACATCCCATCACGGCACACACTCAAGGGGAGGGGGTACACAGGGGCAGGAACACCAGCAGGTGGCACCCATGGGCAGCAACTGCACTTGTAATCTAGCATTATGTAAGAAAGTACATAACAAAGCTTCCCACAATAAGCACTTCACATCTCTCACAGTTTCTGTGGTCAGGAATTCAGGAGCAGTGTGAGTGGGAAGTTGTGTCTTAGGGTCTCTCACAGGACTGCAGTCAGAGGTCAGCAAGGGCTCCAGTCCTCTGAAAGCCTGTCTGAGGCTGAAGGACCCACTTCTGGGTGGTGCACTCACGTGGCTGTTGGCAGGAGGCCTCAGTTCCTCTCCACGTGTGCCTCTCCTCGGGGCTGCTTGAGCATCCTCACAGTATGGTGCCTGGCTTGCCCAGTGTGCAGTCCAGGAGACCACGGCAGAAGCTGCAATGCCTTCTGTGATGCGGCCTTGGAAGTTGTCCCACGCCATCACTTCTCTAGTATTCTACTGGTCCTGCCCCATCACTTCCACAGTTTTCTACTGGTTACATAGGCCAGCCCTGTTCAGTGTGGAAGAGGACACCACAAGGGCATGAATACCTGGAGGTAGAATCATCACGGAAGCCATCTTGGAGATCAATTCCCACATCAACTAAGCAATCCCACCATGGGTTGGAATCACAGGGTGCTGGAGCCGAGCAAAGAGGATACTGGACCCCAAGCCCATGCACACCACACTCTCTGCAGTCCCCAGAGTGTGACAGCCGTCTGGGGCCCTTGTCTTTACGATGTTCCCTCTGCTTGGCAGGCTCTTCTCCCACAGTGGGCTCCTACTCAACCTCCAAAGTCCAATTCAAATGTTACCTCCTCTAGTCCTCACCCTATCCCCTCACACCACCCCACTCACAACATGGATGTCTCCCTCCACAGGCCCCTGTGCAGTTTTTGCATGCCCTTATTATCAGCCTTATCTCAGAATCTATCTGCTTATCCCATGTGTCTGAGGCTCCACATGGCCAGGGACCTTGAGCTACCTGTGTCACCTGAGCACCTGGCCAGGGTCTGCCCATGGTAGGTGCATGGACACTATAAGATTGAGCCAAGTCAGTCTCAGTGAGTTTCAGGGCTGGGCTGAGACCAGAGTGAAGGTCCCAGCTTCCTGAGCCCTTTCCTGCAGTTGCAGTGGGACCTTTCAGCACATGTCTGGGGTGAGAGCCTTCCCAGAGTCCGCCATCAGGCCTTAGCCCGTGGGTCCTCACACATGACACCAGGAAGGAGCCTCAGCCCTGGCTGGGGACATCCCTGAGCTGCCAGTCCAGCTCCAAGAGTTGAGCATCTCCATCAACTCTTCATCCACAGATTCAGTACATGTCCCCAGATTCCTGCCTGGCTTTCTCCCTGCAGCTGGGCCCATTGTAGACAGTTCCCCCAACACTCCACTAAAGCTTGGTGTGGGCTGTGATCCATGGAAGGTCCTCACAGGTGCAGGCAGGGGGAGGCAAAGTGCCCAGAACGGGGCTGAATGTGATTGCTGGGCATATCTCACACTGAAGGAGTTTCGGCTGCCAAATAGTGCCTCACTGCTCCAAGGACGGCACGGCCTTTCCCATGCACAGGTGTTCTAAAGGGTGCACCAGTTAACTGAGTGTGCATCAGTTACCTGAGCAGTGCTGTCACCTGGACTCCTTCAGCCCTGCCTCCTCCCCTCCTTCACTCCAATGGAGAGGGGCCTTTTAGCCCTATACCATGGCAAAGTGAGTCTGGAGGGGTCCACTCACATTCGCAATGGGACAATGGCTTGTCTGGAAGCTGCTCCTGTCCAAAGAACAAAAGGTGACAGAGCTCGGACACAAGGGTGCCCACAAGCAGGACAAGAGTAGCCCAAGGGGCAATGGCAAGATAGAGCCAGAACAGGGAAGGAGGAGGAGCTAGAGAGGGAGAAAGAAGGCAAAGGGCCGGACCTGAGGGGTCTCCGAAGCCTGCCCAGTAGCCACTGGCATTGGCAACAGTACTTGGGCTCTGGTGTGTTTTCCATCAGTGGCAGCTTTGGCACTGGTCTCTTTCCAAACACCCTTCCACATCTTTTCAGTACATATCAGGACATATCACATATTATGTGACTTGAGGTCCCTGTATTAGTTTGTTTTCGCACTACTATAAAGAACTGACCAAGACTGGGTAATTTAGAAAGGAAAGAGGTTAAATTGACTCACAGTTCCGCATGGCTGGGGAAGCCTCAGGAAACTTACAATCATGGTGGAAGGCACCTCTTCACAGGGCAGCAGGAGAGAGAATGAGTGCCGAATGCAGAGGGAAGACCCTCATAAAACCATCAGATCTCATGAGAACTCACTCACTAGCACAAGAAAAGCACAGGGGAAACTGCCCCCATGATCCAGTTACCTCCACCTGGTCCTGCCTTTGCCACCTGGGAATTATTACAATTCAAGGTGAGATTTCGGTGGGGACAGACAGCCAAACCATAGCAGCTCCCAAGCCCCAGAAGTCTGGAGTTCAGTAGATCGGTGGGGACTGGCATTTTTGTTTTAATCTCCCTCCAGTCATTCTGATGCAGCCCAGCTTTAAAAGTCCTTACATTGATGGTAAAGCAATTGTCCAGCCCCAATTTTCTGACACAATCCCTATTTCCTAGAGCTTAGGAATGAAGGTAATTTGTATTAAAATGTGAATCATTCTGTTTTCCACCTATTAAGTCCTTGCATGTAAATTCATTTCTATATTTTAGAAATCTGTTGACCAGTCTTATCCTCCAGTTTGGAATTTTGCAAAGTTCCATTACTGTACACTTGATTGTTGAAAAGAAGATAGAGAAGGACCTCTTCAGAAGAATTTCTGAAATGAACCATTCTTATGGCCTCTTCCAAATGAATTTGCACTCATCCGATTCATTTATTGCTCTAACTTCCTTCCTGCATAATGGCTTTCAGAGTCTAAGGAACAAGCTGGAGAATTAGGCCTGAAAATCCAATCCTTTATTAGCTCCGGTGGCCTGAGTCTGGAGGCTCAACAATGTCTTGCTGGTCCTGGTCACATCTCAAGATTTATTACGGTCTTTCCCTCTCAGCAAAACCCTGCATGAGAGCAAGGGCCAAGCCTGGGTTTCCTTAGCAATGTGCACCCCCTGCTGAGCAGTGCCTGGACACAGTAGGCACGCAGCACTAAGGCCCTTTGGGACCCTGCCCAGGGCCTCCTGGATGCCCGCTGCCCACTTGCTGTGTGGCAGGGCAATGCCTCATTCCTGCCAATGCAGGAGGCCCTCAGAGAGAAGTATGCCTGGGAGCAGAATCCCACCATGCCCCATGAGGCAGCTCGGAGCACAGAACACCCCCACCGTCATCACCTCCAAAGCCCCTCAGCTGGCAGATGCCACCCAGCAGGACATTGGGCAGCAAATATTGGGTCATCAAAGGCGTGTGGACCGGTACGGTTTCTCAGGCTTGCCCTGGGAGGATCCATCCGTCCTCACTAGCAGTGTCTGGCTCAGAGGCCTCGCCTGCCTGTTCCATGGATCAGGGGCCCTCATATCCTGCAATGGGCCCATCTTCGTGGGTCATGGGCTATCTCTGAAACGTCTAGAGGTAAAAGAGTGACCCTAGCCCAGAGCGAAAGACAGGGCAGACCCTAACTGAATCCATGTCCTTGGTCTTCATCTGACTTTCCTCCAAGCCGCTGAGCTCACTGCCCACTCCAGGAAAGACAAGGACTTTGATCATTCCTCCTAGCCCTAAAGCCCACGACTCCAGACCATGCCAGCCACACTCATCCGTCCACCCCAGGAAGGGCCCAGCTGGCCTGCCTGCCTGTGTCTCTCCAGAATCCTACAGACAGTTCCAAGCCAGGCTCTTGGCTTCCTCAGATCTGCCCCTCTGAGGGACTTCTGCTTTCCTGAAATGCATTTGCCATTGTCAGGGATGCCGGCCACAAGCAGATGCCTGGCACGGACTCACCAAGGGAGAGCTGCTCCTCAACCCCGATGCCTCCAGACTCGAATGTTCTCCTTAGAGTTCATCAAATGAAAACCCTAGTCTTGAGGGGGAAAAGCCTCTTAGGAGGTTAATAGCGAGTGGATAGAGCAATAAATGTAATGATTTAATTCTTCAAGGATGGCTAAACAGACTGCTGTTTACCAAAGTCTTCGCAGATAATTACTAACAGATAATTACAAAAACCTGCCGAATCGGGGCTGCCCCAGAAATGGCCATAGCCCCAATCCGCTTTGCCAAGCTAAGCTAATGGGTTGATTCCACAGAGAAATTCCACACAGGTCGCTTTCTGGGAAAGACACCAGGCAAGAATTTCCACTGCTCTCTCTCTCTCTCTCTCCCTCCCCTCGCCTCCTCTCCCTCTTTCCTCTCTCCTTGCTCCATCCCTCACTGAGGCCTGTTTCTATCACCCCTGGAATGCTCTCCCATGTTGTGACCTGTCTCCCTGGAGAGGGACCATAATCATTTTAGGCCAACTTCTCAAATAGCCTCCTTTCCTTCTCAATCTCCAGTTAGCAGACACGGGGCAGTGGGACATTCACTGCAGAGGAACAGCTCTGGGTCGGGCTTTGGTGAAGGGGTTCAGAGGGGCACCTGTGGCTTGAGTCTACCCGCAGCTGTCTGGCAAAGAGAAGGGCATCCTGAGGTTGGCGGGGAGGTGACCCATAGGGACCACCTAAAGCCACCTGGACAGGAAGTTCGTTCCAGACCCTGAGAAAAGAAAGGAACAAGGTGTGTAACCCATATAGCATGTGAGCCTCCTTGGGCCTGTCCTGCTCTCCCCCTAAGAGGTCACTGGGTTTCCCACCCAAGGGCCCCCTCCCACTCCAAACATACCCACTCCCAGAGAGAAGTCCAACTCCAATAGCACTGGTGAGTCTGGCAGATTTCACTGAAATGTTCATGGGGAGGTAAAGGAAGAGATGACCCTGCACATCTCAATGCAAAATGTCTTTAAAATCCCTTGTTAATATCTCTGCGTATTCTCCGAGCTCTCCTCCTACTGCAGCTGCCTCATCCCAGAGACACATCTCTGCTCCTCCTCTTTCTCAGCCTCTGCTGCTCCACGGGCTCAATCTGGATCAGGGGCCACATGTGCCTGTCCTGTGGGCCAGGGGCGCATCTGATTCTGCAGTTGACTCACATTCACCGTAATGGCCTGGGGCTGTCTCTGCCCTGGG
This sequence comes from Homo sapiens, assembly GCF_000001405.40. Classification (NCBI taxonomy): domain Eukaryota; kingdom Metazoa; phylum Chordata; class Mammalia; order Primates; family Hominidae; genus Homo; species Homo sapiens. The sequence goes on from NC_000010.11 coordinate 124,264,485, forward strand.
CCTGAGTCCTCTCTGCAGGTAAAGGTGTTCTTTATGATCGTCCAGTCCACACCATCAATGCCACACTTGCAGGCCCTGTAGCACCCTTCGGAGTGTGGTCCTTCAGCTGCAGAAATGCAGAGCTTCCTATGCCCAAGGCCTCCAGTGCTGTAGCAGGCTGGCACAGGAGAAGGTTTCCCCTACACTGAGCCAACAGTGGACCCTCGACTTTTGGAACCCAAGACCCTTGGAGAGCACAGAACAGTCTCCTCTTTTCCTCTAACAAGTCTTCAAACATCGAACATGCTTTTTCCGTCCTTCACTGACTCAGCTTCTCTCCAGGTGGAAGGTGGGACCCTGCAGTCCTTCCTCGCTGCCGGGGGGCAGGTCCCTCGACACCAGGGCCACCCTCCACGGAGCAGTCACCAGCTTGAGCTGCCCTTCTCCAGAGGTGGTGCCAAGTGGGCTGCAGGGATCTAGTGTGGTCCTGCCACGCAGAGGGCAGCAGTACTGCCCACTCGTTCCCACCCGGGCCCTGTTCCTGCCCACTTCTCCTCCCGTAGGCATCTGTCCCACCATGACAGTGAGGTCCCCGGCTCTCCAGGGCCTGTTGAGGTGCAGTAAATGAAGCCTACTCAGATCAGCTCACAACAGTGGACTTAAACCACCGGCATGGGAACACATCAAGGAACCCAAGAACTGAGGAAGTGTGGGAACGGGCAGTGGGGACCAGACTCTGCTTGGAAGGAGCCACTGCCTTCTCGAGCCACTGCCTTCTCAACCCCCACTCGCCCTACCCAGGGCTGTGCAGATCCTCACCCCCTCTCGGGCCCTCAGGCTCTCATCCTCCCTCTCCTGCAGATCTTCTGCCCCTGCACCTGCCTCAAACACTCCGATGTGCATGGCTGTCTCCATTCCAGTGCCACCATCCAACCAACCAACATCTCTGATCCAATCCCAAATTCCCTGGATTTGAATCTGATTGGATCCCCCTAGATCAAGCCCCCTCTCTCATCCAATCAGTGGTAGCCCAGGAGGGGCACGTCCCAGACATGGCCTTGGGGCCCTCCCAGTGGAGGGTGTGGGTATGCAGACCCCCAGCCATGTGCTATCTAGGCTGCTGACTCCATCCCTCCACCTCCCCACCCCAGCCCCCTGCACTCACACAGTAGACCCCTTACAGGACTTGTCCCCTTCTTCCTGAATCCTCTCCTCTGCCAAGATTGTCCCTCTCCCCAGTCAATGGATCTTGTTTTAATCCTAATTCTGGCTTCCAGTATAAATGCTCTCTCTCCATCCTGTGCTGTTCCTAAATCTGATGCCTGTGTCTGCTGGGTCCCTGGCTAAGCTGAAAACCACTGGCCTAGCCAAGGCTGGACAAGGCCTTGGTGGGGCAATGGTGGTTTCCCACCCAGGGCTCTGGAACCTGGAATTTGACCCACTGGACTAGAGACCTTGTTCCTGCTGCTGTTGCCCCTACCGGCTCTGTCCTTCCCACCACAGCCCTGCTCTCCAATACCCACCCCTGCCTGACTCCCAGCCCCAGCACAGTGCCCAGAACATCCGGGCTCCCCAGTGGCTGCCCCAGGCCCAGTTGCTTTCAGGTGGTGCTGTTCCACCCTCCCCCAGACCCGGGACACACCTCTGCCTTGGAGCCTCCCTGGGGAACCTTCCTAGAAGACAGGAAAGGACATTCACTTCCACTCGAGTTATCCTGACATCAAACCTGGCTGTGCAGAAAGAGCAGGTTCCTTCAGCTGGGGAACAGCCCTGCATGACGGAATTAGTGCCACTCCACGGCGCCTCCAGAAACCATGCCCACTGCCCACCAAGAGCCACGAGGAGTACACCGGGTCCTGAGAATGCACATCCCCTGCGGTGCAGCTTCCCCAGCCAGGAGCTTCGCAGGTATGCCCTACAGGGAGGAGGAGCTCTTCCACCAGCCCGGCAGCCCCCAGGTTTCAGGAACCATTTCAGCCACCTTAGCAGGGCTCATGTTCAAGTTTAGACTAACAGTTTCATGACCACATTTTTAAAAATTCTATTACTAATTCAGCTTCTATGGGGAAAAAAAAAAAAGCCCAGCTTGATTTTCTAACTTGGTTTTTCAAGAAGCTGGGTAAGACTTCCCTATCTGACAGCAATGAGTAAATCATTACTCAGCACCTTGGAAGGACATTCTAGAGCTCCAGAGAGCTTTCGGGCCAGGAAGGTGTGCTGGGGAGCTGGACTCCTCTGACCACATTTTCCAGAAGTAAGCCCTTTACCTTGGTCTGCTCAAGGTACCGTGGTGTCGTGCAAGGGTAATGAAGGGACTGCGATGGAAGCCGGGCGGGAGACACGCCCTGGGACAGGAGGCTCAGGCCTCACTCCGTACTCTCTTCTCCACCAGCTGGAGGCCCTCCAATCTCACCATGCCCTAGGGACAGACAAACGGCATGTGACAGACACCCCCGGTGCCCCTCGAGGCACCCACCCCTGAGCCCACCTCTGCCTCAGCATCTTGGTGGCAGGCGCTAGCTGACCTCACACTCCCTGGCCCTGAAAGCATTGGTCTCACACCTGCCTCGTGCGTGTCTCCAGGCACATGGGAGTCTGCCCAGGCCAAGCACACACAGCTGGAAGTGTGGGGGTGAAGTCCCCAAGGGCAAACCTCTGACCAGGGGTGTCGTGAGCCAGTGGGTAAGCTGTCCTCTGCCCTTCCAGTGGACAATTTTGTCCCTACCCAGGAGGTCTCAATGGTGTCAAGCCTCAGGGCCCACAGCAGCAATCTCAACAGCCCTTGTGTTCGTGTTTCCTCCTCCTATTCCTACTCTCCACACTCCCATGCCTCCACTTTTTGGGATCTGCTCCGATAGCCCACCTGCACCCAAGTCTCAGGCCTGGCCTTCCAGGAACCCAAACTAAGATGCCATCTCTCTGCACACCACAGGGACACAGGGCCTCACGCGAGGCTGCCGCTGAGTCAGCTCTCCATAAAAACCTGCCAGAGGAATCAAGGAAGCTCCTGTGTCCTTCCTGGGAGGTGGTCCTTACAGGAAAGTCACACAGCAAATCTGTCATATGAACAGGGTTTCCTGACATGCAGGCCTCTCTCTGCCAGCCTCAAGCTTCACTTCAGCGAGTGCAGTCCCCCTAGGCTGGCGACACTGAGCGCTTCCAGCTGTCAGAGCCCATGGCATTGGCTGCCATCCATGCTGCAATCCACAGGCTATTAAGGGAGGCCCAGAGAGGCCAGAGCTGGGCCTTGTCACTGGCCCACAGAGTTCCTGTTACTACAGTCACCACCCAGACACTCATTATCCCCCCTCTGAGGCCTGCAAATGGCCCTGCCAGGGAATGTGGGGGTCATGATTGCTTTTTACTCAGTATCCGACTCAGGGCTAGGACATGGCTGTCTCTGAGGCTGGAGGTACAGCAAGGAAGGTTCCCACAGGTCCACATCAGAGGCCTGGACACAGATGGGGGCACAGCCCAGACCAGTGCACCCTTCCAAACCCCTTCCAGAAGAGCCCATTGGAAAGAAAAATTGGTCCCTCTGGGGACCCAGGAATTTGGACACAAGTGTCCCCGAGCAGGAGGCAGGGGCACCAGGAGGCCTGCACAGGAGGAAGGAGCCTGGCCAGAGGTCCTGAGCCCAGGGAACCCCTGCTGGCTCTGTCTGGCAATTCCTTTCTCCCTCCCAACGTGAAATGACGGGCTTTGGGCAAGACCCCCAGAGGTGAGTCCAGCTCCGACAACTGTTTCCAAAAACACAACCCCAGAGCACCAGGTCTGGGAGACAGACAGATGCTCCATGGACAAGGTGTTCATTGGTCTAATGTCCTTGAGAAGCCCTGCACACAGGAGGCCCCTCTTGAAGACTGACTTGGCTAAAGGCCCTGAGATGTCCTGCAGCACAGAGCCCTGTTTAACGAGTAGAGTCCAGACTGTCCCTAACTTATGTGACCACAAAAACCTTTTTTCCAAGGACATCTCCTCTTTCTAAAGCACAGACTGAGCACTGGCAGTGCAAGCCATTTGATTGGCTATTACCAAGGTTGCTCCGAGGAGTCTGTCTCCTTGGGATGCAAGGTGGAAAACATCCGCATAGAAAAACAGGTGTCTCCGGATGCTGTTCCTGAGACAATGCTCTAAGGAACAAATTAGGGAAACACCTGAAGCCTTGAGGGGAAACTTGTTTCCACTGGTGATTTATCTGCAGGTGGTCAGGGCGGAGATGGAGGCATCAGTAGCTGCCTGGCCTTCAGCTTTCGAGTCCCTTCTCCCACCAGTGAAAGCAAGGGCTGGGGGAAGACCTCCAGAGGCCAGCCCAGCTCTGACAATTATTCCCCAAACCATGACCCCAGCGGGGTAGAGATGGACAAGTTGAACCCAATATGTCCCAAGTGAATCTTACCTTCCTGGCCCCAAATCTGCCCTTCCTCAGGTGTCCCCATCTCAGGGAAAGCCACTCCCATCTCCCCAGTTACCCCAGACAGAAATATGAACATCATTGCCTTCCCACTCATAACACACCCCATTGCCACTCCCATCTCCAAGTCCTATTAGTGCCACCTGTTAAACAGCTCCCAAACACATCCCCTCCTCCCCATTTCCTGTCACTAGGCACCTTTTACTGAGTGCCTACTATGTGCAGATGCAAAGCCACCACCTCCATTCTGCCCATCATCTCCCGCAAGGAGCATCTGTTACAAAAGCTTCCCCCAGGCAGAGCTCTGCCTGCTCCTCTCCCCTTCAAGCTGCCACGGGAGCCTCCTCCCAAATACAGAGTGGGCCCGCTCCCCTGGGGCCATGTCCAAATTCCTAAGAAGCACACATGGCCCCACATGACAGGGCCATGGTGTCTGCCTCTGTGGCCCCTCTGACACTCATCTTTACCTCGACGCTAAGTGCTGAGAGTGCACACAGGATGAAGATGACAGACTCTTCTGAACAGGAGGGTCCTCTGCGCTCCTTCTCCAGCAGAGGCCAGCGTGTTCTCTGGTCACCTCCTTCCATGCTGTCTTCCCTATGGGCCTCAGCTTGTGCCTGAGAGGCCGGCCCCTCAGCTGCTTCTTGGAGCCTCTCCTGAGCCAGACAGGAGCCCGGGTTTGCCTCCTATGAACATGGCTCGCTTCTTCTTGTGATAATCATCCAATCAACAAACTGCCAACAAAAGTGCCCTACCGCACGGGGCTGTTGTGAGGACCAGCAAGGTAACAGATGCAAAGCGCCATCCTGGCGCATAGTGTGTGCTCAATATATGTTCACTCTCAAGAGTCAGCCCATCTCTGGGCAGTTAACATCTCTGAGCCTCAGTTTTCTTGTCCATAAAATGGGAATGATACCCATACCTGGATCAAGGAATTATTGTGAGAATAAACGCTATAATGACCCTTCAGTGATGTAACTGGCACAAAGGCTCCTGTGATTATTATTACCTCCTACCTCCACCTCACTGCCCGCTGTGGGGAGAGATCCCAGCCCCACTTGTACTAAGAGCTGCACACAGGATGAAGATGACAGACTCTTCTGAACAGGAGGGTCCTCTGCTCTCCTTCTCCAGCAGAGGCCAGCGTGTTCTCTGGTCACCTCCTTCCATGCTGTCTTCCCTATGGGCCTCAGCTTGTCCCTGAGAGGCCAGCCCCTCAGCTGCTTCTTGGAGCCTCTCCTGAGCCAGACAGGAGCCCGGATTTGCCTCCTATGAACATGGCTCGCTTCTTCTTGTGATAATCATCCAATCAACAAACTGCCACGTCCAGGTTGGGCATGGTACCCTCACCCTAAAACCACCAGCAAGCAGCGCGGCACACCTGGCTCCTCCTTCTCAGACGCACTGCCCCACCCAGCTCCCGAGCCCTCCAGCCTCACCTTCCCCAATTGCCCCAGGAAATCCTCCTCCGCCTTCCAGGCTGACCTCACTCACCCCTCCCAACACCACCCTTGGCCTTCCCATCCCTGGTGACCGGCTCCATCCCCTGGGTTCTCATGGTGCCTCTTTTTCATTCCTATTAGAGATTTTGCAAGCTGCCACGGGATGCCCGAGGGTGCCAAGCTCTGTGCTGGGAATGTCCCCTTCACCTAAAGCTCATCCATCAAAAATGTAATTAGAGAAGTAACATCCCAAGAAAGTGGCAGGCTGGGACCCACACCCAGCCTGCCCAGCCCCCTCCTTCCCTGCTGCACCATGAGGCAGGGAGTGGGACCGCTAACATGCGGTCTAACACCAGGCTTCTGTCTGCAGGAAGAGAATCCTGCATTAACTCTCCCCGCCCACAACAAGGTCACATCTCCCTGGCTCATCCTCTCCTGCAGCATTTCATCTTCACAGTCACCCCCCTTCCCTACCTGATGGGGGAAATTAAGCCATCGAAGCTGTTCTCACTGAAGGAAAGTGGCAAGTGTTCATCCTGAATCCCAGGTGCCATTGGCTCTTCCCAGGCCCTCTCCAAATGAGCCCCAGCATTCTTTCCCCAAGGAGACACAGAGCCCCCCTCCTGGGGCTGAGGTCTTCCCACAGAGGACAATACCCCACCCTCAAAGTAGACAGGCTCTAGGCCAGGCTGTCACTATGGGATCCCCCAGTGTGTGCCTTCCGAAGCCCAGAGAGGTTCCAGAGCCTGGATGGTTATAAACATTCCCATAAATCATAGATTTCAGCAGAAGCACATGAGCTCCCAGAGGCGCACAGCTGCGCAGCCCCTCCCCCAGGGGCCACCTTCCATGCAGGAGGCTGCTCTGATACAAGGTCATCCATGCAGCTACAGGGAATGTAGCAGAGCAGAGGCAGAAGCGATGGCAAGCCTTGAGCCCAGGTGGCCTCCAAGGTCCTTTCCAAGGCTGATGCTCAATCACTCTGAACACCTCAGAAGAAGAGTCTGTTAGCTCCAACCCATGGTGGTGCAGACTTCTCTTCCCCTGTGATATAGATTGGCTCTGTGTCTATCTATAGATCTATATCAAGGTGTCAATCTCACCTTGAATTGTAATAATCCCCATGTGTCTTGGGAGGAACCTGGTGGGAGGTAATTGAATCATGGGGGTGCATCTTGCTCATGCTGTTCTTGTGATAGTGAATAAGTCTCATGAGATCTGATGGTTTTATAAAGGGGAGTTCCCCTGTACATGCCCTCTTGCCTGCCATCATGTAAGACATGACTTTGCTCTTCCTTCATCTTCTGCCATGATTGTGAGGCCTCCCCAGCCATGTGAAACTGTAAGTCTAATAAACTCTTTCCTTTGTAAATTACCCAGTCTCAGGTATGTCTTTATTAGCAGCATGAGAGCAGACTAATACATCGACCTTCCATCTCAGATGGTGTGAGGAGACCCAACCTACAAGCTATAAATAGAAATGCCAGAAAAGTTGACGGGTGTCTCCACCAATCACGGAGAGTGCATTTCCACTCCTGACACACCAGCCTGCCCATCTTCCTTCCTGAGTGACTCATGTGTGGCCCATGTGGCCCTACTTTTTGTTTTTGGAAGCACAGACTTTGACCATGGGTGATGGTGAGTAAGTACAACCTCCTGCCTTGTCTTTGAGTGACTGACTGGTTAACTTGTCCCCGCCAGGCCACTCTTTGAGGATGGGGATCAAATATGTCTACACAGTCCTTACTGGGACAGACCCAGGTGGGTGTGGAAGAGGGCTGACATACCAGCCACACCAATCAAGAGCATCCTCCAAGGCCTAGAAGAAGAACAAGTGTGTTTCATCTGGATAAAGGGGAGGGGTTCATCCAGAGACTGCTGTTTACTAACCACACCTAAAATGCAGTGTATCAATTAGGAATGCATTTAGCTGCAAGTAACAGAAAATCCAACTAATAGTGGCTTAAAGAATAGGGGTTATTTTCTTACATTAAGGAGAAACCTGAAGGGAGGTGTTCCCTGACATGCGTCTCATGGTTCAACAATCACGACTTCGTAGCCTCCTCCTCACAGTCACAACATGGCCATCACAGATCCAGGAACCAAGAGCACATTCAAAGCAGGAAGAAAAGAAGGGAGCAACAAGCTGGCCTGAGTTTGCAAGGAGACTGGGAGAGTGGGTACTGAGATTTTTCCATCCTCTATGGTAGAAACAGGCAAGCCTATGGTGTTGGGACTTGGTGTCAGGTCAGCCACAAACACAATGGGAGGTTCCTGGACCTGTGAAAGGCTTTGAAACCAGAGCAGATACAGCAAGGGCATCCCCTGGGCACAGGCACAATGCCTCGGGGGAAGGAGGAGGCCTGCAACTGAAATAAGTCCAGCTGCATGAAAATACCATTCTGGATGTGGTTGGGTCAGGAGATGTGGCAAAAGGAGAGCAACCAGGATAGCAGGAGGACCCTTAAGGTTGGGTGACAGGTGGCTGGAGGACACAGGACTGTTCTCTCCAGGGAATACTGTTGTGGGGAAGGGAAAGGATCAACCTTCTCTTCCGTGGCCATGCTATGGTCCTGGAGGCCAGTGATGAAAGAGACTCTGGTTGTTTCACCCCATCTCTCAGCCCAGCACAGCTGTGATCAAGCCCCCACTATCTGGAGCAACTCCAGTCTCTCTGGGTATGTGGTGCCCCCAGAAGAGCCGGATCAGAACCTGGGGAACCCTCGGCACTTCTTACCACACCTCCAAGGCTGTTCCATGGCCCAGAGGGCTCATCTCCACTGCCTGCCCCTCTCCTGAGGTTTGCAAGAACTTCTACCCCACCTTGCCCACCCCTCATCTCCCTCTCTCCTTCCCATTCTCCTGTCCTTTCCTTCTTCACAATCAAGAGCTATCTTCAAACACCCAAGGGACAATTGCTCAGAAGATAGTAGGGGGTAAAAATGAAGAAAAAAACACAGAAGAAAAGAGATTAGAAATGGTTGGGAAGGTCCAACATCAAAACAATAGGAGTGCCAGAAAGAGAGAACAGAGGAATCCCTGGAGGAAATCATCTAACCCAATAAATGAAGGGCATTTCCCAGAGCAGAAGGATACAAGTTTCCAGATTGAAAGGGCTCGTGGAGATTACAGCACAAAGGATAAAATTAGAGCCACACCAAAGTGCACCATTGTCATATTTCAGAACAGTGAGGATGCTGAAAGCTTCTGGTGGTCAGACAGGAAATACAATATACAAAGGATCAGGAATCAGAAGAACTTCTGTCACATAGATGAATTCACATTTTCTAAAATTTTATGTAAGTGGAATCCTACATTTTGTACTCTTTTTTGTCTGGCTTCTCTCACTTATCATAATCACTTTAAGATTCATCCATGTGGTTGCACATATCAACAGTTCATTCATTTTTATAACTAAATAATATTCCATTGTATGAATATACGATAATTTGTTTACCCACTCATCTGCTGATGGAAATTTGGGTTGTATGCAGTTATTGACTATCGCTTCAAATATTTCACACAAGTCTCTTATGGATATATGCTTTCATTTATCATGGGTATGTACCTAGAAATGGAATAGCCGAGTCATAAAGTAGCTGTGTTTAACTTTTTAAGAAACTGCTACACTGTTTTCCAAAGCAGTTGGGCCATTTTACATTTCATCAGCAGTGTATAAAAGTTCTGGTTCTTTCAATTCTCACCAACATTTCATACAGTGAATCTGGGGAGTGGTATCTTATTCTTGTTGTAGTTTACATTTCACTAATAACTAATGATGTTGAGCATCTTTTCACGTGCTTATTTGCCATCCATATATATTCTTTGGTAAAGTGTCTATTAAAAAACCTTTTTCATTTTTAAATTAGACTTTTTTTATTATTGAGCTTTTAGAATTATTCATATATTCTAAATATAAGTCCTTTATCAAATACATGATTGAAAATACTCTTCTCCAATCCATGGCTTGCCTTCTCATTCTCTTAACAGTGTCTTTTGAAGAGCAAAAGTTCTTCCATTTGAACTTTAAATTATCGATGTTTTAGTTTTATGGATTGTGATTTTGGTGCCATATCTAAGAAATCTTCCCCTAACCCAAAATTGCAAAAATGTCCTCCTATGTTTTTTTAGAAGTTTTGTAATTATAGGTTTTTCACTTGGGTCCATGATCCACTTTAATGCTGTATGTAGTATAAGAAATAGATTATGTTTCCCTTTTTTTCCATATGGATATCCAGTTGTTCCATCACCCTTTGTCGAAAAGACTATCTTTTCTACACCTAATTGCCTTTTCATCTTTATTGAAGGCCAATTGACAGTATATGTATAGGCCAATTTCTGAGCCCTCTATTCTTTGCCCTTGACATTTATGTCTATTTTATTCCAGTATTCCATATTTCAGATTTCTATTGCTCTATGATAAAGCTTAAAATCTGATACCATAGTTCACCAAATTTTTTTTCAAAATTGTTTTAGCTATTCTAGATATTTTGCATTTCCACATGATTTCTAAATAAGAGTCAACATATAGATTTCTATGGAAATGTCACTGTGATTTCAATTGAGATGGAGTTCAATCTATAGATCAATTTGGAGAGAAATGACATTTCAACAATATTGAGTTTTTTAATCCACCAGAATGATATATCTCTCCATTTATTCAGGACATTTAGAATTTCTCTCAGCAGTGATTTACAGATTTCAGTATACTTGTCTTTCATATATTTTGTAAAATGTACTCCTGTGATAGGAAGAATATGACCCCAAAGATGCCTACATCCTGGCTCATGGCCTGGCATCACTGTGACCCCTACTTCCAAAGTCACGTCTCCATCTATCTGAGTCTGACCCCCTGCCTCCCGCTTATCTGGTCCCTTGCAATGATATTGGGCCCACACGGATAATCCAGGATAACCTCCCCATTGCAATATCCTTAATCACATCTTCCAGGGCCATTTTCTTATGTGATGTAACGTATTTACAGATTCTGATGATTAAGCTCTACACATCTTTGGAGGCATATTCCTCTTATCAGAGGGGTAAATCTTACAAAAGATATGAAAGATCTGTATACTCAAAACTGTAAATCATTGCTAAGAGAAATCCTAAATGACCTAAATAAATGAAGAGCTATATCATGCTGGTGGACTGAAAAACTCAATATTGTTGAAACATCAGTTCATTTTTACCTATTGTAAATGGAAATATTTTTAACTTCAATTTTCATTTGCTCATTTCTAGTATTTGGAAATAAAATTGATTACTATATATTGATCTTTTATCCTGTAACCTTGCTAAGCTCAACTATTAGTTCAAATAGCTTTTTTGTAAATGCCATAAGATTTTCTACGACACAAGCATGTTGTTTAGGAGTAAACACAGTTTAACTTCTTCCTTTCTGAACAGGATGCCTTTTATTCTTTGTCTTGCCTTATTGCACTGGATAGAACTATTTACCTGAATCTAACATCGAATGGAAGCGGTGAAAGTGGACATCCTCACCTTATCGTTGAACTTAGGAGGAAAGTAGCCCATCTCTCACCATCAAGTAGGAATAATGTTGGCTGCAGGTTTTCTATAAATTACTCTATCAGGTTGAAGAAGTTCTCTTCTTTTCCTAAGTATCTGAGAGTTGTAATCAGGAATAGATATAGAATCTTGAATTATGCTTTTTATTAATCCATTACGATGGTCATATGTTGTATTTAACCTATGAACAGAGTAAACTACAATTATAGGTTTTCAATTTTAAAAAACCTTGCCCAGCTACATGGGAGGTTGAGGTGGGAGAATCACCTGAGCCTGGGAAGTTGAGTCTGCAACGAGCTGTGATTGCACCACCACACTCCAGCCTGGGCAACAGAGCGAAACCCTGTCTCAAAAACAACAACAACAAAAACACTTCCTAGAAAAATATTGTAATCCTGTGCCTTTTCAATATATTGTTGGGATCCTTTAATTGTTGACAATTTTTGTATATATGAGGAATGCTGGTCCGTAGTTTTCTTTTCTTACAATATTTTTGTAGGGTTTGACATGAGGGCAATACCGGCCTCATACAATGAGTTGGGAAGTCTGCCCTTCTCACACCAGTTTGTGTGGAACTGGTTTCCTATGTCCTTAAACACTTGGTGGGATTTATTTACTGTGATTATTGGTCTGGGTTATTTTATCTGGGCCAGAAGTGGATACCCCCGTGCATTTGCTTTTCCAGCTCTCCTGGCACAGACTTTTTCACCTCCAGCTCACAGCCCCCAGTCTCACTCAAGTCCTACAAGTTGGGGCTCCACATGGAGGATATGCAATGGTGATGGGCAGCCCCCGGGACATGACAGACCCAGTCTATAAAGAGAGAAAGTTTTTGAGCACTCGGGACTCTGTTTTGAAAAGCTGGACACCAAAAGAGGCATCACAAGCACCCACTCTCTTCTAATCCTTTGGTCCAGCTGGAAAAGGTAGGTGCCCCTTCCTGCCAGGCCAGTGCCAGGGACAACTCTAACATTTTTGTAAGCTGTTGGGATTTGGAGACTTAGAATTTAGGTTGAAATAAGTATCTTTTGCTTCATATAAAAAGAAGATACTTAAAATACCCTGTGTTTTCTCTTGGCCTCAGAATGAACTCACATCCCAGTCAATGTCTCCTGTCACATGGCCAAATGCACGACATTTAAGAGGACAAAAATGTTCACTCCCTGGCACATAGTAGGTGCTCAATAAATATTTGTTAAATAAACTGGGGAACAGAGAAATGAGTAAATTAACAGAAGGATCACCTCCAAGATGTCCCATCAGTAGGGGAGGGAGAATCCATGAACTTTCCAAGTGGGGGGTGATTAGGCCCAGGAAGCCTGCCACACCCACACCCAATCACCCCCAAAACAATGTATAAGATCTGTGCGTTTACCTGGATGTGTGCAGTTTTTATATTTTCAGTGGAGTTCAGAAAAAGTTAAGAATTGCATCCTTAGGGCTTCCAAATGTGCTGATGAATGAAGAATATAAACAATATTAATTTGCTTCCCATAGCCAAGTTTCCAGCTTATAAGGAATGGGGCCAGGATCAGACTCTCAGGACAGCCTCAGTATCTACACAAGAGGTCTCCTCATCTCAAAGTCCCACAGCAGAGCTTCATTTGCCATGTCTCCAAGTGTACAATTAGCCTCCCCAAGCAGCAGGCCCTAATGAACCAAACTGATTATGGATCCATCAGAGCTTTCCAGAGGGGCCATTAGTCCTCACCACAGCCTGGCCAGTGAGAGCACGCCAGGGGGAGGCATGGAGCTCTCCTGAGGAAGGGCCTGAGCCTGAAGATGGTCATTCATTCCCTTCAGCCCACTCGGTGCAGGGTCTCACCTTCCCAGAGGAGTGGAGTGGGGTCAGGGGAGCCATACCGAGTGTTCCTCTGTGGATATCAGAGCAGAGAAATGGGGAGCAGAGTGGGAAAGAGGTGCACAGCTAGGCCTCCCATCACTCTGCTCATCAACAAAGGGGACAGTGTATTTCTGGGAGGCCATGGAATTTTCTTCATTTCTATTAAATTCCAAAATTATTGAGACTGCAAGAAAGTACCTTGGGCTCTAAAAGGAATTTAAAATGCAGACACATTAATCCAACCTGAAGAACCAAACTGTGTTCTCTTAAAATTAAAATAAAGGCTATAGACCATGGAGACTGATAAATGGCTCTCTGGGATGTGCTCAGATGCCCTGGGAGTCCATTAGAGAGAAAAGGCACCCGGCCTGACCGCCTCACCCTTAACAAGCCAACCAGAACCTCAGCAAAGATGGCAGGACACAAGCTCTAAGATAATTCACTGGAAACAGGCCTGGGCATTGGGAAAATGTCCACACTCCCTAGATAGACTTCACTGGAGACAGAGGCTGTTCAGAACAAGAGGTCCAGGCAGTGGCCCTGGCTGTCAGCAATATCCCCTCCTGAAAATTCATCCATCAACACTCCCCTCTGCTGGAGAGGTGGGTGGGAATTGGAGTTAACTTTCAGGAAGGCACAATGGAAACATACATTTAAAAGAATGTGCATATCCTTTGTGTAGTTAATCTATTGCTACGTAACAAATCTTTAGAGAATTAAAACAACAAACATCATCTCATAGCTTCTGTGGGCCCTAAATCCAGGTGTAGCTTGGAGGACTACTTCCCCCTCAAGGTCCCTCACAAGACCTCAGCAGGGCTGCAGTCTCACCTGAAGGCACGACTGCGGGAGAATCCTCCTCCAAGCTCACTCGCGTGGTTGCTGGAAGGATTCATTTCCTATGCAACTTTGGACCCAGGGCCTCCATTTCCCCAGGCTGTTGGCCAGACCTCCTTCAGTTCCTTGCCATGTGGACCTCACCATAGGGCAGCTCATAACATGGCAGTCAATTCTCCCCAAGTCAAACAAGAAAGAGAGTATAGGCAAGATGCAAGTCCATTTTTTGTATGCTAATCTTGAAAGTGATATTCCATCACTTTTGCCTAATTCTATTCATTAGAAGCAAGTCACTAGATTTCAGCCCACACTCAAGGGGAAGGGATTACACAGCAGGAATGTGTATACCAGCAGGTGGGGGTTACTGGGGCCCAATTCATGGCTGCCTCCATACCCTGTAGCCCCTAAGCCCACTTATTGGAAGGTACCCTAAAAGAAATAACTGCACAAGTACAAAGATGTGTAGTATAGTGAACACTGGTGTTTAAGACTGTGTACAGTTGAAACCCATCTGGACTGGCTGATTCGATTATAACACATCCATTTGACAAAATACCAGGCAGTTACAAAACCATGGCATGGAAGAATATTTAGAACATGAGAAAACACTTGTGATATAATATTAAGTTTAAAAAGCAGAACACAAAACCATACGCAATATGATTCTGATACTCAAATATGGAGAGAAAATAATACAACCAGAAACAACTACTTTTTAACATTTCAGAGTGTCTCTAAGTAGTGGGACTATGCATGATTTTCATTTCCTTGTTTAGACTTACTTGTGTTTTCATAATTTTCTACAATAAGTATGTATTACTTTTACAATCAGAAAAGAGACTCTTTTGGGAAGATTTACTTTCCCTGAATGGTGATGGTATTAAGCTTCCTCCCCATACCTAAGTGGCAGAATAGGGTGAAAGATGGAGCATAAGCCAGGGCCCTATGTGCACAGGGCAGCTAAACAGTGCCCCTGGAGACTGAAGGAGAGAAGATCAGGCCTCAGGCCACTGATGGTCCCTATTATGCCCACGAAAAGACACAGCCCTGTCTGTGGAGACACCATGAGCACACAGCTCGGCAAACAGACATGGCCTGTGTTAACCTAGAATATGGTGCCCCATCTCTGGACAGACACAGCCCCAATTCAGGATGCACTGCCAGCCAGCACAGCAGGAGCCAGACTTCAGCCCCACTCACCTCCTCAGCCAGGGGCCTTTGTTCTTGCCTCACCAGTCCTTACCTACCTCGAGAGACCCCCAGCTAGATGGGCTTCAGACCCTGAGTGTGAGCCAACTGGGCAAAACTTGAGTTCCAGGCATGAGGAGCTCACACATCATCTCCCCGTGGCTCTTGGGTCCCCACTCCTGCCCCGTGGGCAGCCATTAGAAATGGCCTCATTCATAGAAAAGGACACACCCATTAAGTGGCTGACCTCAAGCCAAAAAGCAAGGAAGCAAAGGGCCAGAGCTTGCAGACCAGTCTCTGAGTCGTGCTCCAGGGTGCTCTGCACTCTGAGCTGGACTCATGCCTGTATCTGACCTCGGATGACAATCCTCACTTGCGTGTCCTGCCCCTCGCCACCCAAGCACGTGCCTGGCTCTGTCTGCAGGGCTTCACTGACTCTGCGTCAGACCCACACTTCTTGCTTCCTCCTGTTTCTTGCTTCCTCCATGCAGAGGACAAGTTGCAATTGGGTGGGCTGCTCAGCCATTCACTGTCTGACATGTCCCGAGTGTTTATGTGCACCTCTGTGCCAGGTGCAATGTGAGCTTTTCACACTTGTCATTTCAGGTTCATCCTCAGCAGGCATTATTAGCCCTAATTTGTCAAGGAGAAAGCTGAGCCTCAGGAAAGGCAATGAATTTTCTGAGGCCACACAGCCAGGAAGGGCAGGGCTGGGCTGGGAATTGAATCTCGTCTGACTAGTGCACGATACCTCATCATGTTTGTTCCACAGGAAGAAAACGAAAATTAGAAACAAGGCTGTGTTAGAAAACTCACGTATTGGGCAGGCGCAGCGGCTCACGCTTGTAATCCCAGCACTTTGGGAGGCTGAGGTGGGCGGATCACCAGGTCAGGAGATCGAGACCATCCTGGCTAATACGGTGAAACCCCATCTCTACTAAAAATACAAAAAATTAGCCAGGCGTGGTGGCGGGTACCTGTAGTCCCAGCTACTCAGGAGGCTGAGGCAGGAGAATGGCGTGAACCCAGGAGGCGGAGCTTGCAGTGAGCCGAGATCACGCCACTGCACTCCAGCCTGGGCAACAGTGCGAGACACTGTCTCAAAAAAAGAAAGAAAACCCACGTGTTTTATTGCACTTGTGAATGACATGTAATAATTCAAAAGCAAACTCAAGTGGATGGAAAATTCCAGCTGGCTTGTGTTTCCAGGGACTGGGAGAACTGAGGAGACTAACCTGAGCACCAGGACATGGGGACCTGAGACTGTCCTGCCACCGCCAGCAAGGAGTTGCTGGCAAAGAACCCTCTGTGGCTCCAGGCTGGGCGACCTGGACTCTTAGGTTACGGAGATAGGAAAGGTCACCCCAACAGAGGATATGGCTTTTGGAACACACAGCAGCCTTGGTACGGCCGGGCCACTCCCCTGGCCACTCCAGCCTTGCCCCATCCACAGGAAGAGCTGCCAAACCTCCTGGGATGCAGACCCAGCAGCTGAGGTGCCCATGGCCTGGCTGAGGCAGAGAGGCAGTGTCCCTCCCTGAAGGCACTGGCAGGGGCTCTGAGAGAAAGGGGGTCCCTGTCATTTCATTGTTTGAGTGAATGAAAAATGTCTGGTGACCTAGCATGGCAAGAGGAGGTCAGGTACCCTTCGTACAGCCTTAGAGATGATCTCCCAAATGGCACCGCCATCTTGGCCTCCCAGTATGCAGTGGGCTGGGAAATGGCCATGGGCGCAGCCTGGGTGCCCTGAGGGAGGACAGGGAAGTGAGGAGGAAGGGAGGAGAGGTGAATTGTAAAGTACAGACCATGTCAGGTGTTTCTGTCCACGTTATCCCATTGACCTTCCCGCAACCCTGGGCAGTGGGCATTCCTGTTCTCCCTGTTTTCTAGAAGAGGAAACTGTGACCCTGAGACAGGACGAGGCCTTCCCAAGACCACACAGCCAGTGGGAACTGGGCCTAAATACAGGGCCCTGAGGGGAGGGGATGCTCCTTTCCCAGCAAGCCCACGCTCCATTCTGAAGAAAGATTTCCAAATTCCCTCAGGGAGGATCTTCAGATATGCTGAGCCTGCCCTTGAAAGACACTGTTCAGGCTTTACTCAGCCATCCCAGTGCCCCCACGGACCCTGCTTCTCGGCTATTTCCTGGTGCGGGGCCCATGCCGGGTCAGTGACCCCAGAACAATCCACAGCAGCCACCCACCCCTCCAGAGGACTCGGCTTACGGGTGTCAGGTGCAGGCAAAGGCATGGGCAACGGCTTCCAGCCAGGAGTCACTGTACTAAGTTGTTCTTGCGTTGCTATAAAGAAATATCCGAGACTGGGTAATTTAGAAGAAAAGAGATGTCATTGGCTCATGGTTCTGCAGGCTGTACAGGAAGCATAGCAGCATCTGCTTCTGGAGAGGCCTCAGGGAGCTTCTAATCATGGCGCAAGGCAAAGGAGGAGGAGGCACTTCACATAGCAAGAACGGGAGCAAGAGAGAGAGAGTGGGGGGGGACGTGCCACACACCTTTAAATGCCCACATCGCAGGTGAACTCAGAGCGAGAACCCACTCATCATCAAGGGGATGGCCCAAGCCATTCATGAGGGATCCACTCCCAGATTCAAACACCTCCCACCAGGCCCCACCTCCAACACTGGGGATCACATTTCAACAGAAGACTTGGAGGGAACCAGCATCCAAACTATATCAATCACTAGGTCCATCTTCCAGCTAGAGAGAGGAGGCCGGGGTTCGCCACAGCAGTGCCGTGCCGCCCCAGGGAGGCCCAAGCCCTCGCAGGATCCCCCGCGCCACAGGCCCTCAGTGGCCAGTGCTATCACACGCCCTGCACAGCCATTCCCTCAGGCCCCCTGTGTTCTCCCACGCCTCTAGGTTTTGAAAGGCAACTGCAAGTTCATTTTTTAGAAGCCCGTGGACTGCTGTATCTCTGAGGATTTGATAAGAGGAGCTAAAGCCACATGACCCTTATTTGGTGAACTCTGACTCGCTAAAGGAATGCAATGCCCTTCCATGGGTCACACTTCCACGGCCTCTCTTAGCGAGCTCTGAGGGGTGCTACAGTGACGTTCAGAGCTCGGTACCTGGCCCCTGAAGTCATAGCAAAGCCCAGTTCTCTGCTGTCCAGGAAAGCACTGGCTCCCTAACGGAGCTCACCTGGAAGCAGGTACTGGGCTGTCTGCATGCAGTATTGCTGGACATCCTGCAATGACCCTATGAGGTAGGTACTAATGATTATTTCCATTATATAGATAAGGAAACTGAGTCATAGAGAGGGGCCAAGTACTTGCCCAAGGAACTCAGCAAGCCAGGATTGTGCCCCCAGCAGTCAGAGCCTGTGAACTTAACACCTGGGCTCTGGTACTTCCTGGTGCCCTTAGAGATGAGCCAAGGAGGCTCAGAAAGAGATTGGCTGCCCGACTTCTCCCAACTAGCCAGTGACCACGCTGGACCTGGGACCTGCGTTCCCTTCTAGATGAAGATCTGGGGAGTACAAAGGAAGAATGAGGGGTACAAGGTCATCAGCAACACAGACCTGGCAAAGAACCTAGTGTCCCATTTGTGAAGCCTCATAACAGCCCCATCAGAGGAAGCTGAAAACTCAAAAGGCACCAGGTAAACTCTAAGCCAGTACACCTTGGCTCATGTGTAAGGGGGCAATTTGCAGAGGCAAGGTCCTATCACCAATGGGCTAACCTGCAGGGAGGCAGAGGATGTGAGAAGCTGCCTGGACCCCTCCTTGCTCCATCTCGTCTTTGCGCAGATGGGGAAGCTGAGCCCCAGAGCATCCAATGTCACACAGCTGGTTAGGACATGGCCCACTCTCTCCTGTCACCTAATAAGGACGGCTGAGGCAGGGCCTGAGGTGGATGCGCTTGTCTGACTGCCCAGGGCTCTGGTCCCTGCTCAACCTTTAAATGGTTGCAGGGCCTCAGGACACCCCCTCTCTCCTCCCCACCCTTCATTTCTCCATTTGTAAAATTATTCAGGTTAAACTAAATATTATTGCAACCTTCAGCCTCAGCACCCACGATTCCCTTTCAGTCTAAAAGGTTGCTGGCTCTGGACCCAATTAGGATAAATCAATTTCAGACAGTGCCCATCTCCCTCGGGCTCCACTCTCCCCATCCCGCTCCCATTTGCCTGTCAGCCTCCAGAGTAACCACTTACTGAATTACCAAGAAGGCCATCAGATCAAGAGCGGAGGAAATGGCAGAAACCAATCTTAACAAAATGTATTTGATCTGCAAATAAGACGCCATCCCCTTCCCGCCGCAGAGTTTATCATTTTTTATTTAAGCCCAGTGCAGCCGAGCATATGGACAGCAGCTTGCTTCTGTCTTCGAGAGAGAATAACAGGGCCCAGACACAGGCCGACCCCAGGACAATGGAGCACCCTCTACTCACTGTGATGGGGGCGCAGGCATAGGAGCCCCTTCTGCTCTCCTTCCTGCAGGACTTCCGTGATGTCTGAAAACTCTCTGTGGGAGTGAGACTTTGTGAAAATTACACTGAAGTCATAGTAACGACAGGAGCAGCTCCCAAGTCTTGCACACTCATTATGTGCCCAAGGCAGTGCTAAGCATGTCACATGCTATCGCATTTAATCTCTGGGCCATGGATGCCGTGGCTCTCTCCATTGCACAGGTTAACAAACTGAGGCTCAAAAGGATAAGTACCTTGCCAAGGCCACCTAGCAGCCAATCAACAACAGAACCAGGATTTAAATCTGATCTGACTGTGTGTCCTGTGCTCCCAACCTCCCCGCCACCTGTCTCGCGAAAGATTGATGGAGTTAAGAGTCTTTGGGCTCAGACACAGATCTTCTAGAAGGCCCCTATGAAAACTGAAACAATGCATTTTCAAAACAATCAGGGAGATTTGATTATGGACTAGATATTAGTGATACCAAAGAAACACTTAGGCTGATAGTGATGCTGGCGTGTAAGGAGATATCCAGGGTTTTAGAAATGCTCATTGGATTCTGCGGCAATGAGACCTTGTGTCTGGGGCTTGCTATGAAATCATTCAGGAGACAGAGAAAGGAAATAGGGCAAAAATCTTACTAACTGTTGAATCTGGGTGGCGGCTCTATCTCTACTTTTGAGTGTATTGAAAATATTCATAATTATATCTTTTAAAACACACGCAAAACAAGACTAGCCATTTAGGAAATGCAAACCAAAACCACATGAGATACTACCTCACGCCCATCATTATAGCTACTATCAAAAACCAGAAAATAACAAGCGTTGGCAAGGATGTGGAGGAATTAGAACCCTTGTCCACTGCTGGTGGGAATGTAAAGCGGCGTGGCCACTATGGAAAACAGTACGGCAGTGCCTCCAAAAATTAAAAATAGAACTACCATATGATCCAGCAATTCCACTTCTAGGTACACACCCAAGAATTGAAAGCAGGGTCTAGAAGAGCTACTTGTCCACCCATGTTCATAGCAGCACTATTCACAATAGCCAAAAGGAGGGAGCAACCCACATGTTCGCCCGCAGATGAACAGATAAACAAAAGGTGGCATATCCAAACAATACAATATTATTCTGCCCTAAAAAGGAAGAAAGCACCAGGCACAGTGGCTCACGCCTGTAATCCCAGCACTGTGGGAGACTGAGGTGGGCAGATCACCTGAGGTTGGGAGCTTGAGACCAGCCTGACCAACATGGAGAAACCCCGTCTCTACTAAAAATATAAAATTAGCTGGGCATAGTAGCACATGCCTGTAATCCCAGCTACTCGGGAGGCTGAGGTAGGAGAATCGCTTGAACCCAGGAGACAGAGGTTGTGGTGAGCCAAGATCGTGCCATTGCACTCCAGCCTGGGCAACAAGAGCGAAACTCCGTCTCAAGAAAAAAAAAAAAAGAAAAAAAAGGAAGAAAGCTCTGACACATGCTACAACACGGATGAACCTTGAAGACACTCTACTGAGTGAAATAAGACAACCACAAAAAGACAAATACTCTATAGTTTCACATATATGAGCTCTCTAGGGTAGTCAAATTCATAGAGACAGAAAGTAAAATGATGGCTGTCAGGGCTGGGAGGAGGTGGGAAGGGGAAATTGTTGTTTCACAGTTATAAAATTTCAGTTTTGCAAGATGAAAAAGTTCTGGAAATTGGTTGCATAATGATGTGAATGTACTTAGCACTACTGAACGGTACACTTAAAAACGGTTACGGTGATACATTTTTTTGTTATGCATATTTTACCACAGTTTTTAAAGGAAAACACACACACACAAGCGAGCCGTGCAGCAGAGCCGGAAGCGCCCATATGAAGGCTCTCCAAAGGCTATTTTCAGTTGAAAGAAGCAAACAGAGCCACATGGTTTTGCCGAGGCACGGCAAAAATACTCAGGGAACTGCGAGCTGTGGTTATCTCTGGGGAATAAGACTGGGGTGGCCAGGAGGTGAGAAACTTGTATTTTCTATTTTTACATCCTTTTATGCTGTTTGAACTTTTCAAAACAGAAAACTATGTCTATGCACTACTTTGGTGCTAAAAACGAGTTTTCATTTTTTTAATGCAACTGCTGTCGCTGGGACAGAAAGTCATCGCCAACCCCAACAGGTTAGCAGTGACTGCGGGGGTGGCTGTGCCCTGGCCCCTGCCCTGCAGGAAGGGAACGGTAGCTCTGTTTTCACTGGGAGCTTTAGAGGTGGGCATGGGAGGGATGAGGGGACCGGGTCTGAATGAGAAACCGCTCGAGGCCTCGCAGGAGCCTGGAACTGCATGCGAAAGGAAAGGGCTCTGCTCAGGGACAGGAGCATGAACAGAGAGGGAGGAGGAGCCCCTGGGGTGGCCCCTCACAGATTTGAGCATCAAATCTGCAAAACCGAGGCACAGAGAGATGGAATAACTTGCCAAATGTCACACAGGTAGTAAGTAGCAGAGTTGGCCATGGTTCTGAGATCTTCCCTAACCACCATGCTATGGGGCCTCTCAGTGGAGACTGAATGACTGGACAGAAGAGATAGAAACCCAAACCAGCAGCCTCAAACATAAAAGAAAATACATTGTTTCATGAAGCTGAAAAGTCCATGATCCTACTTCAGGCTCAGCTGGATCCAGGTGTTCCAGTGATGGGTAGAGCTCACCTCCCTCCACCTCACTCTGCTTTCCCCCTAGGTCAGCTCTATTCTCGAGAAGACATCCTCCAGCAGGTGGAAAACATGCTCCCCAGCATTCTAGCTTCTACCAGCCTGGCAGCCCCCACAAAGCAACAGCAACTCTTTCCAGCAAAACTTCCAAGGCTGGGTCTCACTGGTTGGGCTGGGCCACATCCCTATTCCTGAACCAATCTGTATGATTTGAGGGAGGTAGAGGAGATGGAGTCAACCACACAACCCCACTCAGAGGAAAAGAGGGTGCTTTCTTCAAGGGAGTATTAAGGGGCCATTCCCAAAGAATAGATGATAGCAACTTGGGCAGGCAGAAACATCAGCGTTTCCTCTGAAATGGAAGTGCTTAGAATCCTGCCAGGCAGGGCCGGACGGAACAATTATTATTACTACAAGGAGATTCTGAGAGACCTAAATTCACAGAGAGGTTGGCAGGATGCCACTAACATGCCCTGGTCTCAGAAGGAACCAGGAAGGAGTGTGGCTTTATAGCCATGAGGTCTAAATTCCTCCCTGATTCTGGTACTCACTGGCCATGTGGCCTTGGGAAAGTAAGCCACTGGACTCGGCATCAGCATCCTCATCTGAGAAGTAGAACAACAAAGCCTTGCTAGTGAATCGCAATAAAGACTGAAAGACGGGAGGTGTGGGGGGCCTGGCCCGGGCCTTGCACACATTAGGGCTCCATCGATGTGTTTTAAGAGGTCTCCTGTCACCAGGTGCCCGCGCTCCTGGACAGCTCTGTGGGCATCTGAACTGAGGACCAGAGCACCTTCAAGAAGGCAATTCCTCTTTGCTTTAGTTGTTGGCAGATGTGAACAAAAGGAAATTAAGTAAAAGCCAAGGGTGGAACTTTCTTTAATCTTTTCCAAGGCACTTGACTCAGTAGTGATAAAAATGCGAGGAGAACCAGCCCCACCAAGCCCTTCAATGTCAAAGATTAGCTCGAAGGTCCCCAGGCCCGGAAGCACCCTGCTGCAGGACCCCACCGAGGCTTCCTGGGACGCATGGGCTGAAGGCTGGAGAAGAGCAGGAAAGAGGAGGCCATTCCCCACTGCAGCCACCAGTGCAAGGGCTTACCCAGCTCTGGGCCCAGCACTCAGGCCTTGCTCAACTGGGAGATTCCAGGTGCAGGGGTCTGATTTAGCAGCGGCTGCCCCGTCGAAGCACTCTGGCACTGTGAAAGGCCACACCGATGGTTCCCAAAGTGGGTGCCATGGGACCCACAGCCCTCAGGGTGCTAATAATAGGTGTGTGGTACACTCCAAGTGATTTAAATTTTTGAGAAAATGTGGCTTAAAAATGTCAAGAGGCTGGGCGCAGTGGCTCACACCTGTAATCCCAACATTTTGGGAGGCGGAGACAGGAGGATCGTTTGAGCCCAGGAGTTCCAGACAAGCATGGGCAACATAAGGAGACCTCATCTCTACATAAAAAATTTAAAAAATTAGCTGAGTGTGGTAGTGCATGCCTATGATCCCAGCTACTTGGGAGGCTGAGGCAGGAGGATTGCTTGAGCCCAGGAAGTCGAGGCTGCAGAGAGCTATGACAGCACTGCACTGCAGTCTGGGTGGCAGAGCAAAACCCTGTCTCAAAAATGAAAATACATAAACATTTAAAATTTAAAAAACAAAAATATCAAGGAAACCTCCCTGTGCACAAAATACTAAACAATGCAAATCTCCCCTCTTAAAACGTTCAAAACATAGCAAGAATCGTGTAATTGCCAACCTGCTGGCTGAATAAGCTGTGATCGGGGCTTGCTGTCCTGCCTGTGTCAGCACCACGAAGCTGGTGAATAATCATGCCCTGTCCTTTGTCTGTGCTGCGGGAAATAGGTCTTGAATTATTCAAGTTGTGAATGACACAGTGACTTAAAGAATGGATCCTGCGCGTGAAATATAAGCACCTTGACTTGAGAACAAGTGGCTGCACACAAACATGCTCTTAGCACATCACTGGCCTCCATAAAACATTGAGGGAGGGAAGAGGAGCGGGGGGAGGAAAGGGAGAAAGATGATGGTTCCCATCAGGGCCAGCAAACTGCAGCTCACAGGCCAAAAGCAGCCCTGCTCCTGTGTGTGTCAATAAAGCCTGATGGGGACACTGGTGTAGGTGTGTCCAGGGCCGCTTTGACACCACAACGGCCAAACTGAGCAGTTGTAATAGAGCCTCAAATATTTACTAGGTGGGCCTTTACAGGAAAGCTTGTCGACGCTGGTTTAAATAAAGACCAGCAAGCTTCTTCTCTGCAGGACTTATCAGGAGCCTTTAAAGTGCTATTTATTGGGGAATATGAATCTCCGCAAAAGGGATTTCCCAAACTCCTTAGAAGACAAACACTCTCTTCCACAGGGCATCTCACAAAGCCCTGGTGTCCGCAGAGCGCTGGCCACACAGGCCCTGCTGTGATCTGAGCAGGGTGCCACAGAACAAGGGCGGGGAGCAAAGGGAGTCTCTTGAGGAGTCCCTCCAGCCTGGGTGATGCAGAGGAGGCTCTGAGATTCCTGACCTGCACCTCCATCCCGCTTCTCCCAACCATGAGCTCCAACTTCAGCCCCACTCACTGAAGCCAGAAGGAAAACGCAGCCCATGGCAGAAGGGCACAGGCCAGCTGCTTGGAGATTGACCAGAAGCAGTGTTCCCTCAGAGGAAGCTTAGCCCTCAGGGTCAGTCCTCCTGCCGGGGGATGGTCACAAAACTGGCAACGTTCACCAACAGCACCCTGACCACGTAAGTCATTGCTCGTTTCAAGGAACAAATGGGGACACAAACCTAGACACAAGCTCTCTCGCTCAACGCTGTTCACCCAACCAGGGTCTCAGCCCTGGGGCACCGAGCTGGCCAAGCACCAGCAAGTGGAAGCAACTGCCTTAGTCCTTCAGCTGTCCCGGTGCCTCCTTGCCTCCCTCCACACCCTGCTGTGACCGCTGCCAGTGTCCGGCCATCCCTGTCCCAGCCCAGGCAGGGTCAGCAGCGCAGGAGCCCCTGCTTGCACCATGCACAGGTTCAGGAAGACCCAGTCTCTGCCCTGGAGGGCCTCTCAACCCAACTGAGAGGAGCCATGGAGGGACAGACGAAGTGCTACAAAAGAGGGGAAACCCAAGACAGCTTCCTGGAGAGTGTGGCTCCAGAAACACGCCCGGACAGAGGGTGTTAACAAGGGAGAGTGCAAGGGCAGAAAGGCATTTCAGAGCAGGAACAGCCTGCCGCTGGGCAGGGAACAGGAAAGCCCAGAGCATATTCCAGGGGTATTTTCTTTTCCATGTCTGCCTTTTGGGAGAGCCTCAGGTGGGTGGCCTGGTTGGGGCCAGGTGGCAGCAAAGGGCCCTGCATGGCAGGAGAGGAGTCCACTGGCAGCGAGCCTGCTGGCACCTCCAAGATGGGCAGCAGCATGATCAGAACCGGGAGCTCGCGGGAAACCGCACTCTTCAGGGCAGAAGGTATAATGAAAACAACAGTCATTGCCAGCTGTCGTGTGCACACACAGTGTGACAGCTGCGTGCGAAGTGCTTTATGTGCAGTTTCCTTTTATCCTTGTGAGGTGGATATGAAAGCCCTATGTTTCTAAAGAAGCTGAGGTGCAGAGAGGTTAAGTAACTTGCCCAAGGCCACCCAGCCAGGAAGTAGCAGGGCCAGGGGTTTAAATCCAGGCTCTTAAACACTCCCTCTAACCCTCCTCCTGCAGGGGCAGAAAGAAGATGCTCAACCCATGGGCTGCGAGCTGTGCTTTAATGCAGTTGCTGAGTCATTTCCTCCAGATGACCCCAACCGCACGTTGCATTTGAGCGTGGGGAAGGACCCAGCTGGCCCTGGCTGGGATGGTCCTCGGTCAGGTGGGGGCCACCAGGGCAGGCACCAGAGTCAATATGTCTCAGTCCTCACGGCTGGGTGCAGAGCCTGGCACATAGTAGGCATTCAGCTAGTAACTGTCAAATGGAGAATGGTTGAATGGCCATTTGTAAATGACTGGAACCTTCTCCATGGTAACCAGCTTTCTGTGTAACCCATGTAGACAGACAAAATGAAGTGCTCCAAGTATATCCATGATTATAATCCATCTCGAAATTGAAATGTGTTCCCCCAAATTACCCACTGTGTCTGGTTTCAAAGAGTTTATATTCTTGTAGAGTTTAGCTTCAAGATGGAACATGTCACATTCTGACAGTAAGAATGAGAGGAGCTCCCAGGATATTCAAAGACAGAAGCCAACCCCTGCCAGCTCCCCCAGTCCCAGAAAAGCTGCCACGATGGGGAAAGCCGTGTCCTTCATCCAGTCTGAGGGAGCTCGCCTTATGGCACCAGCTGCCCAGGCTTCCCCACAAGGCCATCATTCTTTCCACTGACCCGGGAACTGATGCAATCAATCTTGTGATTATTGATGGTTCCGCTACTCTGGTTGTGGGTTTCCTGGCCAGGAATTAAACATCTTACTCAAGATGATCTAACTACATGTGTTGAGAGACCCACAGATAGACAAAGACAGAGTAAGAAGGATGAAAGGCACATGCCACAAAGTGAAGGTCCTTGTCCCTGAAGGATGGGCTCGTGGGTGATTGGGGTTGCAGAAAGCAAAAGGTTACATGTTGTCAGGGCCCTGAAGCTGCCCCCATTGGGCAGGGCCGTTCCGTCCAGCTGCGGGGATGGGAACAGGAAGGTGGTTGTGAAACAGGGATGAGCCAGTCAGCTGAGGCCCCATCCTTCAGGGCGTGGGAGAGGCCTGGGGCAGGAGGGGAGGAACACGAGGCAGAGGTGGGAGGCCATAGGAGGCATCCCTTTGCTAATCTAGCTGGAGCGGGGGCATCTGCGACCTGGCTGCCACCTCCCCTTGGTGACGACAACTCATGGCTCTGGCCCCACCTGTCTCCCCTCTAGCCTACAGGAACTTCTAGGGCTACAACTGTGTCTGCAATCTCCCTCTCCTATGCACATCTCAGAAGCTGGCATGGAGAAGGCACTCAGAGAAGGCTGCTGAGTGGAATGATCACTGCTGTGTGCTGAGGAGGACCTGCCCTCAGGAGGCCTCTGGTGCAAAGCCAGAAAGTAAATATTTTGGTGGGCTTAGAGGTAGACTCCATGGTGAGGTGTTTAAGAGCGCACACTTCAGAGCAGGATGGCCTGGGTTCAAGTTCTAGCTGCACGCATGCTGGCTGTTGACCTTGAGGAAGGCGCTTAACCTCTGAGCCTCAGCTGCTTCATCTGTCAAATGCGAATAATGGCCAGCCATGGTGGTTCACGCCTGTAATCCCAGCACTTTGGGAGGATGAAGCGAGCAGATCACTTGAGCTCAGGAGTTTGAGACCAGCCTGGGCAACATGGTGAAACCCCATCTCTACAAAAAATACAAAAATTAGCCAAGCTGATGGCACGTGCCTGTAGTCCCAGCTACTCGGGAGGCTGAGGTGGGAGAATGGCTTGAGCCCAGGAGGTGGACATTGCAGCGAGCCAAGAGTGTGCCACTGTATGCCAGCCTAGGTGACAGAGACAGACCCTATCTCAAAAAAAAAAAAAAAAAAGGGAATAATTATGAAACCCACATCAGAGAGTTGTTTCGAGGATTAAAAGACTGACCTTACATAAATGGGCAGAAAGTGTCATTTTTTGTGCGGGCGCATAGTCTGCTATCGTACAGGCCACTGCGCCGTCTCACCTGCTGTCACCCCTCCTGAAGTCTCCTTTGTTTAAAGAAAAAAAATGAGCGGGTGCAGTGGCTCACGCCTGTAACCCCAACACTTTGGCAGGCCGACGCAGGCCAATCACTTGAGTCCAGGAATTTGACACCAGCCTGGGCAACATGGTGAGGCCCCCCGTCTCTACAAAAAATACAAAAATTAGCTGGGCATGGTGGTGTGCACCTATGGTCCTAGCTACTTGGGAGGCTAAGGCAGGAGGACTACTCTAACTCAGGAGATGGAGGCTGCAGTAAGCTGTGGTATCACCACTGCACTCCAGCCTGGGTGACGGAGTGAGACCTTGTCTCAAAAAACAAAAAGACAAAACATGCTTGTATGGCTGAGGGTCCAATAATGCCTAGGCAAGGAGATTTGTTGTGCAGCATCTCGAGGTGTCAAAGAAAATTTCGTGGACCCGAGGGAGTGGGAGTTCCACTGGGGGAGCACAGGACCCCATTGAGACCGCCTGCCTGTCCTCCATTCTTTCAGCAAACAGTGGGGAGTTCACGCAAGGCCAGGCCCCAGGTGGGAATCAGAAATGGCTTTGACCAGGTTCCTGCCGCAGGGAGCTCACGGCCTGGTGGGCACAGAGTATTGGAACCAATCATCCCCGCTCAGCGCCAGGGCCTGTGATGAGGTCCAAGAAGGCCCCCAGGATCCAGGCCAGGGCCCAGCCAGGAGGCTGCTAAGCCTGTCCGGGGCTGGAATCATGTCCAGTATCTCAGAGGGCTTTAATTTAAGGCCACGCGTTTAAAACAGCAATGCTTTCTCTGCAAAGAAAGTGCCATCCAGGCCTAATAAATCCCTCCAAACCTGAAATTCTAAGCAGCAGATAAACAGGAGGTATCACGTTTCTTTGAAAACACATTGAAATGTTTTCTGAGAAAAGACACTTATCCATGCCCAGAAATCCTGCACCGTCTCTCATGCCTCCCGCAGGCCACTGGGGCTTGGGGTTTGCATCCTCCCGGCTCCCTGCTCAGGGCATCCGGCTGGTCCTGTGGGATTCATCATGTTTAACAAATTCTTCAGCAGTGCTTCATGAGTGCAGGACTCTGTGCCAAGAGCTTTTCAATCATAATGCATCTGCTCCCAAGGCAACCCTGGGGGTGCAGGCCCCATGCCCACCCTCTTTTTTGCAGGTGAGGAAACTGAGGCAGAGAGAAGTGAAGTGACTCGCCCAAGGCTAAAGTGGGACCAACCCTAACCCTTCTCTCCAAAGAGGCCAGGCTACTGAATGACAGCAAAAAGGGGTTTGGCCAAGTCGTGGCCGGAAGGACCAAGTCCACGTCCATCTGCAGAGCATTGTGAGAGGCATCTGGCGCCCACACCTCCCATCGGTGATCCAGAGTCTGTCTAGGGAGATAAGAGCGGGCTCAGAGCCTCCCTCGAGGGCATGGAGGGAAGACTGGGCAGGCCAGGAAAACGGGCCCTGCTCTCCTGGCAGTGAGAAGTTCTGGTGTTGAGAGGGAATGACTAGCGAGAGAAGCACCCCCGCCCCGCCACCTTAGGGTGCCCGAGTTAGCAAACACAAATACACGATGCCCAGTTACATTTGCATTCCAGAGAAGCAAATCCACTTAATATAAGTATGTCACATGCAACAGTTGGAATATACTTATACCAACAAAGCATTCACAGTTTACCTGCAACGTGCACGTGGCCAGGCCGTCTTCGTTTTATCTGGCAACCCCACCCCTCCACCCCCACTGCTCCCGCAACGCTGTTGGGAGTTCAGGGAAAGGTCTGGTGCCCAGACCCACTCCTCTTCCCATACTAGCTCCTAATGACAGAATCTAAACACACAGAAGGAGCCTAGCAGGGATCAAAGGTGGCTTTGTTCATGGTGTCATCAGATTGGAGGACATGGCGCAGATGTGGAGCTGACTGACCTGGGCACGTGGTGCCTCCTCCATCCCTGGTTGTGTGTAAATCCTTCAATATCTGAGTGTGTTTCTTTTCCTAAAACTCGGGCAATAATAATAAACCACCCCCTACCTTCCCCCGGAAAGAACTGCTGGGATCCCACATTACACGCAGACGTGCTCCATTGAAAGTAGAGTGCCCCCACGTCCTACCACATTTTAATTTATAATTTTAATAATAATAAAGGAAGAGGTTGAATTCATTGCATGACTCCAAGGCCTTCTGGCATTCTCAGCGGGCCTGGTTTTCTGTGTGTACAGAGTTAATGCCAACACTGCTCTGGAGGTGGTTAAAAAAAGAAAGACATCCCGCAGCAAATTTGATTTAGGTGTCTAATTCCATTTGAAATGACTTCAGCAATAAATAAACCCCTCTCTTTGATTTTTTTAAATCAGCACATTTCAGTGGCAAAGTGACATCTTGGAAGCAGCGGTCCTCTCCACCCTGCTTGGCTGGCACAGGTGGGCCCCCATGCAGGGACACCAAGTCTGGCCCGGCGCCCGGCCATCATGCCTCTGCAAGTACAGAGAATATCCACTGCCAAGCACTTAGATCCCTGGCTCAGCAGGGCAGTCAATCTCACCTGCACAGATCTGCCTCACCCTATTCACCTGTGGATCATGCAGGCGTCCAAGGTAGCTCTCAGTGTCCCATTTGTAAATCTATAGGGAGTGTCCTGTTGGACATTAATGAGTGACAGAGAGGCTTTGGGAGGCAGATAGGAGTCCGGGACTGGAATCTGGGCCATGGATCCTGCTCTTTGACCTAGAGCAGATGCCCAGGGGCACTTCCTGGGGCCCAGGAACACTACTGGGGCTCAAGGGCATGGCCAAGCATTCATCTCCAAAACCAGCCTGCTGTGGAGCCGCTTGTTAATCAGGAGATGCTGGTGAGTTCCTGAGCTCCCTGGAGTTCCACGTCCTCACCTGTGTAGTGGGGCTAGGAGAGGCGGCTCCACCTAAGGCTGTCTCCAGGACGTTCTTTCTCCATCTATCATCTACCCTCGTGTAGGGTGCGTAGCACAGCCTAATAACTGCAAGTGCAATGCAGCAAAGAGGAAGGGCTTCTAACCAGCAATTGGGGCAGCCTCAGGAGCTCAGAGAAGCTACACGTCTGTGCATGCACACACACACACGCTGACATCCACTGAGTCACAGACACACACAGACTCCCGTGCCCCGCGGGCAGAGCAGGCTGCCTGCTGCTTGGATGTGGCCACCGAGCGGGTGCATCCAGCTCCACCATCGACAGCTCACGTGGACTCTTGCTCTGTCCCTGTCACCGCACCACAGTGAGCTGCAGGGATCAGGTGAGGATTTCATCTTTCACCTTTCACAACACTTGATCATAAAACAAAGCTGAGCGTTTAACAGTTTAGGTTTCAGGCCTCTTCAAAATGTCCCTGGGTCAAATGGCTGCAGGGAAACAGGCCCTGCACTGCTAAGTGTCTGCTCCTGGAATGGGAAACAGCCCCTGGGCTGTCTCTTCACCTGGAAAAGTTCGCAAAGGCCCCTAGGCTGGCCCTTAAACACAACCAGCAACCAGAGGCCCCTCCCACCCTGGAGCTGATAAGGCCCCCACCACTAGGAACCACGGAAAGGCCACAGGAGCAGACACTGCTCTTTGACTCCCTGAGGTGACAGCCCCGAGTCCCCATCGTGGGCTCCACTCTCTAAAGCTGCCCCTGGGCCCACAGCAAGGCATCCCATGCCGGTTCCCAGTCAGCCCCTGTGGCCTATGGCCCCAACACCTCCCTGTAAGTCAGACACACAGGTTCCAAGGCCTGCCCAGGGCTCAGTCAGTGGGCATGGGGCAAGGCCCTGGCACGTGGAGGTTTAACAAGCTCCCAGGTCGCCCTTGACACCAGGTGGAGCCTGAGGGCTACATTTCTAATGAGGCCCAGGTGATGCTGAGCCGGCTGGGCTGTGGGCCACACTTTAATGGGCAACAGCTGCAAGCTGTAAGGAACATGCATCGCTCTTTGAAGAGGGACCTGGAGTGCATCCATCTGGCTAGATGGTTTGGGGAATGACGTGGACCTTGGTCACCACTGAGCTCCTCTACCCCCTCCCTGGATACCTTTAGCCAGCATCCCATGGGCCTCTCCACTCCAACAGGTACAAAGACAGCTAGAAATATGGGGGCACCCCCCGCCACCTTACCCCTGCATCTAGCCGGCCACCAAGTCCCAGGGCTCATCTGTTTGGGTAACTATTCCTGTATAAAAGATACTCCAAAACTTCACAGCATAAAACAGCTATTTTGTTGTATTCAAAGGTTGGATTCTGTAAGCCAAGAATCCAGGCGGGGCACCACAGAGACAGCCTGTTTCTGCTCCACAGTGTCTAGGCTCTCAGCTGAGAGGACTCAAGGACTGGGGTTTGGAATCATCTGGAGGCATCTTCCCTGACCTGTCTGACAGACGATGCTGTCAGCTGGAATCTCAGTGGGGACTGTCAGAACACAGCACATACACAGGCCTCTTTGTGTGGCCAGGGCTTCCTCCCAGCATGGCAGCCTCAGGGCAGTCAGATTTCTTTAGATGGATGTTCAGGCTCCAAGGGTAAAAGTCCGAAGAGAACCAGGACCTAGCCTCAGAAGTTATGTGCTGTCATTTCCACTGCCTCATGTCACCTAGGAAGTCAGCCCAAATCGAAAAGGAGGAGACATCAACACCACCTCTCCATGGGAAGAGTGTCAAAGAATTTGCAGACGTGTTTGGAAACCACCCACCCTCTCAGCGGTGTCTCCCACGCGCATGCTCTCCCTTTGCCTCCTGACCTCTGGCTTGGTTCAGGGCCTCCCTATCTCCCATCTGGGCCTTTGAACAAGCGCCTTGTTGGTATCCCTACCTCCAGCCCTGCACTGCAGGGCAACTCATCACCAACAGGGATGTCCATGACACAAGCAGGTCCAGTAGCTTCCTACTTGGACGCTTCCAGCCATTCACCGTAGAAGTAGGAAGCAGCCAAGCTGTCTGACTTGCAGCATTCATTTATCCTGACCCCTGCCTCTGCTCCAGCCAAATTGTACTCCAAATCTCCACTCTCCTTGCTCTTCTGCCTTTGCATGTGCTGGTTTCTCTACCTAGAGTGCTCCCTTTACCTCTGACAGGATCCTAGCAAACTCCTATTCATCCTCCAAAACCCAGCTCCAATGTCACATCCTCTGTGATGCCATCTTTAAACCACTCATGATTATAATAGAGGTGCAGACCAGTGGTTCCCATTCTTAGCTACACATTGGAATCACCGAGGGAACTTTAACACATACTGATGACTGGATGCCACCCCCAGACAATTCTGGTTTAGTGGACTGCATACAGCCTAAGCATGAGAAATTAAACTCTAAGAACCGCTGGTATTGGCCGGGTGTGGTGGCTCACGCCTGTAATCTCAGCACTTTGGGAGGCCGAAGCAGGCAGATCACTTGAGGTCGGGAGTTTGAGACCAGCCTGGCCAACATGGTGAAACCCCGTCTCTACTAAAAATACAAAAATTAGCCAGGCGTCATGGCTACGCCTGTAATCCCAGCTACTCGGGAGGCTGAGGCATGAGAATCTGGGAGGCGGAGGTTGCAGTGAGCAGAGATCATGCCACTGCCCTTCACCTGGGTAACAAAGCAAGACTCTGTCTCAAAAACAAAAACGACAATGACAACAACAAAAAAAAAAGAAAACAGCTGGTATAGAGCAATGGTTCACAGAGCCCAGCACAGAAAACCACCTGGGGATGTTTCAAAGCACCCCTTTTCCCCAGAGCCCCACTTCAAACTTATTAAATCAGAGTCTGCAGGCGTGAGGCCAAGACAATGGCATGGCCACTTTATGAAGTCTACCCAGATGATCCTAACATGCACACGGTGGGAGAAACGCAGGGGTAGAGTCAAGCTCTCATATTTTTATATGATATTATGGAGCATGACTCAAAGCCTCCATCTAATTTCTGGTTTAGGAAAGATCATCTTTATCCCAGAAGTGAACAAGGTCACAAATCTGTTGGGTTTTTATAGAATACATATCGCAAGCCACTTTCCAATTCTAAAACTAATAAATGAATGCAAAAGATGAATAATTTAAATATCAATTTCATGCACATCGTAGATGCTCAAAAAATATTCATTGACTCAATTAATCATCCAATCGATCAATATAATCCTAGTTCTACAGCTACCCAAAATACTTCTGCATCTCCCCCAGTAAACTATGAGTTCCTTGAGGGCAGGTATGGGGACCCCAGCCCCCATGCAAAGGACATTTGATGAATAAAAAAATGCCTTGATGTGCAAAGCAAATGACCCTGAAGGCTCATGGCTATCTCTGTATTTTCTAGGTGTGCAGTGGTTTTCTAGTTGAACAGAAAAATGCTAGTACGTAACGAATGAATCCATCCATTGTTGGAAGGATGATGATGTTACGATTATAGAAAAAATCCTTATTAGTCAGCTTGTCCAGGTTATTGTGCTTTTTTTTGGAGGCTTTTCAACTGAACATTAACCCAGAGGCTCATGGCCAGCTCCCAGCCACACATGGACCGGCATGTCACAGCTCCCAGCCACACATGGACTGGCATGTCACAGCTCCCAGCCACACATGGACCGGCATGTCAGGTGCCCAGTGCTGCTCTGTGCACTGCCACCCAAGAGGCATGCCTCAGCCTTGCCTGAGCAGCCCTCACAGGGCACATGGCCTCTGCCCAGTGACCAGTGGAGGGTGGAAGGTGGAACCATGGCCTATGCATCACCCCTGTCTCGTGATCTCAGCTGCTTTGGCCTCTTGGTTGCAAGAGCTACAGCTCAGTGATAAAGAACAAGGGCTCTGGGGTCAGACAGGCTAGGGGTCTAGAGCCTGGTCCACCACTAGCTGTGTGACTAGGGCAAATCACTGCACCTCTCTGAGCCCCAATGAAGATGATGTCAACAACAGTACCTTCCCTGAAAGTCATTATGAGATGAAAATTAAATGATGCCTGTGGAGTCTGAATGCCAGGCCTGGCACAGAAAAAGGGCTCAGGATGTGGCAGGTGATGGCGCAGAGATCGAGCCGCAGGACCCTGGGCTGCGACTTAGTGACTGTGCCACTCAGAGCAAGTCACTTACGTTGTTAAGCCGGGTTTTTGCATCTGTGGAACAGAACCAATAACAGAGCCCATCATAAGATCACTGATGAGCCAGTGCTGAGAAGGACCAATCACGGTGTTCGCCATAGCTGTTATTATCACCTTTGCAGGATCAGGGTTGATAATGGCTGCCATTTATTATTAATATAATCCCCAGAAACTGACTCTTCTCCCAGCAGGGGTGCGGTCATGGTTCATGTGCTGACAACATTCTAGAGACTTGGAAACAGTTTTCTTCCCACCAGCACCAGCCCTGCCAGAACCTGCTGCAACTGTTTTTGTAATCAATGGAAACGTGCACAGTCCAAGGGAGGTGGGGCAGAGAGGAAGCAGGCACATCCCAGGCTTGCATCTGCCCAGGCAGAACCAAGGCACCAGCCTCCTGCCACCCACCAAGGCCAGAGGGAGGAACAAATTCAGGTCCCCTTGCGGGATGACGGCCCCCTCCCCACATAGCCTGAACCAACTCAGCAACTGATTTCTCAGCAATGGATTTCTAGGTGAGCAATGGATTAAGACTTTTCTGGTCTTAAAGCTTGAAATTCACCTCATTTCCCCAATCCCCAAAGGGGAGCAAGTCCGTGTGCAGCCTTCCAAAACCAATGAGTCTGCTTCTAGAACCATCCCAGTCGCCACCTCTGCTGCTTCCTCCTCCTCTTCCCAGGCCCCTGAAGCAATCCGTGGGCCCAGGGTACTTGAGCCAAAGAACAAGGTGCTAGGCCAGGGTGACACAGGCTGGGCCAGCTGTGGAGGACACAAGACTCCTTCCCCAGTGCACACACAAGTCCTGGTCCAGATGAGAGAAAGGAAGACAGAACATTCCTCTGGCAAAAGGTGACATAGTGGCATTCACGACCAACCCCTTGGCACTCAGGTGATGCTGCCCTTGAACAAATGTCTGAGAGCAGCCTTCTCCCAGTACAGACACGATCAGCTCTCATCCCGGGTCAGGACTGTGGATGCGTAGCTCTCCAGCAAATCACAAACTTCCTAACGTAGCCAGCTGGTCAGTCTTGGCCAAGCCCAAATTCCCCCTCCCCCCAGGCAGCCGTGTGGCATTCTGAAAGGAGTGAAACTGACCCAATAGGCCCACAGACAGTTGTTGTTGTTGTTGTTGTTTAATAAACATAGAAATTGAAATTGACTTTTCTGGGCTTAAAGCTTGAAACTCACCAGATCCAGACAATGAAACACCAGGCCCCTCGTTCATCATGATTCCCTACTTAGCCCTCCTGAGTTCCTGTTTTCCCATACGTAGTTACATTTCTTCCCTGCTATATAAACCCCTTATTTTAGTCAGTTAGGGAGATGGATTTGAGACTGATCTCCCAACTCCTCAGCCGCAGCACCCGATTAAAGCCTTCTTCCTTGGCAACAATCATTGTCTCTGTGATTGGCTTTCTGTGTGGTGAGCAGCAGAACCTAGACTGAACCCCTGGTGTTTCAGTAACAGACCTTGTCTGAAGACCTGGGTGCCACCTGGGTGAGCCCTGGCTGGCTGAGTCTTCAGACAGTGTTGAACCTCTCTCTGCCTGAGATGAAGATAAAAGTAACCGATGCTGCTTACTGACCTCACTGGGTACTACAAGGTGCTGTGAGACAAAAATACGGACGTGCTCTGCAAACTCAAGTCCTCGTCAGGATTAGTGACCATTCAGAGCCCTTCCTCTGGTCCTAGGGGAGCCCCTGGCAGAGGACGGTAAACTTGAATCCCCTGGGGCCCTCAGGAGCAGGAACTCAGAGCAGCCCTCTGAAAATCTGAAATTTCTGCAGCATCTCTTGTTTGATCTTCAAAGCTCATACAGACTTTATGTTTCACTCATAATACATCGGTCTGTTTTATTACTAAGAGGACATTGTAAAATTAGCTACCATCACCGATGCACCTGGTCAGTGATGCCCCAGCAAGTTGTGACAGGCACACTCGGTGGCTGTCCCAGACACCAGCTCTCACTGCAGTTTGAGTGGCATAGTGGCTGTGGAGACCCTCACAGTTCTTTCCAGGAAGAGCTCAAATGGCCAACGTGAGCCCCATTATTATAGGTCCTGGCTGGTCTCTGTGTAGCCAAGATCATGCAGTAAACCCTTGCCTAAGTTTGGGCTCCCCCAGAAGCAGAGCCTCAGACAAGGACTTGGTGCAGGTGATTTGGGGTGAGGGGAAAGTGAGCCCAGGAAGCAGGAGGGAGTGAGTGAAAGAGTAAGAAAAGGAAAGAGAAAAAGCCAATAATACCCAAAGGCTTCATTGAAGCTGCCGCTGTGGGTCACTGGGACCTGGTTCCTCTGGAAGGGATGCACAGAACGCCCCGAGATTGCCCCACCCCATCCAATGCGAGTCAGAGCCAGCTCCCGCGGTCAGTGCTGGCAGATTCCAGGGGGTTGGGCTCACCCACGCTCCCAGGCTGGACTGGCACGTGGCTAAGTGGGCTCCCTGGGGCCCTGGAGCACAAAGTGAAAAGATGCCCTGTGCTCGTGGAGTGGGGATATTGTCAGGATGCAAAGGTCTGGGCACAAATGGAACCTTCCAGTCAGAGCTAGCTTCAGTCACATTGGTCCAGGCCTGGCTGCTCCTATAACCATCAACCCTCTGGGAGGCCTAGAGCTCAAGTCCTTCCTCATAGCAGAGTTAACCTTGGGCTGAAACAGAAGCACGCTTTAACTGTGGGAGGGAAGCTTTCTAAGTCATATTACCCACTCAGCCTTGATCCAGCACCTCCATGGATGGTGCTTCCTTGATAACTCAGGCTCATCATGGATAGAGCCACGGCCCAGAGATGAGAGGTGCACCCCGGAACCCACCAAGGCCAGGGCTGTTGGACCCACACTAGGGATCCCCCCAAATGTCCTGTTTCTGCATTTTGTAGCTGTTCTGACACCTGTGGTATCCTGCTGGTGACATATGAGCTTTCTAGAAAATAATCTGAGACCATATCTCAAGAACTTTTAGAATGGGCAGAACATTTTCCACAATAATATATAGATATCCAAAGAGCTGTCATCCCAAGGAAACACCTATAAATGTCAAAGTCACCTCGTTGTTTATGAGAGCAAAGAACAAAGAATTTAAATGTCAAAGAAAGGGGGTTGATAAATAATTCCTGGCTAAGTTACACAGTGGATTGTTATATGTAGAGTGTGGCCTGAAGTTGTACAGTCCTGATTTCATAAATCTATCCAAACATGCACTTTAAAAATCCTAAAATAAAATACACCAAAACTCCAAATGTAGTAACCCCTGAGTGGTGAGATTACAGTCATTTGAATTGTCTTCTTTATACTTGTCTGTATTTTCCAAATTTTATGTAAGCATGTGTGTCTTTTATCATGAGAGCCAAAGTTTTTTGCAATGACACAAAGGCCACTATCTCAGACACTGGGCCCACCAGGACCGGAGCCCCCTCTGCACTCGCAGTGAAGGCTGTTCCTGGACATGAGAAATCGTGATCCTGGGACTTGCCCACCTCCCAGGGTTCACTGGGCTCCCCTCCCACACAACCCAGTCTCTTGAGGAGTCAGGGGCTGTCTCTGGCAAGTGATCCCCATTGCCCCGTCCTGAACAGAGCCGGCTGGCATTTTGGCAAAATGTTCTGAACAGTTTCTGACCCAGAGGAACCTGGAAACTTCAGCCTCTTGGCCCAGCCTTGAAAACAGCTTTGCCAGGCTCATCCTGGTACAGGTCCCGGGAGATGATCAAGCCCATTGTCCAGGACAGAAAACTGAGGCCACCCAGAACTGTGCCACATCTGGCCACCCCCTGGTGATCCCAATAAGCCTAAGTCCCAGCCTGACTGAGAGCCCCACGTGGGCTGATCTATGAGGTTACTGGAAAGAGGAGGCTGGCCTCAGGTTCAGGAGGGCTCCCCAGTCCTAACATCCCACTCTCCATGCCCAAGACTAAGATGTGTCCCGGGAAGTGCAGGGCTGGTCTACCACAATACGGCCAAGGCACCCTTCGGGGCGGCCAGGAAAATTCCAAGAGGGCAAGAATGCCCTCCCTGCCTCTACAGTGCCTCCTCCTTCAAGAGCTTAGGTTTCAGAGGTAGATAGTGCTGGTTCACATTCCAGCTTGTGGCCTTGACTTGGCCATTCATGTCTCTGTCTGGGAGGAGCTTCCAGGAAATTATCAGCTCCCTGGTTTGAACCCCAGTAGCCACCATGTGAGCACCCCAGGGAGCTGTGGGCAGCCTACCTGCAAAAGGCAGTCTCTACCAGAGCAGGGGGAGCATCACGGCCCTCCTCTATAGGCTGCAGCCTGGTCTCTGCCTCCCCTTATGGAATCCCACCTCCCACTGGGGTAGGGCCTTCAGCAGGGAGCCCAGGCCACAAATATGGGGCCCTGAGAAGAAGGCACCTTTGCCGCCCCACCCCCACA
The DNA here is from genome assembly GCF_000001405.40 of Homo sapiens. NCBI lineage: Eukaryota > Metazoa > Chordata > Mammalia > Primates > Hominidae > Homo > Homo sapiens. The sequence goes on from NC_000010.11 coordinate 124,303,943, forward strand.
CCACCCCAGAAAGCAGGAGCTGATTCCAGATGTGGCCTGCCAAGGGGGCCATAGCTGGCAGGGACCGCAAGTCATCCAGTCCAGTGGTATTATGTTACTTAGGTGTTAAGATATCACATTTCTTAGCTTGCCCTAAATCAACACAAACCTGTCTAGGAGCCCCCATTCAACAAGATGATTAATACAATGCCTTTGTGTTGAGTGGTCCCTCCAGGGTCAAAGACCTCCAGGAAATTCAGGGAAGGGGTCTTGCATCGTCAGGCCCCAGCAGTCCTCTCTAAGGGCTTGCCAACAGCTCTGGGGGTTCCGCACTTGTATCCAACCCAGATGATCCTACCCAGTTGATCCAACCCAGGTGATCCTATGAAGGTGGATGGCTCTGCTGTCTTTGTGCCAAGCTTGGGAACAGATATCCTAGTGAACCAGGAGCCTGGGCACCTGCAGTCCCTCTCTCTGGGTGTCCCCGACATCCATGTCCTTCCAAAAGCCTTCCCTCACCACAGCCCCTCCAGGGGATGTGTGTGAGTAGGGCCCAGGTTCCTGCCCCTTCTAGAACCACAAAACCCTGAGCCTTGCCAGCCCAACCCACACACCTCCTTCACGTTGGTTCACATCCCCCCTTAGAGGCCTGCCACCATGAGATAACCAAGCCCAACAGCTCCTGGCTACCTGGCTTTTGAAGCAAATGCCTGGGTGACGTCTGTGTTCTCTGTGTCCCCCATCCTCTTCAAAGAAGGGGGGTTGATAAATAATTCCTGGCTAAGTTACATGGTGGATTGTTATATGTAGAGTGTGGCCTGATCTCCAAAAGCTGTTAGCAAACCCCTGCTGCATTCATAAAGGTTTGGCTACCTTGTATATCTGGAGGAAGGATACAAGGATGGCAAAGAAAGTGGCATCTTGATAATCATCCTGGCACCGAAGTGCATGGAAAACAGTCTGGAAGGATGTACACCCAACAGGGAGGGGCCAAGGAGGGCTGCAGGGAAGCAAAGGAGACTTTATCACCACTTTGAAAAACTTCTGTACAGTTGGGACATTTCATTACCCATCATATATTATCCTCATTATTTTTTTTTTTTCCTTTTTTTGGCTAGTGCTGGCTAAATAACAGAAAATGAAGTAATTTGTTATTTACCAAGCATCATTTATGTGCCAGGTGATCAAAACAAATGTGGAATCTTGTATTTACAGTTATGATGTAAAGTAAACAATGAGCCGCAGTTGGCCAAGCAAAGAGCGATGGAAGTGAACAGTATCCCAGGCAGAAGGAGGAATATCAGCTGGTCCTGGGTGGGAAAGAGCTTAGCAGATTGGAGGAACAAAAATAGGCCAGTGCAGCTAGAGCACAGTGACTCAAGGAGCAGGGACAGAGATGAGGGTGGAGAGAAGCCTTGAGGCAGATCACATGGGTAGTTAAGGAAGGTTGTGTTCAGGGAGTTTGCGTTTCATTTTGAGTGTGCTGGGAACCATCAAAGGCTTTTAAGCAGGGAGCAACATGATCAGATTTACATTTTTTAGTAGATAACTCTGTCTTCTTGCTGTGTGGAGAATGTTGGAGGGCAAGACAGGAAGTGTTATCAGTTAAAGGATGCCCAGAAGAGGAATCTCATGATCCATGATTTTAAAAGAAAAATAAATAAAACAAAGGGCCCTGTTTCTTACCAGGAGGAGCCTGACATCCAAGGAGACAGGGGCAAAAGAATTAGGTATGTTACACCTAGCAGGCAGGACAGCACAGAAGTTGGTGGCTGAGGTCTATGGGTCCACGGTCATTGGCTGTGCTGCTTGCCGGTCAAGTGATGTGGACAGGTTGCTCAACCTTTCAAAGCATTGGTTTCTTCCTCTGAAAAGTAGAAGGTAATTATATCTACCTCTCAAGATTGCCAAGAATATGAATGAGCTACTGCATGTGTCATATATCATGCTTAGCTCTGTAATGTTACTTTATAACCATCACCGTCATCACCATCATCATCACCACCATCTTCATTATCATCACCATTATCACCACCACCATTATCATTATCACTATCATCATCATCTTCAACACCATCATTCATCATCGTTGCCACCACCATCATCACCACCACCATCTTCATTATCATCACCATTATCACCACCACTACAATCAACATCATAATCATCACCACCACCACCATTACCACTACCATCATCATCTTCTTCAACACCATCATCATCATCATCATTGCCACCACCATCATCACTACCACCATCTTCATTATCATCATGATTATCACCACCACCACCATCATCACCATCATAATCATCATCACCATCATCACCAGCACCATTATCATCACCACCACCACCACCACCATTACCACTACCATCATCATCATCTTCAACACCATCATCATCATCATCATCATTGCCACCACCATCATCACCACCATCATTGATCCTGCTCCTAGACTCCATCAAAGTCCAGAGTCCAGCATTCTACCCCAACTCACCTCTGAATAACTCTGGGATCTGAGTGGGCCTCCTATCCTCAGTCTCCATGCCCTCTGTCAGGCTGTTCTCACAACTGTGGGGCTCCTTGTTCAAAATGAAAATGTGGGACCTCTTTTTCAAAAAGCAGGAAAAAGGTATCATTGAAGTTACTAAAATACAGAGCTTTCTTCTTTCTTCCAGTCTCTCTCTCTCATCTTATCATGATATTTTTTATTTGCTATTTGATGCCATTCTAAGTACAGAAAAATTAAAATTTTTAATTACTAACACGAATTTTACCATTCATCATTATATTGCACAATACCAGTTTTAGATACAAATATAAGAACAATTTAACTCATATGTGAAATCAACAAAATTATAATTTGTATTTGATATTTTGTACACACAAGTATATTTTTGTCCTTGCTAGAACAGTAGAAATGCTGCACACACAAAAACTCAACTGTTTTCTGTTTTTATTTCACTCCTGGATAGAATCACATTCTACCAACACTCTCTGCCTTTGCCTTACTGATGGGTAAGGAAGAAGTGAAGCAAAAAGGAACTATGGCTGCCCAGTCTTCCCCTTTCCTTCTGTGTCATCACTTTCAGTGTAAGTGCTTGACTAACACAGGGAAGTGACATGAGTAAGAAAAGGCATGACAGGTTTCCTTGGTCGTTTGTGTTTCTTCCAACATCACTGCCTTTTTTCCGCATTCTAAGCAAGTTCTGGTTTGAATGGAAAGCGTGGCCTGTCAATGCTGTCTATGCCCTTGCTCACTCAGCTGTGCATGCAACACGTATCCCTTGTACTCACTTTGAGTCACACTTCCATGCATCATGGTTTCCCTGGAATGCTATGCTCATGGGGCATCAAGAACACCACATGCTGACAAGGCAGCAAGGAACAGCAGGCATGTCTATTGCATGAATCTCCAGCTCATGTGCCCACTCCATGGTCCCATTAGACTTCACCTGCAAAACACCAGTTCAAAGATAAAATTATTAAAATTTCAAGATGATGGCAGAAGAGCATTAACCCAAGAAGCTCAGGGCCTGATCACAGGGCCCTTTGCAACTGCACAGGCCTCAGGCCCATGAGGCTGGCCCTGGCTCTCCTGGAAAATGGGCACAGTTTCCAGTTTGTCCATCTCACAGGGTTGTGGGAGGCCTATACACAAGCCAGCAAGTGGAAACCCTTTGCAAACAGTAACTGTGACCGTAACCATAACCGTAACTGGACCAACATGCAGCTGCCACACTCCCCCGAGTGTGGCATGGTATGCAGAGCAAGCATACCACACCAGGCATAGCGAGCGCCAGCCGCAGCCAGCACCAGCAGGGAGCTGGGCAGCGGTGAGCTGATTCGAATTCCAGATGAGCGTGAATGACACAAAATCCGTTTTACTTGCAAATTCTGAACCGTGCGCAGGAACCCAGCAAGCTCTGCATCACAACATGTTTCTCCAAGCAGCCGTTGGGCTGTAAAACGGACGATCGCTGTTTGCAGTCAAGCTCTGTTATGCTGGGCAAGTCAAAGCCAGTTCCCTTCTGCCAGGGCTCAGCAGAGGTGTGACCCCCTCGTAAAGCCTTGCCTGTGTCTGGGGAAGGTGTCAGGAATCACCACACATTCCCCGTTTGGAAAGCGATTCTGCAACATGGAAGTCTGGGCTGTTCTGAGGCTCTGTCCAGCTCAACAGGCAAAACAGAAGGGGAAGCTCCCAAGATCCAGAGACCTCGCTCTCCACCCACAGTCATGGAACCCGGGTCCATCGGTGATGCTGAGGGAGCCCCAAGCCCTGGGTGAGCTTCCTCAACTCTAGAGTTGAAGCAAGAACACCACAAGGGCACCACAAACGCTTCCCGTCCATGACTGTTCTCATGCTCACATCCACCGTGACACGCGGGCATCACAGCCCCACTTAACATCGCTGCACCTGAGGCTTAGCAAAGTTAAGTGACAAAAACTGTGATTGTCCCAGTGGCACATGACAAAATGGAGGCTTTGAGAGGTTAAGCAGTTTGCCCGAGGTCACCAGCAGGGCCAAGGGCCACACCGAAGTCTGGGTAATGCCTAGGTCCACGCTCCGACTCAGGGCACAAGAGCTAAGAAGAAACGAGCTCACACATGTGACAGGGCATCACGACCTTCACTGGAGCACAGTGTGGGTGGCACCAGTTGCCCTAAACACAGAGGGCGTCTCCTGGGCCATTGTCAGGGGAGAAAGAGGGTGGCACTTGGGTGAGGAATTCCAGCCTATCTGCCTCCAGGGCTCCTTGGAGCCTGGCCCAGAGTTGAAGAGGCATTTTTCCCTCCACCCTGCCCAGCTCTCCCCTACCCCCTCCATATACACACATGCACACACACACAAACACAAACACACATGCACATGCACACACACATGCACACGCGTGCTCTATATGTGTGATGGCCCTTCACCAACCTCCCCCCTTCCTCTCCCTTCAGCCCGCAAGTCTTCTCCATTCTCCCACCCAGGCTTCCGTAAGCCTCCCTGCCCTTTTCCTCACAATGCCACGGTCTGGCTGCAGAATCACCAGGGTCCTAATTCCAGCACGGGCTTTATGCCCCCAGCTCTGAGCCCCAGACCCCCATCTGATGATGATGGGCCTCCCTGCAGCAGAGGGTGGTGTGTGGGGTGTGTGTGTGTGTGTGTGTGTGTGTGCATGCGTGCATGCATTTGTGTGTGTGTGTGAGAGTGCCTGGCAGGTGGGGCCTCACTGGCCTGCCTTTTCCTTGCCTGTTCACACCAGTGTAAAACCAACCAGGCAACAGGCACTGCCCACATCAGAGAGCTCTCAGGACTCCCACTCTGAGCAGAAGGCTCTGGGGGAAACACTAGAATTTAGTAGGAATTCTAGGGGGAAAGTGGAGAAAATGTGTAAGTACATAAACGATAGAATAGCATTCCCGGGTGCTGAAGGAATCAACAAATGTTCAGGTTGTTAAGGCCCCCCCGGTACCAAACTGCATCTGCCCTAAAGGCGACGAAACTCCCACCAACTCCAAATGTTCATCACCCACCGCTTCTCTCTTCATAAATATGGCAACCAAACCAGGTAATGAAGGACACCAACCATGTGGAAGGTAAGAACAAACAAACAGAATGCAAAGAACAGAAAGGAACTTTTAAAAGGTTAGTGCCTTTGGAGAAAGTCAAGAAGGTATTGTGTCCCTAAAAAGAAAACAGGCTCTGCTTAAAATGGAGCAATGAGAAAGCCAGAAAGAATTCTCAGAAATAAAACTGCTAAAAGAAAAAGTTCATGAAAAAAGACATACAGTTGAAGAAATCTCTCAGAATATATATCAATAAAACAAAGAGAAAAATACAAGAGAAATCACCTGAGATATATAAGCTCAATCTATGAAGTTCTATATTAATTTACTAGGAATTATAAAAAAAAATTAAATGGAGAAAATGTAGAAATTATACAAATGAGAGTATAGCATCTCTCAAGTGCTGCAGGAATCTACAAATCTTCTGGTTGACAGGACCTTCTAGATACCAAGCAGAATAGATGAAGAAAGACCCGCCTCCAGATAAACTGTCATGAAAACTGGAACTCCAAGGACAAGGAGAATATTTTAAAGGCTTCCAGATGGGAAAAACAGATTATTAGCAAAGGAATGACAATCATGTTGGTGTGTGACTTCTCATCAGCAACGTTGAAAACCAGAAGACTAGAGCAATGATCCCAAGTTCTCATTAAAGAAATTAAACTTACAATTGTATGTTTGAATAGAAACTATTAAATAAGTGCAAGGGCAAAATAACATTTTCAGGCACAAAAATACTTAAAAATCTACATCCTGAATATTCTTTTTGAAAAATGCTCTCTCGGGATATTCTCCAGCAAAATGAAGAAGGTATCTAAGCAAGAAAAAAGATATGGGAATTCTAAAAACAAAGTAGACTTATCCCAGGCATCCAAAGAAAAACTTCTAGATAACAGAACTAGAAAAAAAAATCCATCCAGATCCTAACAAGGGGTAAGAGAACCCTGGGGGTGGGGGGTAGGGGCAGCGGTGGGGTGGGGAATCTTCAAGAAGAGAACATTTTCTTATTTTCTTTAACAAAAAGTAGGGTTGGAGACTAGATAGTTTAAAGATATAATAGAGGTATATACTGTTGCTCTCTTGTCAAAAAGAAAAAAACGTAGCAAGATCCCATCTCTAAAAAAAGGTTTTAAATTAGCCAGGCATGGTGATAAGCACCTGTAGTCCAAGCTAATGGGGAGGCTGAGTCAGGAGGATCACTTGAAACCAGGAGACAGAGGCTGCAGTGAGCTATAATAGTGCCATTGCATTCCAGCCTGAGCAACAGAGTGAGACCCCATCTCTTAAAAAGAAAGAAAAGAAAAACAATTAAAAATTTCAGGAAGAAAAATAAAGTTCTATGCTATACTATTGTAAATTGCATTTAAAGGTTGACATTGAGGTTAAATAGTACTTGTTTTGCAATGATAATAAAAATACAGCTTTTGGTAAAGTACAATGTCATGGTAAAAACAGTATTCTTACTAAATTTAAAAACCTATGAAGTGGAAATTTACTTGGAATTGGTAATGGTGCACATATAATTTATAATTTGTTCCAAATAGGCTGTGATAGTCTAACAATTTAAGTAAAAGCTGTAGTTGCCAACATTTAGAAATTATATATATGCTGTATAACAAAAATTTTGTGACAAAGCTGATTAAAGATGAAAAAAAACCATGCTACAGCATGGCTTGTGTACTTTCTCTCTTTGCTGCCTGCCACATATCAGATTTTAGAAAAGTTTGAGCTTTTGAAGTCAATCTGAGTATCCTGTGACAATATTAAACTTTTTTGTAGATGAGTCCTCTAAATTTTGGATACATGGTTTTCAAAAAATTGGAGACGTTTGATCAGATTATTCAACACACGGACTTTCCATCTTTGAAGTTTTGAAAGAATTGCATTAATTGAAAACAAAGCCTATAAATGAAAAGACATTGAAATTTATCCCTTAAAAAAAAAAAAAACAAAGGAGAAATTCAGCACATTAAACAATTAGACCTCAATGTGGAAATTCTATAATGATATTTCAGAATATCTTGACTTGTGACAAGACTCTTTTGATGGAGCTTCTATTTTAATTAGAAAGAAATATGCTGTTCCAGGAGGGCATGAAACTGAGAAAGCCTACAACTTTGCAGCTTCCAAATTTAATGAAGCATTTGAAAGAATCACAAATAGATATGACTTATTTGATGAATTTTGTCTTGTAAAAATATTTGCTGAAGAAAGTTACTCTGAAAGGAGGCAAAAAGACAGTATATGGTAAAATATTTAGGCTGAAAGAGTTTCACATTTTAGTGTCAAAAAGTTAGCATTGAAAATATCCTTCATTTCCCTTGAGCTGATTAGGGCCTCAACATCTCTAGAGAGAATATTTTCCCAATTCAAAATATTATGATCTATAATGAAGAGTGTAGTACAGATGTCAATAATTTCAAGTTCATTAACCATAATATGTTTCTCGAACTCCTGGCCTCAAACGATCCTCCCACCTCGGCCTCCCTAGTGGCTGGGACTACAGGCGAGCACAGCTATGCCCAACTAATTTCTTTATTTTTTATTTTTTGTAGAGATGGAGTCTTGCCATGTTGCACAGACTGCTCTTGAACTCCTGAGCTCAAGTGATCCTCCGGCTCCAGCCTTCCAAAGTGCTGAGATTATAGGCATGAGCCACCACGCCCAGCTGTCACTTTTGGTTTTAGAAAGAATTTGATTGTTGAAAATAGTTTGTTGTAGAACCATTTATAGAACCAAAATAATAAAAAACAACTTGTCAGTCAAGAAATAAATATTTCCAAAATATATACATTTCTTGTTATTTTAGAATTTCTTTTCATCCTCAAAAGTGCCTTGGTTTCGTCAATGAAATATAAGTCATGCTAGCCCTGAAGGATGAGGAGGCATATTCGTTTTCTTCTGTTGTATAACAAATTACCCCAAAACTTAACAGCTTAAAACAACCAACGTTCACTATCTCACAGGAGAGCCAAGGCACCGTGTGGATCAAGAGTCCAGATGTGGCTTCCCTGACACCTCCCACTCAGGGTCTCTCACGGGCAGCAGGAGAGTCATTAGCCAGGGCTGTGATTACCTCAAGGTGTGACGAGGGCTGAGAGATCTGCTTCCAAGCTCACTCATGAGGCTATTGAACCTCAAAAGATCTGCTTCCAAGCTCACTGACGTGGTATTGGGCCTATATTCATTTGTTAGGGCTGCCATAACAAATACCACACATTGGGTGGCTTAGACAACAGATGTTTATTTTCTCTTAATTCTGGAGGCTAGAAGTCCAAGTTCAAGGTGTTGCTGGGTTGGTTTCTTCTGAGGCCTCTCTCCTTGACCTGCAGGCAGCCATCTTCTCCCTGTGTCTTCACAGGGTCTTCCTTCTGTTCCTATCTGTTCCTAATCTCTTCTTACAAGGATACCGGTCAAAATAGATTAGGGCCAACCCTAATGACCTCATTTTAAATTAATTATCTCATTAAAAATCCTATCACCAATTATAGTCATATTCTGAGGTACTGAGAGTTAGTGCCTCACATGGCAACAGGGCCTTTCCACCTGAGTGTCTTCACAACATGGCAGCTTATGATCTGAAACAGAGAGAGATCACTAAGATGGAAGTCCTTTTGTAATTTAATCTTGGAAGACACATTCTGTCTTTTCTGCCACCTTCTATGAATCTGAAGAGAAGAGAATCAACAGGTCCAGCTCATCCTCGAGGGGAAGGAATCCCACAAGAGCCTGAATTTCAGAAGACAGCCATCTTGAAGGCTGCCTACCATGCTCTGTAACCATTTTGCCCCAAGTCCAGTTGAGAGACCAGGACTTGAGATTGGGGATACTGGCTTTGAAAGTCAGTTTATCCTCCTTTGGAAGGGTGGGATTGTCAAGAGGTTGTATGAGGAACCCCAACCAATTCTGGTTTCAGAATTTAGAGCAATAGAGGAGGAAAAGAGGCAGGAAGGGAGGTCCAGGAGGGCTTTGCAAATCAAAGGAAGAGGGTGCTATGTGCAGGTCTCGTGCACTCTCCCTGGCAAGCCCCCTGGGCTCCCATAGCAGTGTCTGTTTCCCTTTGCATCTCCTCCTCTCCTCCTACACACACACACACACACATACCCACTCACAGTCACACACCCACATGCGTGAAAACACACTCATACAATCACCTCACACACTTGCACACACACATACATTCAACCACATGAACACACATTCGCACACACAAGTCACACTGGCACACATACTCAGACACACACATCACACACCGCTGCACATGAACTCATATGTGTTCCCAACACACACACACACAGGTAGATGCCATGCAGCAGCCTCCAGCGCCCTCCCTGTGCCTGGCATGTAACCTGTGCTCAGTCAGGGTTGACTTCATTAGTTGAAATATTAAGTCAGGGGAAATTGTGTTTGGGGATCCTTCTTTTCAATTGATCTTTTCAGTTGTTTAACATCGGCTCCTGGGCATTCACCGTGTGTTGAGCCCTCAACTCATGCTTCTCAGAAATAGAAAAATATCATTTTTCTTTCCCACAGTTGCATCTGAACTGACCACGTTTTGAGGGCTTTTTAATCAAATACAGTTTTTCAAATCAGGCAATAACTAGGTCTTATACTCAAGCGCTTGAGAGAGAAGAAAACAGAAAAGATTCTCTCCAAGCAAACTACTAGACCTTCCCACATTTTGGAAGGGAAACTTCTGAAAAAAAAAAAAAAAAAAAAAAAAAAAAAAAAAAAAAAAAAAAAAAAAGCCTGGCCTAATATCCACCCAGTGTATAGGGCTCCAGCTTCCAAAGCCATCCTAAACCAGAGCGTTGGGAATGACACTCTCTGGGGGTGAAATTATGGCTGAATTTGTTGAACTATATTTTCTAAAGAATATCCAATAAGCATGCATTCTTAGTAAGTTAAAGGTTATTTTTAAGATGAAAGAAATAATTATTATTAATAAAATAAATACAAATAATTTAGCCCAGTGGCTGGCAAGTTTAATGAGCTCTATGTTATATTTTGGTTGTTTTCATTGTAAGAAACCCACTGGGAAAGAGCCTGCTTTCTAAGAAGCTGGCATCCTGATAATTTAGTGCCCCTTCCTGGGCCCCTCAGAATCCTGCTATTGAGAGCAGCTTTGGAAGACACAGAAGGTTTAAGTTCTGAGATAGCTCCATAACCCCCACCAGAGAGGGAGGCTTTCTACAATACTCCATTCTTACCCCACAGACTAGGACATGAAGATCTGATATGATTTGGCTGTGTCCCCACCCAAATCTCATCTGGAATCATAGTTTCCATAATCCCCACGTGTTTTGGGAGGGAGCAGGTGGAGATAATTGAATCATGGGGGCAGTTTCCCCCACCCTGTTCTCATGATAGTGAGTTAGTTCTCACAAGACCTGATGGTTTTCAGGGGCTTCCGCCTTCACTTGGCTCTCATTCTGTCTCCTGCCGCCATGTGAAGAAGGATGTGTTTGCCCCCCCTTCTGCCATGATTGTAAGTTTCCTGAAGCCTCCCCAGACATGCTGAATTGTGAGTCAGTTAAACCTCTTTCCTTTATAAATGAGCCAGGCTCACGTGTGTCTTTATTAGCAGCATGAGAACAAACAAATACAGAATCCCAATGAAAATGCAGCAATATCAGAAACATGCACACATTCAAGACCTTAATATCTGCCTCTGAGCAATTTCCTGGTGTATTTTCTTTTACAACAGGGTCATGCCAAACATGCTACTTCCTATTAAAATGTTATTCTTTATTTGATTTCAAAATTATTCTTCACATCTCACCTTCTTCTTTAAGCCATTTTCTCCCTCCAATAAAATCCTGGCACCCAAAGCAGCTCTCAGAACTAAATTAATTATAAAAGCATATTAATGTCATCTGTAGAGCAATGAAATTAATTTATTCAATACATCTAAGAGGAAGTCATCAATTATGACCAGAGATTGTAGCATTTTATGTTACAGCATTTAAAATTCTTACAAATTTTAATATTTCCTCCAGCAAGAATTGCCATAAATATCATCTGCTGTGCAGTCTTGATTTATGAATTAAGTGTAACTTTTAGTCCACTGGTGTTCAAATACTAAACATTTTACTCTTATCTAATGTCTGTTCTTAGATATTTGTACCTGTATGAAAAATAGGGATCTCCATTCCCTTAAGGGTGACCTCTGCCCTCAGAGTACAGAAATATGCAATAGCATCTGTGTGGAGACATATACACGTTTTTAGGAAGTGCTTTCCAGCTTAAGATGCATGATAAGCTCAATACAGGGAAACCCATCCACACCCTCATGTCAGATCTGAATATACCACAGGGCCCCAAATGATTCATTCTCAGAATGAAGAAGGCAGCCAAAGGAAACACACTTTGGTCTTCACTTGTGCCTCTCAAAGGCCATTAGAGGACATGCAATTCATTACCCACCGCGCTTCTTACTACTCCTCTTCCCACCCAATTCCTCCTCTAAGTTACCTGCAAGACCCACAACTAACCAGAAGTTCTCTCTCAGCTCTTCTCCAAAACTCTCCCCTAGAGAAGATATTTGACGTATATCTGACAAATAACTTGTATCCAGACCATATAAGAAATGCCTACAAAGCAATTTCTTAAAAGGCAGACATTCCTAGAAAACCATGAGCCGACTGGGCACAGTGGTCTACAATCCCAGCTACTAGGCAGGCTGAAAAGGAGGATCACTTGAGCCCAGGAGTTTGAGTCCAGCTTGGGCAATGTAGCAAGACCTGGTCACAAGAAAATAATAACAACAGCAAGCAAACAACGGGCACCATGCTGGAACAGGCCCTTCCTGAGAGAGGAGACCCAAAGGGCCACTAAGCATGGGACAAGGTACTCAACTCCACAAATCATCAGTGATAAACAGCAATGAAGTTAAAACAGAACACCCCAGCAGAACAGCTAAAATGAAAAAGATAGAAAAATGCCAAGATCCACAAGGATGTAGAGCAACTGGACCTTTCACAGGCTGCCGGTGGAGTATAAATTGGTCCCATTTAGAACAGCGTCTGGCAGGATATACTGAGCTGAACATATGTGTTCCTGATGACCCAGAAACTTCACTCCTAGGTAAATGCCCAAAAGAAATGAGTCCATATGCTCACCATAAGATATGTACTAGAATATTCATAACAGCTTTATTAAAAATAGCCCCAAACTGAAAACTACGAAACGTCCATCAACAGGAGAATGGAATACAATTGCCAGATAAAATACAGGATGCCCCATTAAATTTGAATTTCAGAAAGCCAACAATAATTTTTGTAGTATAAGCAGGTCCCATACAGCAATATTACCCAAAATGAGCAACTGCTGGGCACAACACGGATGATTCTCACAGACATAAGGATGAGCAGAAGAAGCCAGACACAAAATTACACAAATCGGGTGGTGCCATGTATGTGATCTTCCAAATACAGGCAAAACTCATCCACGCTGTCAGAAGTCAAGCGAATGGGCGGGATGGGTAGTTACTGGAAAGAGACGTAAGGGGCATTTTGGGAGCCTGGAATATTCTGTCTCTTGATCCGGGGGCTGGTCACACTTTGTAAAAATTTGTCAAGCTGTATGCTTAGGACACATGAGCTTTTACAATTGTGGAACATACTCACCCTGGGAAGTATTCTTTGTGTATCTGAAGTTCAGATTTCATGGAGCGTCCTGTAGTTTGTGTGACACCCATCCTCCATTCTCCTGCTAGTGGGTATTTTGTCCATCAACACGTACCACAAGTGTATTTTATATGTGAATAAAAATACAAAAACCTCTCACAGAACCCTGCTCCCAGAATGGGTCCTTCCACAGGAGGATAATGCCAGTGGGCAAAGGGAGAATTTTGAGTGGGCTGGGAGGAGGGTCAGAGGTGGAAACAGGGCTGCAAATACTCACGTAATAATCCTTTTTGTAGCACAGAAAACAAATGTCTTTTGAAGTGCAGAGATCTGACCCCCATCTCCATCCTCTCAGGATTTCAGTTGTCTGCCGGCTAGGCACCTTCAAACTTGATCTGTGTTTGTAGCAGAGAGGGCAGTGGTCACACATTTTTATATATATGTGTGTGTGTATATATACACATACATGTATAATATATATACATATATAATATATATTATATATTTATTTTATATATTTTTTTCTATATATATGTGTGTGTATGTGTGTATCTATATGTGTGTGTGTGTGTGTGTGTGTGTGTGTGTGTGTATACATATGCTTGGGCAGGAGGCAGTCTGAGCATCAGCCACTCCCAGAACTGACAGGGACCCCCGACAGAGCAAGGAGAGACACTGAGAAGTGCAGATGCTTCTTGGACATATATAGAGAGAGAGAGAGACAGACAGACAGACAGACAGAGTCTTGCTCTGTTGCCCAGGTTGGAGTGCAGCAGCGTGATCTCATGTCACTGTAACCTCCGCCTCCTGGGCTCAAGCGATTCTCCTGCCTCAGCCTCCTGAATAGCTGGGATTACAGGTGCGTGCCACCATGCCTGGCTAATTTTTGTATTTTTAGTAGTGACAGGGTGACACCCTGTCACCATGTTGGCCAGGCTGGTCTCGAACTCCTGACCTCAGGTAATCTGCCCGCCTTGGCCTCCCAAGGTGCTGGGAGATTACAGGAGTGAGCCACCGCACCCCACCTGTCCACACATTTTCACTTCCGTCACTTCGGGATTAGGGAACGCAACCTAATCCTGTTTTTAGCACGGAGACGCTGCATGGCCTTGGAAGCCTACATTGAGCCGCTGCTTCCACCTCTCGCACGGCCTCCAAACCCCACCTGGGCTCGAAGTCAGGGCTCTGCCCGCCTCCCATTCTCTGGGCCATGCCCACATGGCCACGTTTTACAGGTGCCTTCATGGGGCAGGAGGCAGCCTAGGCATCAGCCACTCCCAGAACTGACAGGGACCCCCGACAGAGCAAGGAGAGACACTGAGAAGCGCAGATGCTTCTTGGACAGTGGATGGCTAAAGTGCAGACAGAGCAGGAAGCTGAAAGGGAGGAGCTGGAAGTCCAGTGAGCCAGCAAACAAGTACGAAAAGGCACTCTGTAAAAGGCAGTAGAGGGCCCTGGTTAAAGCACAGGCTTTAGAGCCAGACTCAGTTCCAACATCCACTCACTATGCTGCCTTGCGCCCATGACCAACTAGTTGAGCCTCAGTTTTCTCATCTGCAAACTGGGGATAATAATAGTACCGACACTGGATTATTGTGGGGACCAGGTGAGACAGTGTGTGGCGGATTCTATTTTCCAAAGGTGACCACAGTGCACTTTTCCCACACATGCTCATTGGGAACCTCACCACTCTCCCACCAAGTGGAATCTAATTCCCTTCCCTTGAATCTCTGGGGAGCAGAGGGCTTGTCCCTGGCCTGGGATGGACAGAATACAGCAGGAGTGACGCAGCGTGACTTCCAAGGCTAAGGCATAAAAGGTGTCTGCCTTCCACATTGTTAGCTGGTATCCTCGCCTTTGGAGCCCGGGCATCCATTAAAGTCCAGCTACCCGGAAGCCACCATGCTGTCAGGAAGCTCAGGCCACGTGGAGAGGCCACACGTAGGGGCTCCAACTGACAGCTCCTGCTGAGATGCCAGGTGACAGACAATGTTGATGAGTAGCCATGAATGAAGATGCCCCCGTGTGACTCCAGTCCTCAGCTGTCAATACCCCAAGTCATCAGCCTTGAGTCTTCCCAGTGAAGCCCTACACATCATGGAGTAGAGACATGTCACTCCCACTGTGCCCTGTCCAAATCCCCAACGCATATCCACGAGCAAGATCAAATGGTTGCCTTAAGCAATTAAGTGTGGGGGTGGATTGCTACACAGCAATAGTATCAGTTAGGTTTGGCTGTGTAACAAACCACCCCAGAATCTAGTGGCTTAAAACATGCATTTTTTTAAATTTTTTAAAATTATACTTTAAGTTCTGGGATACATGTGCAAAACGTGCAGGTCTGTTATATAGGTATACACGTGCCATGGTGGTTTGCTGTGCCCATCAATCTGTCATCTACATTAGGTATTTCTCCTAATGCTATCCCTCCCCTAGCCCCCCATCCCACAACAGGCCCTGGTATGTGATGTTCCCCTCCCTATGTCCATGTGTTCTCATTGTTCAACTCCCACTTATAAGAGAGAACACATGGTGTTTGGTTTTCTGTTCTTGTGTTAGTTTGCTGAGAATGATGGTTTCCAGCTTCATCTATGTCCCTGCAAAGGACATGAACTCATCCTTTTTTATGGCTGCATAGTATTCCATGGTGTATATGTGCCACATTTTCTTTATCCAGTCTATCATTGATGGGCATTTGGGTTGGTTCCAAGTCTTTGATATTGTGAACAGTGTCACAATAAACATATGTGTGCATGTATCTTTATAGTAGAATGATCTATAATCCTTTGGGCATATACCCAGTAAAACAACATGCATTTATTTAGCTCTCTGTTCTGTGAGTCAGCTGGACAGTGCTTAGGGCTGACTCAGCTGATCTCCACTGGGCTCTCTTTTGCATCTGTGGTCCACTGGTGGGTCGGCTCATGGCTGATTGATCCAGAATGGCCTTGCTCACATGCCTGGCAGTTGGCAAGCTGGCAAGTGGGCAACAGATGCAACTGGGTCACGGGTCTCTCATCACCCAGGAGGTCTGCAGGGCATCTTCACATGGGAGCAGAGTTCCAGGAGCAGCAACAAAAGGCCAGCCCCACTGTGCAAAAGCATTCTCAGGCCTCTACTCACAACATATTTGCTCACATTCCATCAGCCAAAGCAAGTCACGGGGCCAAGTCCAGGGTCAGAATGAGAGGGCTCCCAAAGCACATGGCAAGGAGGCATGGGCCTGGAGAAGAATCTATGGCATTTTTGTTGACAGCCACATTCAGGCATGGACTGTGCCTCCAGCAAATGCTGGCTGCCCACAACATGGACGTAATGACCACAGAGCATGTATTGTTGGGCACTGTCAGCTGGGCACCTCTTTGGACTTAAGCTTACCGTACCTAGAAGAGAAGGTCTGAGAGGAGTGGCTGGGGCTGAAGGTAAAAGAGATAGGCAAGGGGCTAGGGGTGAAGGCCATTCTTCTCTGACTCCTCCGGGACAGCAAGTGTAGCAGAAGGGGACACGATTTGGGAGTCAGAGATGCCCAGGTTTAATTCCAGTTTTGCCATCAGTCCCTGTGAGGCCTCTTGCTCAGCCCCTAAGGTCCCCATCTGCCACAGGGAATAAAAGCAGCCACCTCTTAGTGCTGGGGTGAGAATGAGACGCGGCCACACGCCTGGTGAGAAGAGCCACAGGGTTGGCTGTAAACAGGCCCTGGGAGGCTGGCTGAGGTCTCCTCTGTGCCTGCTGAGTGAAGGTGGCTGGCAAAGACAGAACCAGCTACAAAAGCTCCCCAGCCAAGGCCTACTCAGATGCTCCGCTCTCCAAACCCCATTGTTATGCTACAAAAGACCGGTGCAGCTGCTTACCAAGAAATCACCGGGTCCCTGCTTGTCTGAAGGTCGGCCTCTGCAAACTACAACTGCTCCGATTCCCACACCCACACGTCCATGGGGCTGCGCTTGCGGATGTGCAGTAATTCTTGAGTCTCCTGCTTGGGGTGTTGGCTGTTGTGACTAGATGTCCAGCAGCAGGGCACAGTCAGGACAGCCAAGGAAGAATGGCACACTTTGCAGGGGCTGCACCCCAAAGCAAGGCTCAGACCTAAGCTGTTTCTGCCACGTGACCTTCCCAGGAGGCAGGCTGTGCATGCAAAGGTGCGCCCATCACACAATGCACATGCATGCATGCGCCCACCAACTCCACCCGGTGGCACGCCATCATGTCACTCGAGTGCAAAGATGCCCATCTCCTCTGGGAACTGCTATTCTAGTTACTGCTGGGCCTTGTTGGTTCACCACCACCCCCACCCCTCCGCCCCAGACAAAGAGATGGGAGAGAAGTGAAGATATTTGTGGCAGAAAGAGTAGCACATCAGAACACAAGCAGCGGCACACAGGCCCAGGACACCGCAAAGGTTCTGAGCTCCGTGAATAAGGTGAGACCCGGCGGATGCAGGGCGTCACCTTTCCAGAATATTAGAATTCATCTCGTAGACATTAAGGGGTGGAGGGAAGTTTTTAAGCATCATCGGTGTGGTGGCCAGAGGTGCAGATGGGTTTTCAGGACTATCTGCCTGGGGACTGTGTGGTAGAAGAAGAGATTGGACACAGGTGACCAGTTCAGAGATTTCCGTAGCCAGGCAAGAGCTGCTGG
This sequence comes from Homo sapiens, assembly GCF_000001405.40. NCBI lineage: Eukaryota > Metazoa > Chordata > Mammalia > Primates > Hominidae > Homo > Homo sapiens. Next base: position 124,321,745 of record NC_000010.11, read on the forward strand.
GGCCTAAGCGGGGCCATGACTGCAGGAAAGGAGAGGACGGGATGGACTCAGAGGACACTTCCAGGTTGATATCAGCAAGTTGACTTCAGGCTTTGACCACGCACAGCACCCCTCCAGCCCCCAACCATGGCTGGCGCGGTGGCCCCGTGACTCACTGCCTCTCACAGCCAACCGCAGAGCTCTCCAAGTCTTACCCCGTCCCTCCTGACATGACCTAAGCCTGCCCTGTCCTGTTCTGTCCCAGGCTTAGACCCGCAGACCATGCACACACGTCCACACCCTGTCCCTGCAGATGGTGAGCACAACACAAATCTGCAAGAGGGATTATTTTTGAAACCTGTTTGCAAGGCAGATTTCTCACAAATGCAGAAAAGCAAAGTCTATAGATTTTTTCAGGCAACACAGAAACGATGAGTTCTTGGTGTGTTTGTGCTTGCGGCATCATTTTTCTCTACCTCGTGGTCCCGCGTGTTCAGGCTCTGCAGAGCAACTCCCTCTCCAAACCTCCACCAGCTCCAGAAAGTATGCACGGGGCGTCTGTGGGACAGGAGGCATGAGCTGGGCTGCGCAGGCATTCTGAGGGCCCTCGAGTACCCAGTGCACCCCGAGGCACCGGCCCCTGGCAGTGACAAGCTCCAGACCGTACCAAAGAGAAGGGCAGAACCCTGGGGCTGGTTCCCAGGACCTGGCCTCAGACCACAGGAAGGGCTATTTGTCCACGTTGGGGTCAACAGACTCTGGCACAGTCCCCCTCAGCATCCTGCTGTTCCTTCCCTTGGCTCTCTATCTCTGCAAAGGGTGCCACCCCCACACCAGGGGCACAGCCTAGAGGAGAGGAGAGAGGCCTCTCACATGGCTGCCTGCCTGCATTCACTGCCCCTCTTCTGTCTCCAGGTCCTGAGAGCCCACTCTCTCAGAGCTCCTCCCCTCCCCAATCCTTCTGGTCTCCCACGTCGAAATCTCCTGCTCCAGACAGCCACTGAACAGCAAATGGAATGATCCGCCTAAAGCACAGGGCCTCTGTCATGCTCTCTCGTTAACATTGTATGGCTCCCACTGCCTACAAAATCAAGCCCATCCTCTTCAGTCTTGTGCCAACTGGCCCCTCTACTCGCCGGGGTCCTCAGACATATCACCTGGGCTTAGCTCTCAGATGGGGCTCCCTTCCTCTCCTGTAGCAGCTCTGAAATGGCCTCTTCCTGGCCACGGGTGTTAAATTCTTCCCTGATCTCCCACGAGAACTCTCCCACCTCCAGCTCCCCCATGTCCTTTTCCAACATGCACTTTTAGTTACAGCTGTCTTATGTTTGCCTTATCCCCTCCTACACTGGTGAACTCCCAGAGGGAGAGGGGGTCTTCTGCCACCATCTCTGAGGACCCCCTGATTAGTGAAGGTGATGCTAGCTGCTGTCTCAGTGGCTTAACAGAGTAACAGCTGAGGTCTCCGGTCACATCCAATGTTGATGCTCCTGGCCGGGCAGCCTTCCCCATGCTCGTTCAGGATCCAAGCTCTGTCCATCCTGTAGCCCCACCCTCCCCTTGGCCCTTGGAACCCTCTCTATGGGGATGGCACACCCAGTTTTTAATGAAATCACCTCTGATGATGTCATTTAATGACGTCACCCTTCCACTCGCATTCTGTTTACAAGAACTCACCACATGGCCACTCCCTGGGAGCGGGAAGCAGGGCTTCGGGGTGGGGAGCCACCTCCCTGCAGCCTCTGCCCTGCAGAAAGGGGGCACGGGTCTTTTCCTGGGCTCAGCTGCCTGCGCCTATGAGGCCCCCAATAAATGTGTATGGAGCTGAGCATAGCCAGAGGGTGGAGGAAAGAGGCTCTGAGGAGGGAAGGAGAGAAAGGGGCCATGCTAATGTCTACTGAGCACCCACTATGTGCCCAGCGCAAAGCTACACACAGTCCCACATGTTAAAGCCACACGGGGTGGGGAAAGAGCCCAGACTTGAAGCCAGACAGACCAGGTACAGTTCCAGGTCTCCAGGTGTGGGTGAGTTAACGACCTTCCCAAAGCCTCATCAGACTCCTCCATGAAATGAGACCGTGCCCACCTCCAAGATGTGGCACGATCCTATGAGAGATGCAAGGGGCCTGGCACGCAGTAGGTACTCAGGAGCAGAGAGGTACTGTTAAGAACTTTACATAATCCCACAATAGGGAAGTCCAATCTCAAGGGGCCTGGAAGTTACACAGCAGGGCTGGAATGCACCCCAAATCTGCACTCTCACAAGACTGCACCCAGCTCCCCAGCATGTCACCAAGACGTCCCTCTGACCTCCCAGGCTTGGGCTCTAATAAATTTCAGGGAACCAGGGGCCCCTCCTGGACCCCGTGGCCTCCCTGGTCTGACCACTCACCTGCAAAGCCCTGTGGTATCCACCAGATGCTGCCAGCTCCATCTGCACCCTCTTAAAGGAAATGCGTCTAACAGTCTCAATAAACACCCTGCAGAGCCTGGACCCAGATCGGCTTGTCTTCTTCACCCAGCCTATCCCTGCCAGCCAATTGAGTGTCCATCTTCCGCAGTTGACCCTGTCCAAGATGTACGGGCCCAGTGTCCCCCTCCCCATGCACCATCTTCCAGAGCCAAGCCTGTAGACACAAGCTTCCCACCCCCTCTTTCAAAGCCTCCCTCTTCAGGTTTGTGCAGCAGCCAAGCCCACTGAAAAACTCTCAGACACTCCATGGCAAAAAAAAAAAAAAAAAAAGGAAAAAAAAAAAGTAAATCTGAGCCCACATCACCAACGGCCAGCCACATGCCTGGCCCTGGAGTTTCCCTGGGGCCCCTCTGTCTGCCTCCATGGTGGAAGAGGCATGGGGCTGCACGGCCAATGGGGAGCAGGACTTTCAAAACTGACCCAAGCATAAAGCTCAGCGGTGCACGTGCAGAGGCAGCATCAAGTCCTGGCCCTTCCTGCCGGCGGCTCCCTAAATGCTATGGGTGATCAAAAGAGACCTTTTCCCCTCCACCAGGCAGGCACATAGCAGGCCATAAGCCTCAGGGATGCCAAGGAGGCTGAAAATGGAAAAACCTCTCCTTGCTTGGAAGAGGACCTGCTTTCTTGGAACATTCTTACCTCCCTGGCAGGAGGCAGCTGATCACATTGATGTATTGATTTGTGGTCAGTTTCTGGCACAGCTGAGCGTGCTTCCATGCTTGGGGGTTGTGCACGGAGAAGGTCCCTGCCCACAGCTATGCTCGCCGTGCCCATGTCTGCACAGTGTTTGACCCTCAGCCAGTGAGGCTGTGATGCATCGTCCTCTTTCATCTGCACCAAGGTGCTCAGGAGAGTGAGGCAAGTTAAGTCGCAGGGAAATAAACCTCATTGGCCTTCACTGGCCCCCGCAGCTGCTGGCAGGTGCGGCCCCCCCGCGGAGGAGGCTACCTCCCCAGCGCGCACCCACTTGCACACCCGGCTCAGATCCTCCCACCCTGGCCTCCTGCCTCCGCCATCCTGGAATTAGACAGGAATATTTGTCATCTTTTGGTTCTCAAGTGTAAGTCCCAGCCACGCTCATCCTTCTAGGCATGCCATGTTTTCTCCAGGTTCCTCAGAGCCAGGATCTGTCCAGGTGCTGCAGATACTCTGGCCCCAGTGGTCCCCAGGACGCAACAGGGCTTTCAGTCCCAGAGTTAGCCCCATCAGGAGTCAGCCTTGACACCCCAGACCCATCCCCAGGCCTGAGGCCATCAGCGCCAATGGAGGGATTAGCAGTAGCTATGATCGTGGAGAGAGGAGGGATGAAAATTTAACCTGCTCCCAGGCCAAGGTCCTGGAGCACAGCACAGTGCCAGGGTCCTCGCTCCCCCAGGCCCTGAACTACCCTCTCCTGCCTTCCAGCCTTTGTATAGGCTGTGCCCTGCACTTCAGACTTCCCCGCCACCCACTTCACGTTGCTCACTTCTCACTGGTCTTTCAAGTCTCAGCCTGGCTGTCACTTCCTCCAGGCAGCCCTCTCTGACCATGCCCTCTCAGGGATAGATGCCCTTCCCTCTCTCTCTGAATGCCCCACACTGCTCCCGTCACTCTGGGAGGGAAGAGCCTGTTGGCTTGTCTGTCTCCCTCTCCAGGCTGTGGATACCACAGGAAGAGGCAGGGACCTCATCTGCTTGCCACAGACCCTGACACAGCACCTCATAAATATCTGCTGCCTGACTGCAAAAATTAAGGTATGAAAAGATTAAAAGAATAAACTAAATGAGTGAATGAACAGTGGGTTCATCAGTCCTTCCCAGGGACCTGTGTTGCCCAAAAGCTCTGTCCTGCCCCCTAGTTGCCCTGGCTACTGGGAGGGGCCCCCCTCAGGCTGGCTCTTGAGCTTCCAAACCCTCCAGGCCAGTGCCCAACAGTGCCCAGCCCCAGAACTGGAGCCTCCCACAGCTGGCTGGCCCCTGCTCAGGCCAGGCCCTCCTACAATGGGAGCTGGCTGTACGCCTGGCAGCCCAGGCAGACAGGTCCCACTGCTCCTGGGGGTACAGGGAGAGTTGACCACTTTCCACACTCACCCTGCTGTGCACACATGGCTTCCCACCACCATGTCCCTCTCCAAGAGGACCCCAGACCCCAACTCAAGACCCTAGCTCCACCTGTATGGAGAGTGATGATGGGAACTTGGCTTCCATGTCCCACCCACCAGCTACATCTCAGGCCAGGCCCTCCAGCCTGGATGCTCTCTCAGAAATCAGCTCACTCAAGCTTGGGCCCTATTTCTCAAATCCTGGGATCCACAGTTCCCTCTTCAGGCTACAGTGCTTCTCACTGCACACTAAATCCCAGTGAAAAGACTTCCACACTCTCCCCATCTAGTGTGAAGACCTCCACAGTCTCTGCTTTGGATGTGAAAACCTCCACTCTCTCTCTGCCTAGTGTGAAGACTTCCACATGTTCCCTGTCTGGTATGAAAACCTCCACACTCTCCCTTTGGGTGTGAAAACATCCATGTTCTCCTTTTCTGGTGGAAGACTTCTACACTCTCCCTGTCTGGTGTGAAGACTTCTATGGTCTCCTCTTTGGGTGTGAAGACATCTATGCTCCCCCCATCTGGTGTGAAGACTTCCACCCCTTCCCCTTCCAGTGCCAACACTCCACTTTCTTCAAGCTGTTTTCCTAGCCAGGAAGGCCTCCCACCACCTTTCCAATACTGAATGTCTACAGATCCTTCCAGGGGCTGCTTCAGTCTTCTTCCTCCTGAACCATTTCCTGATCATCCCGACCAGAGTGAGCTTCTCCTTTGCCTTGACTCCATTTACTCATCCAGCACTTCCAATGGGGCATTATCCCTCTGTTCCTTGCCTCCTAAGGAATGAGGCAAGCTCAGTCTTCCAGGGAGACCCCACATCTGATGTCCTATCTGTATCCCCTTCACCCCCACTCAGCCAGTGGCACCACACAACTCAGCTCTGACCCCAATCTCTGACCTTGACCTTTCCACCTAAGCCTGGCATCCCTGACTCATCTGCTATTGGGGCACCAGGTTTACCTCTGCTCAGCTCAACAGATCAGTGACCACTGGGCTGTCTTCACCTTTTTGGATTTCAGTTTGACCCTTGGATCCTGCCTCTCTGATCATTGTCTCCTCCCCACTCTATACTCTACAGACCTCCACTCCCAGGCCAGTCTCTGCCTTCAGAACTTCTGCCCCATCTCAGAGCCTAGATCTCTGCTTATCAGGGAGGGAAGAGTGGGCCATCCAGAAGGGACACATGCCCACTGCTCCCACGACAAGACTATTTGTTTGAAAATTCCTTCTTCCCAGCTGGGTGCAGTGGCTCATACCTGTAATCCCAGCACTTTGGGAGGCCAAGGTGGGCCAATCATTTGAGCTCAGGAATTCAAGACCAGCCTGGGCAATGGGCGAAAGTCCATTTCCACAAAAAATTAACCAGGCATGGTGGCGCGCACCTGTAGGCCCAGGTACCTGGGAGGCTGAGGTGGGAGGATCACTTGAGCCCAGGATGTCGAGGCTGCAGTGAGCCAAGATCACGCCACTGCACTCCAGCCTGGGTAACAGAGTGAGACCCTGTCTCAAAAAATAATAATTTTAAAAATAAAATAAATAAAATGAAATTGCTTCTTCCTTCCCTACCCTTACCAAGGGATCCCTGTAGAGAGGTATTTCATTCCTTTTTCTTGACAATAATAGTCCATTCTATGGAGCGACCACATTTTGCTTATTCATTCATCAGCTGATAGACGTCTGAGTGTTTCTACTATTTGGCTGTTATGAATTCTACTTCTATGAACATTGTGTACAAGTTTTTGTGTGGATATGTGTCTTCAGTTCTCTTGCACACATACCTGGTTGTGGGATGCTAAATCTAACGGTAACCCTGTGTTTAATTGTTTGAGAAAATGCCATGCAGAGGCCTTCTCTCCTTTCTGCTGTACTTGAACCAGGGATGCTTTCGAGCCTGGAGCTGCTGGCAGCCACTTTGCCAACAAATAGAGCCGGAGAAAGAAGTCAACATGCAGGAGAAAAGGGCGAAAAAGAGAAACTGAGTGCTGATGACATTGGATCAATCAATCCCTGGATGTTCCAGCGACATAAGTCAATATATGCCTTCTTCATTTCTTTCTTCATTCACTCAAACACTTATTGCTTAAACCAGTTTGAGCTGGGTTTTCTGGTACTTAAATGAAGAGTTAACTGAGCCAGGCTTTCACTGTTCATGCTGATTTACTTTCCAGCTCTGCACCCTTTCTCATGTTGGTCTGAATCCCAAACACAACTCATATAAGTGGGAGCCCAGTCTCTGTTCAGATGAGGCTTAGAGAAGGCAGGGAGACTAAGGAGTCGCTGAGCTGGGCAGGGGGTGGTCTGCAGCCTGCACGGCCTCAGCTGGCCCCAGTGCAATTCTTCCCTTCTCATCACTCACAGCTGGACTCGCCTCTCAGGGAGCAGTGGGATGGCCCTTCCCTGGCCCATGTCACGCATTTGACATTGAACTCTTCCCTCTGCCCACGTGAGGCTTTGTTTCCCAGTCATGGGTGCAGTCCATCACTTTTCTGCCTCCCCACAGCCAAAGAGAGTGGCCCAGGCCTACTGGCAAAGGCATGTCTACAGACCCCAGTTCCCTTGGTGGGCTCCATGACTTTGCCCAGGTGGAATTCACAGACGAGTTTCCAGAACTGCTAGGTTGAGTCTGCTAAAAGACTACTGGAAATGGCTCAATGTGAGATGGAGCAGTAGCCAACATACAGGGGTTGCCATGGGCACTGTTTCCATCCTTCCTTGCACACAGAGCCAGGCTGAGCAGCCAGGAGAAACACGGGCAGAGCCTTGCTAAACAAGCCTGTCTGTCCCCACAATGACTCACTTTGGTCACAGGAAGGCAGGACACTGCCTCTGCGCGGGATTTCAGCTGGAAACACTGGTGCAGGTCTGCATCCGGGCCCCTGCTCACAACATGGAGGGTCACAGAAGAGAGGTGCAAATGCTTCTGCAGAAAGACACAGTGACAAACCTGAAAGGATACATTTAGGCAGCATTGTCTCCTGCAGATCAGTGAGCCCACATGAGCAATAGTGGCCAGGTATGTGTCACCAGTTGCAGAACCCAAGGGTATAGGTTTTATCCATTTTTGGCCATCAAGAGCAAGCTGGAGGAGTCTCATGAGGCTGAAATTTGCCAGCATGCTTCACTTCATGCCCCCAATCTGGAATTAATGTTGGCAAATGTTGCCTTGGGTTAATTAAACTTATTAATGAGATGGGACAATAGAAGTGCCAGTTCCCTCCCATGTTTGAGGTATTCCTTAGGGAGCTAAGAGAGGGGGAACTCAGCCAACCACAGAAATGTTCCAAAAACCCAGTCATGCTGAGAACTTGTAAAATTAGGGTCTAACACAGTGTTGCATATCTGAGCTCCTTGAGGACAAGAATGAAGTCACACTTAGCTCATGTTCCAGTACCTTGCGGAGCTGGGCTCACAGTTGGGCACAAAGAACCCCTGCCATGATGCTGGAGAGTGAGTGCAGGACCCTTTGCTAAGCAAGAGAGAGATTGTGCCCCCAAAATCTTCCTATTAGACCGTTAAACACACACGAAGTCCAGAGGTTGAAGAAAAATGATCCTTTAATTTTCCCACTGGGCCAAGTGAGCTTATCTTGAATGGGCAGAAGAGACTCCTCTCTCTTCCTCTTCCCCACCATCATCCCATTCTTCTCTAACACCTCTGCCATCCCCCTAGAATCCATTCTTCTTCTCCATCCCCTGCCCTAGTCAATCCTTCAGTTGCACTGAGTTTGCCCCACCCACATGACTGGAATGGGAGAGGCACTAGAAAGTAAGTTAGGGTCCTGAAGGATGGAAGATGGGGTCCTGTCCAGGTCCAGTCTCAGGGAGAAGTATCACCTGGCCCTGCTCAGACCGACGGCCCTTAACTCTGGGATGATGTCTCAAGTCTTGTCTCTGCTCTGCCTTCCCAAAGATTCCCTCCTGTTCAGAACCCGTGAAAGGCCAGCTCTCCGTGTGTCTGGAAAGTGACCAGGGAAAGACAAAAGCCCATCTCTGTCAGGACTCAAAGGAAAGCCCAAGGCACCTGTGATGTCTACATCCTAGTGAGCAGCCTCTGCCCCGTATGCACCACCAAGGGAAGTAAAATGAGCCAAATGAAGTTCCAGGAAAATGATGAACACACCAGCACTTTCAAACCTCATCCCTTTCATCTCTCGAGAGAGCTCTGTATTTGTGCTCTTCCTCAAGAACTGATGACAACTAGCTGCACTTTGCACTCTACCTCTTCTGTTCTCTAGAATCTTCTGTGCCCCAAATTCCCTCCCCCATCCAACCCCACCCACCCACCCACCCACCCACAAAGCCTAGTCCTGTCTCTGGTTTAGTACTTTGCTCCCCAGACCCTGGGTTTTTCCAGAAGCCTGCCAATAACTGAGGCCCCCACTGTGCTGATGGAAGGTAGCCACCGTCTCTGCCCTAAGGGTGGGAAGCCAACCTCCCTAAGCTTCAGGGAAGAGCCATGCCGCCTCGCTTCTCACCAGAGCCCAGCCTGTGCCTTCCAGCCTGGGGATCTTCCTACAGACCCAGCTGCCTACTAGTCCCAGTTTCCCACATAGGATTTGAACCTCTAAAATTATGGCAGACTAGGCAGCTTGAAAACCTTCTGTGCATGTAGAATCATGTCTCTCCAAAATTCATGTCCACCTGGAAATTGTAAATGTGACCTTATTTCCAGATAAGATAAGACCATACTAAATGAGGGTGGGCCTTAAATTCAATGACTGGTGTCTTCATAAGGAAAAAAAAGATTTGAGCACAGACACACCCAAGAGAAGGTCATATGAAAATGGAGGCAGAGACTGGAGCGAGGCATCTACAAACGAAGAAATGTCAAAGATGGTCAGAAACAACCAGAAACTAGGAAGAAGTAGGGAAGGATGCTCTCCTAGAGCCTTCAAAGAGAGCAGGGCCCTGACAACATCTTGATTTCAGACTTACAGCCTCTAGAATTGGGAGAGAGTGAATTCCTGTTGTTTTAAGCAACCTAGTTTGTGGCAATTTGTTATAGCAGCCCTGAGAAACTAATACATCTTCTTTATAAAATACACAGAAATGCTAGTTAAAATAAAACAGCATCCCTACCTGAATGAGCTCACAATAAATTAACAGTCAAACATAAATGGGAATATAAAAACCAGAATGATGACAATGATGCCACAACTACCTTAGGAACATTGTGAATCTTATTAATCAAGGAGCTGAAGTTTTAAGAACCATATAGGGATAGATATGAGGCTTTGGTCTTACACTGAGGCCCCGCTAAGCCTCCATGTACAGCCAGGACCCTCAGAAGTCCATATCTTTAGTGAAGTAGTGGATTGGAAAAAGAGCCTGCCCATTATCAAAGAGAGATGACAAAGAAGCTTGTCTCTCTTGGCCTAAAATTGAAGTGGTGAAGGAGGGGGCAAGCATACCCTCAAACGGGTTTGGGATTTAAATTTCTATTATATGTGCATTGCAGGAGACTGCAAGCCAAGAAACAATTATAAAGTGACATCCAGACAGTAACACTTGGGGGAACTGGAAGAAGAAAATACAAATACCCTGAGTACACACAACACCTCATCCCACACCAACATGAGCTCACAATCTAAAATTACAACACACACACAAAAACACAATAGGCAAGAACAAGAGAAATGACACCCAGAAGAATGAATACCATGTGCAAAATAAAGATGTTTAAAATGTTCAAATAAATAAAAGATAAAATTAGAAAATTGAGGAATAACACTCTTAAAAGATACCAGGAAGATTTGAATTTGAAAAAGAACCAAATAAAATATAGTGTGTGTGTGTGTGTGTGTGTGTGTGTGTGTGTGTGTGATATTAGACTGAGCTGAAGAAGTAATTAGTGACCTGGAAGATAGACATAAGGAAAGTACCCAGAATACAGCAAAGAAAGAAAGGTTAAGAATACAAAGAAAAGTTGAACAAACTTCTAATTAGAGTCCCAGAAGACAAAGAGAACAGAGAAAATGAAAGAAAGGCCATATTAGAAAAAAAGAATTTTCCAAAACTTGTTTGAGACAAGAATACATATATTCAGGAAATGTGAAATCTTTAGAAGAATAAAGTCAAAGAAAACCACATCCAAGCCAAGAAGATGTCTTAAAAGCATTTAGAGAAAAAGACAGATTACCTACAATTAGATGGACAATAAACTTCTCAATGACAACAACAGAAACAAGAAGCCAGTGGAACAACATTTTCAAAGTACTGAGGGCAAATGTTTTCACTAGCATAGTATGCATACCTAAGGAATTATTCGACAATAAAGACAAAATAAAGATATTTTTCAAGCTAGCCATGAGGAAGTAAGAGTGTCTGGAATTCCCATCTCATCAGTTTGACCTAGAAACTGGACAAAATATGGGAAACTTTTCAGACATTGGAAAACAGGCATCATAGGACTATGATCCCTGAGAAAAGGGGAAGTGAATAAGGCAAACCTCACTATTGCTCAGGCTTTATGCTTAGAGATCATTTCTGGTCTGTGGTGCAAGAACCTAGAGACCTACAATTTCATGGAGTAGAAGAGGCAGAGGTTGGTGTTCAGGAAAGTCAGAGTAACTGGGATTCATGAGGAGAGTACTCAAAAGAAGGGAGCATTAGAGAGAAACAAAGTAGGAATTTGTATAGGGGTCCCCTTGAGTCTTGGACTGAATACCAATCTAGGCATGAATAGAGTGATACTCACACAAGGCCAACAAGAACAGCTTCCAGGGAAAGGGCCATTACTGGAGAACTGTGAGATGAACAATTTCAAAAGCTCACACAGGTCCAGGAATTGATCATACTCACTGCAGACAGAGTGCAGGGACTCATTCAACACACAGAGTCTCTGGACTCTGTCTGCAGGGAGCTTGATCTGCAGAGTGCATTCGGAAGAGAATGCAGAAGGGTTGGGCCTTCGAAGCAGAGGCTAAATTAGCCTTAGGATAAAGGATATTTGATAACCACCTACAAATCCTAAAAACAAACCCCAAAGAATCAAATTTAACTTAACAAGTAACTTAACCACCCTTCCGAAAAAGTTCAACCCTGGTTAAAAAAATACACCAGAATCCAGCACTCAGTATAAAATTGCAAAGTCCTTTCTCCAACAAAAAATTATTACATATACAAAGAAGCAGGAAAATGTGCTCCTGGGTCAAAAGAAATATCATGTGATGGAAACAGACCCATGAAATAATGGAAGAAATAATGGAAGATGGAGCAGAAAGAGACATTAAATCATTTATTAGAAAGGTATCAAATCAATAACTTAAACCTCCATTTTATGAAGTAGAAAAAAATGACAAAATAAACTCAATGCAAGCAGAAGGCAAAAATCATAGAGACAGCAGAAATCAGTGAAACTGTAAGCATAAAAGCAAGAAAGAAAGATCAGTGAAACCAAAAGTTGTTCTTTGAAAATATCAATAAAATTGATAAACCTCTAGCAAGACTGATAAATTAAAAAAGAGAAAAGACACAAATTACCCATATCAGGAATGAAAGAAGGGATATCGTTGCAAACCCTGCAGGCATTAAAAGGATAATATAAAGGAATGCTCTGAACAACTCTATGCACATAAAATTGACAATGATGAAATGTAACAATTCCTAAGAAAAGGAACTACTAAAACTCATCTGAGATGAAATCATAATCTGAATAGTCCTGTAACTACTAAGGAAATTGAATGTATAATTTTTAAAAAACCTTCCAAAAAAGAAATTTCCAAGCATAAAGGGTTTCACTGGTGAGTTCTAGAAAATATTTAAAAAATAACCCCAATTCTACACAATCACTTCCAAGAGATAAAAGCAGAGAGAACATTTCCCAACTCCTTTTATGCTGCCAGCATTACTCTGCAATCAAAACCAGACAATACAAGAAAACTACAAACCGAAATCCCTCATAAAGAGAGATGCAAAAGTTCTCAAGAAAACATTATCACATCAAATCTAGCAATATAAAAAGAATTATATGTCATAAGTAAAAGTACAGTTTATCCTGGGAATGAAAGCCTGCTTCAATATTTGGAAATAAATCAGTGCAATCCACCACATTAATGGTTTAAACAAGAAAAATTACATGATCATATCTATTATGGGGCTGAATTATTTACCCCAAAAAAATCACATGTTTAAGTCTCAACCCCCAGCACCTCAGGATGTGAATGTATTCAGAAACAGGGTCTTTAAAGAGGTAACTAAGTTAAATGACATCATTATGGTGGGCCCTATTCTAATATGACTGTTGTCCTGCTGGAAAGTATATTTATCCATTCTCATGCTGCTAATAAAGACATACCCAAGACTGGCTCATTTATAAAGGAAAGAGGTTTAATTGACTCACAGTTCTTCATGGCTGGGGAGGCCTCAGGAAATTCACAACCATGGCAGAAGGGGAGGCAAACACGTCCTTCTTCACATGGCGGCAAGAGAGAAGAATGATAGACAAGTGAAGGGGGAAACCCCTTATAAAACCACCATATCTCATGAGAAAACTTACTGTCATGAGAATAGAATGGAGCAAACCACCCCTATGATTTGATTACCTCCCACCGGATCCCTCTCACCACAAGTGGGGATTATGAGGACTACAATTCAAGACGAGATTTGGGTGGGGACACAGCCAAGCCATATCAAAAGGAAGAAGAAATTTGGACTGTCTTAGTTCAGGCCAGTATAACAAATAACCGCAGACTGGGTAACTTAAATGACAAACATTCATAGCTCAGTTCTGAAGACTGGAAGTCAGAGATCAGGGTGCCAGAACTCATGGTTGGGTTCTGGTGAGGGCCCTATTCCAGGCTGCAGACAGCTGACCTCTCCCTGTAACCTCACATGGTGGAAAGAGGGCAAGTTAGCTTTGGCCTCTTTTTTTTTTTTTTTTTTTTTTTTCTCAGAGACAAGGTTCCACTCTGTCACCCAGACTGGAAGGCAGGGGTATGATCATAGCTCACTGCAGCCTCGACCTGTCAGGCTCAAGCCATCCTCCCACCTCAGCCTTCCAAGTAGCTGGGCCCACAGGCATGCACCACGCCCCCAGCTAATTTTTTTTTTTAGAGACGGGATCTTGCTATGTTGCCCAGGCTGGTCTTGAACTCCTGAGCTCAAGACATCCTCCCACCTTGGTCTCCAAAAGTGCTGGGATTACAGACATGAGCCACCACACCCAGCCTTGGCCTCTTCTTATAAGGACGCTAATCTCATTCATGAGGTCTCCAAAGGCCCAACCTCCTAACACCATCACTTTGGAGGTTAGGATTTTAACATAGAAATTTTGGAGGACGCAAACACAGACCATAGCAAACACAGATACACGAAGAGGAAAGACCACGTGGAGATACAGGGAGAGCATGGCCATCTGCAAACTGAGGAGCCAGGCTTCAGAGGAAACAGCCCTGTTGAGCTTGATCTCAGACTTCTAGGCTTCAGGATTGTGAGAAAATAAGTTTCTGTTGTTTAAGTCATCTAATCTGTAGTACTTTGTTATGGCAGCCCTAGCAAGTTCATACAATAACTATTAGTGCAGAAAAAGCATTTGACAAAATTCAAATCCATTTATGATGTCTTAGAAAAAAACTCTTAGCAAACTAGAAATAGAAGGAAACTCCTTAACTCAATGAAGGGCAAATACAAAAAAACTATTCCTAACATCCTACTTAATCGTTAAATACCGAATGCTTCCTCCCAAATAAATAGCAAGACAAAGGTGTCCACTCTCACCACTCCAATCCAACATCATCCAGGAAGTCCTAGCCAGTGCAATAAGGAAAGAAAAATAATTCGAAGGCATACATATTGGAAAGGAAGAAACGAAACTGCCCATTTAGAGATGACATAATTATCTACATAGAAAATCCCAAGTAATCTAAAAATAAAGTCTGATAAAACTAGTGATTTTAGCAAGGTTGAAAGAGAAAAGATCAACACCACAAAAATCAATCACATATGCATGTGTATACCAGTATTGAACAATTATAAACCAAAATTTGAAAAACCAATACATTTTACTAAATCTCCAAAAAAAAAATACTAAGCATAAATAAAACAAAACATGTAGAGAATCTGCATGCTGGAAACCACAAAAGCTGATGGAACAAATCCAAGAAGCCAACCTCATGTTGAAATTTGATCCTCAATGTTGGAGGTGAGGCCTAATGGGAGGTGACTGGGTCATGGGGACAGATCCCTCACGAATAGATTAATGACATCCCTGCGGGAATGGGGGGTACACAAGAGTGGGGATAAGTAAGTTCTCACTCTATTAGTTACCAAGAGAGCTGGCACCTCCCTATAAATCAAGAGGTATACCATGGTCATGAATGGGAAGACTCACAAAAGTAAGAAGACAATTCTCAGATAGACATGTAGATTTAACACAATTCTAATCAAAAATCCCACAAGGATCTTTATCTTCTTTTTCTTTTTTGTGAGGCAGAGTCTCGCTCTGTCGCCCAGGCTGGAGTGCAGGGGTGCGATCTCGGCTCACTGCAACCTCTGCCTCCCGGATTCAAGCGATTCTCCTGCCTCAGCCTCCCAAGTAGCTGGGACTACAGGCGTGTGCCACCATGCCTGGCTAAGTTTTGGTATTTTTAGTAGAGACGAGGTTTCACCACATTAGCCAGGATGGTCTCAATCTCCTGACCTCTTGATCCACCTGCCTTGGCCTCCCAAAGTGCTGAGATTACAGGCGTGAGCCACCGTGCCGGGCCGAGGATCTTTATATATATAAGCAAGCTGATTCCAAAATTTTAATAGAAAGGTAAAGAAACTAGAATACCCAAAGCAATTTTGAAAAGGAAAATAAAGTTGGGAAAATCACACTACCTGATTTTTTAACTTACTAAAAACTACATTAATCAGCCAGGCACAGTGGCTCACGACTGTAATCTCAGCACTTTGGGGAGGCAGGTGGATCACCTGAGGTCAGGAGTTTGAGACCAGCCTGGCTAACATGCATATGAGATTGATTTTTGTGTTGATCTTTTCTCTTTCAACCTTGCTAAAATCACTAGTTTGATCAGACTCTCTCTACTAAAAAGACAAAAAATTAGCCAGACATGGTGGTGGGCACCTGTAATCCCAGCTACTCGGGAGGCTGAGGCAGGAGAATCACTTGAACCCGGGAGGCGGAGGTTGCAGTGAGCTGAGGTCATACCACTGCACTCCAGCCTGGGCGACAGAGCGAGACTCTGTCTCAAAAAAATAAAAATAAAAACTGCATTAATCAAGACAGTGTGGTATTGTGAAGGGATGGATACATGGATCAACGGAACATAATAGAGCACCTAGACATAGACCCACACAAATATGGCCAAGAGTTTTGGCAAAGGTGCAAAAGCAAGTTAATGGATACAGGCTAATCCTTTCAGCAATGGCGTTGGAACAGTTCACCCCTCACCACGCTTTCTGCCCTGCCTGGCACTGACGGGGGACTCCTTGCTCAAAGGGCAGGGTCACCAAGAGCCCCTGATATGGTTTGGATTTGTGTCCCCACCCCCAAATCTCATGTCGATTTGTAATCCCCACGTGTTGGAGGAGGGGCCTGGTGAGAGGTGATTGGATCATGGGGGCAGATTTCCCCCTTGCTGTTCTTGCGATAGTGAGTGAGTTCTCATGAGATCTGCCTGCTTGAAAGTGTGTAGCACTTTTCCCCTTCGCTCTCTCTTTTTCTCTCTCTCTCTCTCCTGTTGCCATGGTAAAGACATACTTGTTTCCCCTTCATCTTCCGCAAGGATTGTAAGTTTCCTGAGGCCTCCCAGCCATGTTTCCTGTACAGCCCAAGGAACTGTGAGTCAATTAAACCTCTTTTCTTCATAAATTACCCAGTCTTGGATAGTTCTTTATAGCACTGTGAGAACAGACTAATACAGCCCCTCACAAACCAATCTGACACCTGGCAGCACCCAGCACTCACCCTGCAGACAGGACAGGCCAGAGTCTGGTGGAGGGAACCAGCATGTGTAGAAGAGATGGAAGAAGGATGACACAGGTCCCGGGCAGAGCAGCTCTGCACACTTTTGGCACCCAAGCAGAAGTCCTTCCCTTTTTTTCTTGGAGGGTCTGTGTCTCAGTCAGCTCAGGCTGCTGTAACAGAATGCCACAGACTGGGGCTTAAATAATAGGCATTTATTTTCTCACGATTCTGGAGCCTGGAAGTCTAAGGTCCAGATGCCAGCATGGTTGGTGTCTGGTGTGACCTTCTTCCTGGCTTGCAGGTGGCTGCCTTCTCTCTGTGTCCTCACGTGGCAGAGAGAGAGAAAGAGCAAGCTCTTCCATCATCAAGGCCCCACCTTCATGACCTTGTGTAAACCTAATCACCTCCCAAAGGCCCCATCTCTGACTACCATTACACTAGGGGTTAGGACTTTGTTGTATGAACTAGGGGGAGGGCACAATTCAGTCTATAGCAGTCACTGTGAGTGTGCCACCCCGTGCAGAAGCCATGGGCACCTCTCCTTCACACACTGGGCTGAGAGCCATAGTTGAGCTCTTCCATCTGCTGGGGCTGGCCTGCCCTTTTTTTTTTTTTTTTTTTTTGAGATGGTGTCTTGCTCTGTTGCCCAGGCTGGAGTGCAGTGGCGTGATCTTGGTTCACTGCAACCTCTGCCCCCCAGGTTCAAGTGATTCTCCTGCCTCAGCCCCCTGAGTACCTGGAATTACAGGTATGTGCCACCACACCCAGCTAATTTTTGTATTTTTAGTAGAGACAAGGTTTCACCATGTTGGCCAGGCTGGTCTCAAACTCCTGACCTCAAGTGATCCTCCTGCCTCAGCCTCCCAAAGTGCTGTGATTACAGGTGCAAGCCACCGTGCCCACCCCATCCTGATCATTTTTAACTCAGGTGGGGCTCATACACCCCTTCCTCATTAAATGGGACCAGAGAGCTCCCTGACGCTCCCCAGCCATGCAAGGTGAGCAGAAAGTGGAGAACTGGCATGGCTGTGAGCCAGCAGCTTCCCACCACAGAGCTGCCCCAAGTGGGCTGGAGCTGGATAAGAGATGGGGAGCTAGGATCGCGCACAGCACAAGTGGGGCATGGGAAGGCTCGATCTACATGTGCTGGCTTGCTGCGCCTCCTCCACCTCAGATATGCATCTCTCCAGCCGGTAGGTCTTGAGCACTCACGCCACAAGCCAGGCAGGCTGCTGCAGGAAGAAGAGGAGAGTTGGCCAGCCCCTTCCTGTCCCTGAGGGCCCACCAGTCCCGCATCAGATGCCATCAGGTGTTACAGATACCCCCGGGTACCCCAATGCTTGCCAGCACAAGGTTTCGCAGTGGCCTCTCAGTGGAATAATGAGCCCCAGGGTCCCCTTGACACACACACCTGGTGCCAGGTGGCAGCAATCTCACGACTGATGTAAACAGTGACAGTGACAGCCACCATGCAGGGACCTTGGGGCCAGCACTGTGTACACAATTCACATGCAACTTCACTTCTAGGTTTGGGCCAATTATACCCAATATGGCACAACTGTCACCGCTTTTTCAGACTAGAAAACTGAGGCTCAGAGATGGGAAGTCACTTGTCCAATGGTTAAATTGAGATCTAACCGCAGGTCTGAGTCCAGAGAAGAAGCTTCTGTTTTGGCCTCACCGTTGGCCTCTGAGGGAGTTCCCACCCTGGATAGTGGGTGCTGCATGAAACTCACCCTCTTCGAAGGTCCTTTCCCATTTCCCCATCGTGAATCTTTGCTCCACAGTGGCCACATGGCTGACAGATTTTCACAGGAGCCTGGGGTTGAGGCTGGCTCTGTAAAGCTGTGTTTAATCTCGCCCTGACCCTGTACAGTTTCCATACACAGACATTTTTGTGCCATGACTTGCCATTTTCCCATGATTTGACCCAATGTGCTTGCTGCATCAAATTGTTTACTTTCAAAACATTTGTGTTTCTCTAGGCACGCTCTTGCAAACACCCTCTGGGGCTGACGGGCCTCCAGCAAGAAGCCAGCTGCAGGCCACAGCTGAGCATCCTGTTCTCGAGCCACGCCAGCCTGGTGGAGGCTGAGGCCACAGCAGTGAGCCTGGAGCACTGACCCTGATACTGCCCTATGACTGGCAAGGGGCACCAGGCTGCTCAAAACCCTTGTGAATGCAGCCATGCAGGCCCCAGAGCAACCACGATCTCCCTGCTCAGCGTTACCTTGCTGACTGTGGTCTAAGACCATCCCAGAGTGACACCAGTATCCTTGCCTCCTTTCCCGGCACAGATGGTCCAGCTCTTTGCCAAGGCAACTGTAGCCAAGTGGCCTGGGACAGGCCCAGAGAAGCAGGGAGAAGAGCCCCCACCAGCCATCTGGGGGATCCAAGACCCAGAAAGGCACTTGTAGGCAGCCAAGTCCAAGGAAGGGGCTATCCGTGTCCAGGTGACAAAGCCCTTCTGAAAAGGCAGCACAGAGAGGAGGCCAGGAGCAGGTGCCAGGAGACCTTGGCAAGTCACTCAAAGTCTGAACCTCAATGTCCTCCGCTGTCAACTGCAGATAATAATATGAATAATAGAAGGCATCAGCAGCCCTGCCTCAAGGATTGGATTCCATACTGAGTGTGAAACACTGCATGGTACAGGGCAGTGGTTAGAGCCCCTGGCATGCTAGCTAGTGCTGCCATCAACATTGGAGATGGGGGGCCAGGCAGGACTCACTGACCTCCTGCACCAGCCGCTGAATTAATTTAGTTAAATACTACATGATGTTCACTCAGTGCCTTAGCATCGAGCTGGAGTCCAGCAGGAGTGTCCTGTTCCCTTGCAGGGGATGCTCCAGAGACAGAGGCAACCAAATCCCAGTGCCAGCCCCGCTCCTGAGCCGGGCCTCCGTGGCTGTGAGCTGCCGGCAGATCACAGGAACGCAGCTAAAGCGTGTTCGTGCAAGCTGGGGCCAGGGCCCCTTCCACAGCAGCTGCCCTCAATCAGCACATCCGTCACACTAGATGCTCCATGCACTTTATGTTGCTTCATTTCCTGAAAGCCCTAAGAGGCGGGGACTATTGTAAAGCCCATTCAGTGGTGTGGCATCCCCTCAGGGTAATCAGAAATCCCCAGGGTGTGGCCCCAGGAAGACAAGGAGCACGCCCTGTACTGAGGGTGATATGAAAGCTAAAATGCTCACCAGCCTGCAAAGCCTGGACTCCCAAGACAGGAGCTCGGACCAGAGGCTGCAACACTGTGGAGGCAATGGGGCCACACCCCCGGGCTGCACAGAAGCTGCCCGCACATCCTCATTCTTCCACTGCACACCCCCCACCCAGCCCCAATCACCCCAGGGAGCTGGGGTCTCCGGGCGTTGGTGGAAGTAATGCATCCACGTTGTGCTACAACACCTTTGAGAGACAGGTCAGCCTCCTAGCCCAGGCACTGCCCTCCTGCTGCCACCAGGCCCTGGGCAGCCCAAGGGGTAAAGCAGGGAGTTAGGACATGGGGGCAGAGGAAGAGAGAGGCCAGAGGGTGAGGACACCGGGGCCCCCCAGGATGAGTGTTCCCTGGCCGGATTGGGGACTGATGGGAGCCACAAACAAAGCCAGAATGGCCAGCAGCAGGGTTTCTTCTGGTTCCGACCCACAGGCACCCCCAGACCTTGTGGGCTGACTCAGGGCAGTCACAGCCATCACACCGTGTCACCCTTCACAGTGTCACTGAGTCACCGTGTCACAGCCTAACCACATGACAGCACCAGCACACCACAGTGCCACCTTATCACTGTGTCCACATTGCCCTGTCACCATATTGCAGTCACAGTGTCACATCATCACTGTCACTCTGTCACCACATCACAGTGCCACCATGTCACACCATCACTTTCACACCATCCCCAATCACCTTGTCATTGAGTCAATGTCACCATGTCACACACATGTCAGTCACCCTGTCACCACATCCCACGTCACCATTTGTGCTTCTCAAGAGTTTTCCAGGTCCCGCTAATAGCCACTGAGAAAATATTTTCAGGAAAAGCCACTCATGCCCAGTGACCCACCTGAAGCTCTGCTGCCGGCAGAGACGGAGATCTCCAGCCCCGCAGGGTAGGGCTGTCTACACTGGCTACAGATCCCCGAGGGCCGTCGGTTTGAAAGCTTTGTGTGACTCCCTTTGCTGTGCCCAGGACTTTATGTGGATCGACTTTTGGCCTCAATCTCTGGATGCATGGCCTGTCCAGTCCAGGAGCAGGAGGCCTGTGGACGCCTCCCAATAGGACAAATGTGTCCATGCTCACGGACCTTTTCTTCCAGGGGTCATTTCCTCTCAAACCTACAGCCAACAAGGCCACCAGTCCGCTCAACCCAGGGCCACTTCCCTAATGACCAGCCACCAGCAGAAGCAGATGGCCTCAGGCAGATGGCCAGAGTCACCCACTCTCTAGGGCGTCAACTCCCCTGGTTGCCCTGCTCAGCCCAGGCATTGCTCACCTGCGACCAGCAGAAGAGACTGATTTCATCAAGGCAAACGCCCCAGAGAAGGGACTGGTACTGGGCTCCAAGAGCCAGGCCTTCAGAGCCAACAGACACAAGCCCATTTACAGGGCCCACTTTAGCTTGTTCCCCAATGTCTGCCCACCCACCAGGTCACTGCAAATGACCTTGTCCAAGGGTGGTCAGGCCATCGAGGGAGATCCACAGACACACACAGCATCATCATAACAACACACATTCATGGAGTCTTCACTGTGGGCCAAGCACCATGCCTCATGCAGCAAGTGTGCCGGTCATCTCTTCTCTTGCAATAGGTACCTGGCCTTGACAGCTGCCTCTTTCTGACCCCCAGTCCAGAAGCTCATCTCTCCCCTCAGCCCCTCCTGCCTCACTTTCGGTCACTTGCCACGCTGCCATCCATTGGGAACACCACTAGAGATGCAAACCTGACCACAGGCACCTCCTCATCCTGTCTCGGAAACTGTTTCCTCACCTGAGATTAGGGGGACCCATACGACAGTTTTCTAGATTCAATATCAGGCACTTTTCCAAGGTCTTTGGTGAAATATTTCATCTTGTCCCCCAACACCCTATTAGGGAGGGTTGATCTAGTTTAGGCCCATTTTCCAGGTGAGAAACTAGGGGTCCAGTAAATCCTGTAACTTCCCATGGCCACACGCTTGGTCAGCATCGAGTCCCTACGTGAACACTGGCCCCAGGGCCATGCCAGAGCTACACTGACTCTCATGAATTTTCTAATTTTATCCTTACAACCTACAAGAAACCACGCACAGAGCTGTGCACAGGCATAGCCACGTGCAATGAAAACCTCCCAAAGCCACCAGGTCTTGCACAGCTCCCTGGTCCCCACCCCAAGGGCCCTGCTATCAACATCCGCAGACCAACATACGGGGCTGGGCCTCTTTTGGACTCCCCAGACCCAGGCCCAGCTCAAAGATGGCGGAACCACAAAGCTCCACCCCCAACATGTTTCTTATAGCCAAGTGTTCAGCTTCTAAAATTGTGTTTGTCTCAGTCATTTGGGGATAAACAAAATACAAATTCATTCATCAGAGATATTTCTGAACTGGGAACATGAAAGTCCAGGAGCTGCCTCCAGGCAGCTGTCCCTTCAGCCCGTCTGGCTCCTGGGGGAGGCAAAGCCCTTTGCTGGTTTGGACGAGAGCAGCAGGAGTGTGAGGGACTCACCCCTCTCCAGCAGCAAAGCCCTTGCAGCAAGCCGAGCCCACAGTAGCTGTGGTTCCCTCAGCAAATCAGGAAAGGGGATTTACCCCTCTGGAGGGAAGCCGGCCTTTCTGCTCCTGAGTCCAGGTTCCCTGGCCCAGAGACCACTGTTGGTGTTTCAGGCCCTGGATCCAGCCTTTGTTAGGAGGCCTGGGAAGGAGATGGATGACCTATGGTGGCTGTGTTCATTCTCCTAGTGCTGCTGTCACAAATTTCCACAAACGTACTGGCTTGAAACAACACACATTCGTAACATTCCAGTTGCATAGGTCAGAAGACCACCACCATCTCACTGGGCCAAGATCAAGGGGCCAGTAGGGCTGTGTTCCCCCAGGTGGCCCGGGAGGAGCACCCATTTACCCGCCTCCAACTTTTCAAGGCCGCAGTGTTCCTGGCCCTTCCTCCAGCTTCACAGCCAGCAACGGTGAGTGGGGTCCTTCTCACAGGGCATCCCCGTCCCCCTCCCCTGCTTCCACTTCTACCCCTGAGGACCCTTGTGATGACATTGAGCCCACCCAGATAATCAGATAATGCAACCTAGCCCAAACTCATTCTGCTCGCTGCACAACTCCCAATAAGTCAGAGACTTCTGGAGAGCAGCAAACTGAGAAGATGGCGGATTAGTGTCCTACAGTAACGGTCCCCAACCTTTTAGGTACCAGAGACTAGTTTTGTGGAAGACAATTTTTCCATGGACAGGGTGTGGATGACTCAAGCGCATTGCATTTATTGTGCACTTTATTTCAATTATTATCACATTGTAATATATAACGAAATGATTATACAACTCACCATCATGTGCAGCTAGATGGTCCCATCTGGGGGTGATGGGAGACAGTGGGAGATCATCAGGCATTAGATTCTCATAAGGAGCGTGCAACCCAGATCCCTCACATGTGCAGTTCACAATAGGGTTCATGCTCCTAGGAGAGTCTAACGCCACCATAAATCTGACAGGAGGCGGAGCTCAGGCGGTCATGCGAGTGATGGAGAGTGACTGTAAATATAGATGAAGCTTTGCTCACTCACCTGCCGCTTACCTCCTACTGTGCACCCCTGTTCCTACAGGCCATGTACCAGGACCAGTCTGCGGCCCAGGGGTTAGGGCCCCCTGTCCTAAAGAACCATCTCAAAAGGCAGGAATCCCAAGCTTCCTTTTATGATAGGAAAGGGGAACCAGCAGAAGGTTGAGGTCAGGAGGTAACTAGTGACCACATACATCTGGGGTCAGCAGGGGTCCAAGGAGGTTGCAAGATTTCTTTGTCCTTGGTCAGGTCACAGTGCTTGTATAAATCTTCAACATAACATTGTGACCTGTATGTATACCCTCCTTGTCTTGTTGGGATTCGTTTTGGGAAGGGAGTATGATTATCCTTGCTTTAAAGTTAAACTGTAGACTAAATTCCTCCTGTTGTTAGCTTGGCTCAGTGCAGAAATGAACAAGGACAGTTAGATTGTGAGGTTAGATGCAAGATGGAGTCAGTTATGTCAGATTTCTCTCACTGCTACAGTAATGCAGGATAATCTCCCTATCTTAAGGCAACTAATTAGCATTCTTAATTCCTCTTTGCCACGCAAGGTAAGGTATTCACAGGTTCCGGGGAGTAGGACGGGGACTTCTTGGGTGGTGGGGTCAGGGAGGCGCATTATCCTGCTCACCTCAGGAGTCTGAGAGAGTGCTGCTCACCTGAGATGGGGAAGAGATTGGCACAGTACCTGGGTGAGGAGTGAATGTGTGCCTGGAACTCAGTAGGCCTGGTGCACGGGACCCAGCCTCATAGGGCCTGCGGAGGTTGGACACTAAAGGACACAGGGACTCTTCAGCCAAGCGGGAGGTCTGTGGAGAAGACCTCAGAGGCGAATCCCCTCAGTCCCTGGAGCACAGACCAGTGGCCAGCCCAGGACCCCATACACATTGGCACACCCCACAGGGCAGTCAAAGTGACAGGGCCCCACTCTGTTTCCAGGATCACATATGGCCCAGGTCTCTTCGGGGGCCCAATGCAGTGGGGGAACGGTTCCCATAATGACTGAGCCAAACCTGTAACCAACTGGGCTCAGAGCCAAATTTCATTTAACTTCTTTGCTGGATTTAAATGTATATATATATATATATATAACCAGGCGTGTGGCTCACACCTGTAATCCCTGAACTTTGGGAGGCCAAGGTAGGTGGATCACCTGAGGTCACGAGTTGGAGACCATCCTGGCCAACATGGTAAAACCCCATCTCTACTAAAAATACAAAACGTAGTCGAGTGCAGCGGTGAGAGTCTGTAATCCCAGCTACTCGGGAGGCCAAGGCAGGAGAATCACTTGAACCCAGGAGGCAGAGGTTGCAGTGAGCCGAGATCGTGCCACTGCACTCCAGCCTGGGTGACAGAGCAAGACTCCGTCTCAAAAAAGAAATTATACATATATATATATATATATCTATTTCTTGCTCTTGAGCCCCATGGGAAGGTTCTTTCCTGTTATACTAGAAACACCTCGGAGAGAATGGCACTGTCATGCTAGGACACTGGTGATTTGCTGTGGCCACCTCTTGAGTCCCTGCCACTCCAGCTGGCCTTCCCTCCTTCCCACTCTCCCTCCAGCACACTCAGACCTCAGTATATTGCCCACAAACATGGGTAAACCCTGGTTTGTTTTGTTTTGTTTTGTTTTGTTGAGATAGAGTCTCCCTGTCACCCAGGCGGGAGTGCAGTGGCGCGATCTCGGCTCACTGCAGCCTCTGCCTCACAGGTTCTAACGATTCTCCTGCCTCAGCCTCCCAAGGAACTGGGATTACAAGCATGCGCCATCATGCCCGGCTAATTTTGTATTTTTAGTAGGAATGGGGATTCACCATGTTGGCCAGGCTGGTCTCCAACTCCCGACCTCAAGTGATCCGCCTGCCTCGGCCTCCCAAAGTGCTGGGATTACAGGCATGAGCCACCATGCCCAGCCAACCTTGTTTTTGTTTTCCTTTGTGGAGACAGGATCTCGCTCTGCCACCCAGGCTGGAGTGCAGTGGCACAAGCATCGTTCACTGCAGCCTCCACGTCCTTGGCTCAGGCGATCCTCCTACCTTGGACCTCCAAAGTACTGGGAATACAGGAGTGAGCCACCATGCCTGGCCGAACCCTGCTTTCTTTGGCTGCCCTTAACCTAGGAAAAGGTGCTAACGGCTGCACAGGCACCTGCTCTGAAAACACCCTTGTGACAGGGAAACAGCAGAAAAGACAACGCTCCAAACAGCAGGAGCAGGCCATGCCCACACCCAGTGCAGCATCCAGGCACCATCGCCTCTTGGCTGGCCCTTCTCTCTGCCTCCTGGTCTCCTCTCTCTCCCTGTCTCCAGCTCCAACCCTTGTGTGCAAGAGAAAATTAAGACCCTGGATGAAGCTGGAAACCATCATTCTCAGCAAACTATCGCAAGGACAAAAAACCAAACACCGCATGTTCTCAATCATAGGTGGGAATTGAACAACGAGAACACATGGACACAGGAAGGGGGACATCACACAATGGGGCCTGTTGTGGGGTGTGGGTAGTCGGGGGGGAGGGATAGCATTAGGAGATATACCTAATGTAAATGACGAGTTAATGGGTGCAGCACACCAACATGGCACATGTATACATATGTAACAAACCTGCACGTTGTGCACATGTACCCTAAGACTTAAAGTATAATAAAAAAAAAGAAAATTAAGACCCAAGGGTCATGGGTGGGCACCTACCGCGTGTCAAGCCCATTATTTCCTTTATCCACACGAGCCTGCAAGACAGCAGCTGATGTAAACCTAAGAAAGCTGAGGCTGAAGGCATCTGGTAAGGCGCTCAGGATCTCCAGCTGGTGTCTGGTGGCGGTGGAGTGGAAACTCACACCCTCCTGCACCCAGGCCTGTGCTCTTTCCCGTGCTGCTTCTGCACAGACGCCCTTTTCCCACAGGCTAGGATCCCTATTGAGTGCACAGGGCATGTCACACACTACTTGGCATGTACTACGGAGGAAACAGAGGCCTGAAAAGGAAGAGCCATCTGCCCAGGGCGGCCGTTGGGAAGAGCAGAGCTGGCGCCACTGAGTCCTCACGCCCCTCTACGTGTGCGTGACAGTTACCGGCAGCAGTATGCATGTGACAAAGCCGGCCTTCGCTCTCCAGGTCTTCAAAGCCAACTCCTTTGCACAAGCCCCAAACCCTCTCCGCCTGAGGAACCCTGGGCAGGTCCCAGGCCAGGAGTGAGCACCATGTTCAAAATGTCAACAGCCCCTACTCCAAGCCCCGGAGGCCTGAAGAAGCCGGGGTTACAGGGGTGAGCCACCACGCCCAGCCCCTAATGGCAGCTTTTATCATAGCATCCAGGCAGCTTGCTAACCCAGGCCCAGGGCAAGGCCTCCCTAGACTCACTCACTCAACAAAGGTTCATTTTTGGTAGACTCCAAGGACTTCACTGTGAAAGAGACCAACAAGGCCCCTGCCCTCCAGAATTTACAGACAAAATTCAAGTAAACTAACAAACAAGTTACCAGCCCTGATAAGTGCACAGAAGGAAGCGGAAAGAGTGTGCTGAGAAAGGAAATCACAGAGGAGGCTGTGCTTGAGATGGAGTGGGGGGTTGGGGAGGGCCACCCTGAAAAGATGCTGTACATTCCAGGGCCGCCTGGTTGAGAGCAGCACCAAAGCCATTCCAACAGCAGAACCGCAGTGCCAAGGCTCAAGGTGGGCTAACAGCTCAGATTCAGCGAGTTCTACCTCCCCCAGACACCCCCAGCCCTCTGCAGGTAATATATTTCTCCCTGCAACCCTATGAGGGAGGTACTATAATCATTTTACAGATAGAGAAACTCAGTCACACAGCAATGAAGTGAATCACCTAAGATCCTACAGCTGGAAGTGGTGAAACGGGATCCAGCTACCCAGGCATTGCCCAGGCCCAATCTCCCTCCAAGGATGCTCCAAGCTCGGGAATGGCCCTGCCTTCCCCTGATCTCATCATTGCCTGGGCAGCTTGGAGCAGACCCAGAGCTCTGGAATCGGAGGACAAGGTCCAGTGGCTCCCAAAGAGTGCTCCTGAGATTGGGTCATTGATTTGATTGGGGAGAAACCTGGATACCGTGTGCTTCCTGCAGCACGAAGTGGCCGTCTGGCTTGGGACGGGGCCAAATCCATCCTGAGCAGGCAGGCCTCCCACACCCTCAAGTTCAAGCTTGATCCAAGGTAAGGTTAAGCCACTCTCTGCCTCACTTCCCTCATCTGTAAAGTGGGGATGATAAACGAAGATCACATGAAAATAGCTGCATAATCGCCCTGCAGTGGGAAGGCTTCCCACACCTTGGCAACCTGCACTGGGAAATCTCTCTTTCGAGGGAAAGGCAAACACTGTCCGCCTTGGTCCCCGCTGGCCATGCAGAGCTTTATGGTCCCTGGCAGGGACACACTGCACATTCATATCAGTGTGCCCCTGAGAAGTGGGGGAGAGCTGGCCACCAACCTGGCGTGTGGCTTAGCAGAGCGACCTGGAACCAACTCATAAGCTCTCCCCTGTCCTGCTTCTGCAGGGGACCAGCTCCCGGCTCGCACAGCCAGGCTGGTTCTCCTTCTGTCTCTATCTCACGCGGACACACACACACACACACACAGCCTCGGGCAGCACCAGGAGCCACGGGGGACACCACAGCAGCCACATGTAACCAGGCCTTGGTAGGATGCCCCTCAACTTCAAAGCTCCAGGGCAGGGTGGAGGCCCCAGGTAATGACAGGGAACCCCTGTGCAGAAACCGCCAGCCTCAGCAAGAAAAGAAGTCAGGCCCGGTTTACAGCTGACCCTGTGTTCCTGGGCTTGTCAGCCTGTGGTCAGCACAGTGCTAGAACGGCTGTCAGCTGGCCTGTGGCCAGAGCAGGTCTGCACCCCAACAGCTCCTTCCCCCCAGCTCCTTCTCCTCTTATGTTACCTGCCTCAAAATAGGACACAGTCCCACCCAGCCCCCAGCCTAGCCCGCCTCTGGGTTCTGAGGACAGCCACTCTTCCATCTTCCTCCCGAATTTGTTCCCCCAAAATTCCTAGAAAGCCAACCCAGGGCTCCCTGCAGGTGAAGCATGCATGTGAGACAAATATGTCAGATGGCCCTGTCCTTCCTGATGCCTCAGGAATCCTGCCTGCCTCGGGACAGTGCAGGGCTGGAGGGAGACGGAGAGCTCCCCACTGCAGCTTCGAGCCAAGGAGGTGACAATGATTTTTTTTTTTTGAGACACAGTCTCACTTGTCGCCCAGGCTGGAGTGCAGTGATGTGATCTTGGCTCACCGAAATCTCCACCTCCCAGGTTCAAGCAATTCTCCTGCATCAGCCTCCCAAGTAGCTGGGATTAGAGGCACGTGCCACCACACCTGGCTAATTTTTGTAGTAGAGACGGGGTTTTGCCATGTTAGCCGGGCTGGTCTCAAACTCCTGACCTCAAGTGATCCACCCACTTTGGCCTCCCAAAGTGCTGGGATTACAGGCGTGAGCCACTGCACCCAGCCAGAGGTGAGGATCTTTGTGCCTCTCCAGCCTGGGCAGAAACGCAAAGGTTCTGGGTCACTGCAGAGCCCTAGAGATGAAATTAGAGATCACTAGTGGGTCCTAAGGACCTCTGGACAGGGGTCAAAATAGGCTGGGTTCCACATCACACACCGGGGCCTGTTGGGGGGTGGGGGGCAAGGGGAGGAAGAGCATTAGGACAAATACCTAATGCATGCGGGGCTTAAAACCTAGATGATGGGTTCATAGGTGCAGCAGACCACCATGGCACATGTATACCTATGTAACAAACCTGCACATTCTGCACATGTATTCCAGAACTTAAAGTAAAATTTTTTTTAAAGTAGCCTGGGCTCTAGTTTGTAAAATGCCCCCACGCCCCGCCCTGACTTCTGGAAATTGTTCTTCCTAGGCCCCCAGGGCTCTGCTCCCTCCCATGTCTCCTCCTCCAGCTCCCTTCTCCATCCCTACCCTCCCCGGCAGGTTCCCTGGTCCAGTCCATTCAATGTTGGGATTCCTCGAGGTCCGTCCCAAACCCTCTTCTGAGCCTGCCCTCTCCCTGGGCCATCTCAGTCACCCCTTCTTATACACAGATTTGTTTTCAATAGAAGTTACAATGAGTGCGCCTGCCTCTCCCGCCTCTCATCTACCTCCTCCGCTTCTTCTGCCTCAGCCACCCCAAGACAACAAGACCAACCCCTCTTCTTCCTCCTCCTCAGCCAACTCAAGGCAAAGACAATGAGGATGAAGACCTTTACGATGATCCACTTCCACTTAATAAATAGTAGATGTATTTTCTCTTTCTTATGATTTTCTTAATTTTCTTTTCTCTACTTTATTGTAAGAATAAAGTAATACATATAACATACAAAATATGTGTTCATTGAGTGCTTATGTTATCAGTAAGGCTACTGGTCAACAGTAGGCTATTAGTAGTTAAGCTTGGGGGAACTTAAAAGTTATACATGGATTTGTTAACCCCTGTGTTGTTTATCGGTCAACTGTACAGTCATGTTTGTTACCCCAGTGAATCCTTACAACCTCCCTGCCAGATACGGGCATCCATTTCACACATGAGCAAATGGAGACTCAGCAAAGGGAAGAGATTTGCTTCATGCAAAGTAATCAGTGCACTGTTGGACACCCACCTGCTCACATTTTCTGGACAGCCAGATTCATTTCCTTCTTGTGGCTGGAGGTGCCCTTTGGCAGGCCCTGCCCAGGCAAACTGCCAGGCCAGACAGTGGGTTCTCGGTGCCCTCTGGCAGGCCCTGCGCAGGCAAACTGCCAGGCCAGAGAGTGGGTTCTCGGTGCCCTCTGGCAGGCCCTGCCCAGGCAAACTGCCAGGCCAGACAGTGGGTTCTCGGTGCCCTCCTCTGGAAGTGCCCCTCTCTTGCCTCATGCCTCTCTAACCAAGAAGTATCCAGGGAACATGGGGACCCAGCTGGAAGAGACCCCTGTTTATCTTCAGGACCCAGGATGGACTGCAGCAGGGAGCTGCAGTGATCACATACACATGCTCACACAGATACATGCATGCACACACACCCCAAGGCGGGGCACCAACATGCCAATGAGGCAGCACCAGCTCTGCCATCTTCATGCTGTGTGACCTTGAGCGAGTTACCCAACCTCTCTGAGCCTCAGTTTCTGCAATATAAAAATGGAGACAAAGGCCAGGCACTGTGGTTCACGCCTGTAATCCTAGCACTTTGGGAGGCCGAGGCAGGTGGATCACCTGAGATCAGGGGTTCGAGACCAGCCTGGCCAACATGGTGAAACCTCATCTCTACTAAAAACACAAAAATTAGCTGGGCATGGTGGCAGGTGCCTATAATCCTAGCCACTTGGGAGGCTGAGGCAGGAGAATCGCTTGAACCCAAATGGCAGAGGTTGCAGTGAGCTGAGATCATGCCACTGCACTCCAGGCTAGGCAAAAGAAGGAAACTCCATCTAAAAAAAAAAAAAAAAAAAAAGGAGACAAAAATACCAACTTCTTGGAGTTTTATGAAGATTAAATGAGAATTCATAAGAAAGAATTTTGCAGTTAAAGGCCATGTAATAAGAGACTTATCATCATCGTGTTAATTATTTCAGTCTTCTTAATATTATCATTATCATTGAGAGCCCAGGGTGTCCTCTCCAACTAAATCAGAAAGACCAAGACATTATTAAAATGCAATTGAAGGGCCGGGCATGGTGGCTCATGCCTGTAATCCCAGCACTTTGCGAGGCCGAGGCAGGAGAATCATGAGGTCAGGAGTTCAAGACCAGTGTGGCAAACGTGGTGAAACATCGTCTCTACTAAAAATACAAAAAAATTAGCTGGGCGTGGTGGCAGGCACCTGTAATCCCAGGTACTCAGGAGGCTGAGGCAGGAGAATCGCTTGAACCTGGGAGGCGGAGGTTGCAGTGAGCCAAGATCGAGTCACTGCACTCCAGCCCCAGCAACAGTGCGAGGCTCCATCTCAAAAAAAAAAAAGAAAAAGAAAAAATGCAATTGAACAGCCAAGATAATCCTTGGGTAAGGATTAAGGATAGCACAAGAGGGTGGAGAAATGTCCCTGGACCTGATAAAAGACCATAGTCACCGGTCCTGTTGGCCCAACGCCTGGGGTGCCTGTTCTGGGCAAGGACCTGACTCCTCAAGGCCTCCCCCCAAACCCCCAGCTACATGGGGAGGTTCCTGGGAACATCCAGCCCTGCAGACCTCCTTCTCCTCTCACAAGGCTGCCTCGTGGGCCAGAAGCCCATCTCCAGGGCAGTCTCAGTCCAGGGAAGGTGTCCTCAGAGTGTTCCCCCGACCCCAGCTCCCTCCCGCCGGCCCCTTCCTGTCCTCCTTTCCTCTGGCTCCTCCTTGGGTCAGGCAGCTTCTGGAGATCCCGCCCTCAAGAGTCCAGGCATGGCCACCTGCCCCTCAGTCCCCGTGGGAGATCCTCCGAGCCTGAGCCCCATGGGTGCAGAGAGTACTGGCCAAGGTGGGTAAGAGCCTCTCCCAGGGCAGCCCATGACAGGCTCCTCATCCTGCACAGGTCCCCTTGGATCACACGCGTGGGTTTAGGGGTGCAGGAATGAGGTCTTCCCAACATTCCAGACCACGGGGGATAGTTCCTCCCGGCTCCAAACCATATGCCCACCCTGAAGCTCCATGCTGCAGCCAGAGACCCTGAGGCACAGGCTGGGGGAGCAGAGGAAGCCACGACCCACCCTGGGTGAAACTTGGCATCACCAGTGTCCCTGCAGCAGGAGTCCCCCCCACCCCACCACAGGACAGCTGTGGTCTCAAGCCCCTGAAGGCTCCATGGCCCCGAGATCCAGGCCAACACTGCCCCACTCAGCTCTCACGCATTGCCACCAACACTCCCAGCCCCACGAAGGAAAAGAAAATCCCCCACTCAGCTCTCATGCATTGCCACCAACACTCCCAGCCCCGCGAAGGAGAAGAAAATCATTTTTCCTCTGAGCACAGCTGAGACAGGCAAATTCTCAAAGAAGCGCTGAGGATGGTGAAAGGAAATCTAATCTTGCCACTTACTGAGAGCTCAGGCCGCCGTCCCGTGAGTGGCCTCCCATCTCCCTCCTGGGTCCCTTGTCTTTGTCCCAGCTTCTTCCTTAGCTGTGCTCACTAAGTGCGCAAGGATTTGAACCAGCCCTGTGCCCATCAGGGGAATTCCCAGGCAATGCAGGTTGCCAAGGACATCTATAGGCCCAGAGCACCGCGAAATACAGGCCTGGGGGAGGCACTCAACCTGTGAGCTGAGCAGATTTGCTGGCGGCGAAAGCTCCCAGCAACCTCACCCCTCTGGTGGGATGCCCCAGGCTTCTGCTTCCCGAGACCCCCCGGGGGAGAGGGGTCAGCTGCCCCTAATAGTGAGCCTTCCCGGGCTCACCTCTCCACGACAGGTGCTTCCAGGATCACCTCCCAAATACATCCCCCTCCCTCCAATGCCGGTCTCAGGGTCTGCTTTAGGAGTGAGGAAACCAAACCAAGATAGAGGACAAAGACTGAGAGTTTGGCAAAGGAAGGACTCAAAGAAGTGGTCCATGATAGAGGAGACAGGATGGAGGCACTTCTGTGTCGTTTGAGTCTCACTATGGTCCTTTAGCGTAGGTGATATTATTCCCATGTCTCAGCTGCAGCCATTGAGGCTCAGACACGCCCCAGATTCCCCACTGAGGACAGGTGAAGCTGGGATTCAAACCCAGGCCACTGACCGGAGCCCAGGTCCCAGATGCTTCCAGGCAGAGCTGGGGGAAATGGCATGTTCTCTGGAACTGGGACATTTTCAACCATTCCATGAAGTTAATACGATGACAGAAAACTGGCTCATTGAGTCCCTGGGACTGAGGAGAAGGCAGTCAGAGGGAGGACCACGTTTTATGCTCCCGATCGCCCCATCCCCTCCCCCCGCAGGCCTCGTGCTTCCCACCACCCGCTCATTCATTCCGCACGTTGAACAGCCTCATCTCCCTCTTTTCCCTTATCTCAAAAAGCCCAGAGCTCAGCTTTCTCTTCAAAAGCTCCGCTAATGAGAAGCACATTTGATTTCCTCGGGGGAGGCAGCTGTGGGATGAGAGCCGGAAGTGTAAACTCTGCTGGTGGCTGAATCATCGCGGTGCTTCTTAACTTTTTATGGCGATGTTTTCTAATTTTCTAAAAACACATAGAAGAATGAGGCTCATCGCTCTCGTTATCGGCATTGACTGGAGTGGAGTTCAAAAGGCTACAGATGGTGTTGAAATATTCTCCACAGGCTGGGGAGGCCGGCGTTCAGAACCCAGGGCCCCGCCCTCCTCGGGCCAGGCACGGGGAAGGCAGGACCCAGGGGAGCAGCCAGCACTGCGCATGCTGGGAGTGTTCAATAAATACAGGCTGAATGAATGAATGAACTGATGCAACCAAAACTTTCTTTTTCTCCAAGGAAATTAAAATGATTGGCCTATGACGACCCATTAATAAGATGGAATATGATACAGTCAAAAACTTAATGACTGGGAGAATATGTAATGACAGTGATAAAGTATTCCCCTTTTATTTTTAAAGTGAAAAGCAAATTGAAAAAAATAGAATTAGATCCGAGCTTTATTTTCAACACATGTACATAAATAAGCCAGGCACAGAAAGACAAATGTCATGCATTCTCACTTATTTGTGGGATCTAAAAATCAAAACAATTGAATTCATGGACATAGAAAGTAGAAGGATGGTTTCCGGAGGCTGGGAAGGATAGTTAGGGGTGGGGGCAGGGAGAGGGGGGATGCTTAATTAGTACAAAAAAAATAGAAAGAATGAGGCAGGGCGTGGTGGCTCAAGTCTGTAATCCCAGCACTTTGGGAGGCCAAAGTGGGCGGATCGCCTGAGGTCAGGAGTTCGAGACCAGCCTGGCCAACGTGGTGAAACCCCGTCTCTACTAAAAATACAAAAATTATCCGGGCGTGGTGGTGGGCGCCTGTAACTCCAGGTACTCGGGAGGCTGAGGCATGAGAATCACTTGAACCCGGGAGGTGGAGGTTGCAGTGAGCCGAGATTGCGCCACTGCACTCCAGCCTGGGCAATAGAGCGAGACTCCATCTCAAATTAAAAAAAAAAAAAAAAGAAAGAATAAGACCTACTATTTGATAGCACAACAGAGTGACTATAGTCAATAACTTAATTGAACATTTTAAAATAACTGAAAGTGTAATTTGATTGTTTATAACACAAAGGATAAATGCTTGAAGAGATGGATCCCCATTCTCCATAATGTGATCATTATGCATAAAATGCCTGTATCAAAACATCTCATGCACCCTGTAAATATATACACCTACTATGTACCCACGAAAGTAAAAATAAAATTTTAAAAAAACAAAATATATGTATATAAATACAGAGAAATATAGCAGACATAAGGACAGGCACAAATGCTAGTGGTAGTTATCTCTGAACTGTGGAATAAGGAATGGTTTGCAATTTCTTCTTTGTCTTTCCCTGCATTTTCCAGTTTTCAATCATGAACATGTGTTAGTTACTTCAGTAATCAGAGAGAAACATGTCCGACGGCAGCCAGGACAGGGCACGACCTCACCTACTGGCTGCCTCCCCAGAATCCGTGGTCTGCTCTTCCTCTAGAAAGACCAGCGTTCCTCTTTGTCCAATGTGTTCTCTTCTCCATTCTCCATTTCACATTTCAAGCTAATGACCCGCTCCCCTAGATCCAGAGGTGGATCTTATTTTCTAAGCCAATCAGCATTTTCCATTTTACCAGGCCTCAGTGATTGGTTTTGGAATGGGAACCCAAGCCAATCAAAATCAACAAGGCCCCTTCTTCCATAAGAAAGCAATTCAAAGAGACTCAACCTTTCCCACTGGACACAAATGGAAAACAATGTAGCCCCAGGAACTCTGGCAGCCATTCTGTGCCCATGAGAAGAGCGTCTGAATGAAAACATGCCAATACCAAGGAAATAGAGCCAAGAAAAGAAGAGAGAGGAGCCAAGTCCTGGTTACATCATTTGAGCCCTGGAGCAAATCATTCATGATAGCTGAGTTTCAGGTGCCAATAAAATCTCATGTTTTGCTGAAGCCAGTCTGAGTTGAGCTTTCTGATACAAGCTAGAGATCCAAATGGCATGTGGTGTATTGGGGGGCTTCTCTCGAGGCCAAACAAATGGAAAACAGCCAGCCCCAAGAGGGTGCGGCTCCGCCCAGCCAGGAATCAAGGCGTCAGTCAACCAAAGAGACGAGGAAAGGACAACCCGGAACCTGGGCTCACTGTGGAAGCAGCAGAGGGAGCCTCTCCTCTGCCAGAAAGGGGAAGCCTTCGCTCAGTATCCTTTGGAGAGGCAGGGCAGCATGGAGGTTACTTACCAGGAGGGACCCAGGTCTGACCGGCTCAGACCCCTGGACTTCATCCCAGCTCTATTCATCGCTAGCTGATCACCTTGGGCAACTTTCTTAACCTCTCTGGGCCTCAGTCTCTGCACTTGAGGATATAGTAGCGCCTATCATGTAGGCTGTTGTGAAGATTAAACAAGTTAATACCTGCAAAGACTTTAGAACAGTAGTTGGCACAGAACTATCCTCCTTAAGAGATTTCAGCGGCTGCTGTTGTTCTTCATATTATTAATGCTAACGCTCTCCTTGGATGAGTTCCACTCCAGAGGTTTGCGGCCCTCCAGCTTCCACCCACATGTGTATGAGCCCCCTTCGGGCAGGCGCTACCCAGCCCCCACCCCGAACCTGACCTGATGGGCTGCTCTGGACCCACCCACGCCTGATGGTGGAGGCATGAGCAGACACAGAGCTCCGCAGCCTTTCCGCAGCCCCAGGCTGTGATGTGTTTCTGCTGCAGGTGACAGGCAGCCTTCCCTACCCTGGATGAATGGGGGAGACGACTTCATTGTCAGGACTCTGGGGTCCCATGAGGCTGCAAACACTCCACCTCCCACACCTCCCTCAGCCGCACTTACCTCTGGGCTGGCGTCACCTTCTGGCAGGTCATTTTCAAGTCGAATAACTTTTTTTTTTTTAAGCCTGAAGACTCAACAAATCTGTCACTTAAAAAACTCGAGTTCACAAGAAAGTCATAGAGAAAGATGATGTACTGAATAGCTGAAATGGCAAAGATGCTGAATAATCATGAATGTACTACGTGTAAAAATTCATGGGTAATGATTAAAGTTGTTCTTAGAGGAAAACTCAAAGCTTTTAATACGTTTAATTGGAAAACAAGAAAAACTGAAAACAAATGAGTTCAACTCAAGGAGCTTAAAATAAACAACGGTCAACTCAAGGCAAAAAGGGCATAAGAAAATAGACAAGGGCAGAATTCAATAAACTCGAGAACAAAACAGGAATGTCAAAAAAAAGTCAAAATACAAATATAGAAAATGAAAACAAAATAACTCACATATAGCAATCATTTTGGATTTTGGGGGTGGTTTTTTTTTTTTTTTGAGACAGAGTCTCACTCTGTCACCCAGGCTGGAGTGCAAATGGAGTGATCTCTCAGCTTACTGCAACCTCTGCCTCCTAGGTTCAAGCAATTCTCATGCCTCAGCCTCCAGCCTCCTAAATAGCTGGGATTACGGGTGCACATCACCACGCCCAGCTAATTTTTTTTTTCTTTGTATTTTTAGTAGAGACGGGTTTCACCATGTTGGTCAGGCTGGTCTCAAACTCCTGACCTCGAGTAATCCACCCACTTCAGCCTCCCAAAGTGCTGAGATTACAGGCACGAGCCACCACACCCAACCACACATAGCAATAGTTTTAAGTGAAATAATTAAGAAATATTATTCACAGCTACAAACCAAAACTTAAAAGCAGATGAAATGGATACATTTCTGGAAAAAAAAAAATAACAAAGTGCCAAAACTGGTGCAAGAGGAAATAGAAAAGTTGAATAGATCAGTAGCCATGAAAGAAAATAAAAACCCAAGAGGAACAACAAACTGTAAGAAATAACAGGAGGCTTCAGCATGGTTACCAGACATATACTCAACCTACAAAAAACAACTATGCTTGTCCACTCCAGCAAAAATCCACGGGAAAAATGTAGCCAAAGATATAATAGCATTGGTCATAGCAGCAAAAAATATAAAGTGTCTAGGAATTAGCCTACCAGAGAATGCATGATATCTGTATGGAGAAAATTTTGCATCTACTAAGGGTACAAAATGATATGTGAGCAGTGGTGAAATGGACCTATTCACTTAGCACTGCCAAGGGTGATTTCCCTCAAGCTAATCTGTAAGTTAAAAACAATTACATTAAATTACATTAAATCTAGCCAAAAGCACAGCCACATATTTTCGGGAATGTAACAAATCAATTCAAAAATTCATCTGACAAATAAAGATTCATGAATGGCTAAAACGATCTTTTTTAAAAAAAGATCAAACAAGTAGTGTTGGCAAGAGAAATATATCAGAAACAGATCAAAGAAACAGAATAGAAATTCCAGGATCAGACCAAAATGATGGATGTGGCATCAAAAGTCAAGGAGGGAAAAAATGAATTATTTAGTAATTGATGTTGGAGATACGAGCTTGCTATGTGGAGAAGAGCTTGGCTCCTAGCATACACAAGCTACACTGCCAGGGAACAGCCCCTAGCTCAAGCATGACTCACTGGCCACATATGCCACCAAAATATTGTGCTGGCTACTGGACAATCACTGGTCTGGGTATTGCAGTGTGTCTGATAATTTTCACATATATTCATGACATTTTTCAATGTTTAATGCATATTAAATACTTATGTAATTCAAACTTTTCCTACACAGAAAAGTGATTGAAAGAAACAAGTTCTAAGTGGAAAGCAGGTTTCTGAACTCTTTACACTGAATTAAGCAAGCAAATAATCAGGCTGCTTCAAAGATAAGCAACTGAAGCATTCGACTTCTAAAAAGACAGAGGTAAACTACCCAAAATGAACAACTCCAACTCCAGTAAGGCCGCATCGCAAGAGTAAGAAGACAAAAGGAATTATGAAGAAAAGTGTTTATCCTGACTATTTACTTCTTTTAGAATAGGGAAGGCCCAGTGTGGTAGCTGACTCCTGTAATTCCAGCACTTTGGGAGGCCAGGTGGGTAAATCACTTGAGCCCAGGAATTTGAGACCAGCCTGGGCAACATGGCAAAACCTCATGTCTACAAAAAATACAAAAATTAGCCAGGTGGCTCATGCCTGTAGTTCCAGGCACTTAGGAGGCTGAGGCACGAGAATCACTTGAGCCCAAGAAGTGGAGGTTGCAGTGAGCCAAGGTCGTGCCCCTGCACTCCAACCTGGGTGACAGAGTAAGACCTTGTCTTAAATAAATAAATAAGCCAGGCATGATGGCGCACACTTGTAGTCCCAGCTACATGGGAGGGTAAGGCGGAAGGGTCACTTGAGCCCAGCAAGTCAAGGCTGCAGTGAGCTGTGATTATGTCACTGCACTCCAGCCTGAGTGACAGAATGAGACCCTGTCTCAAAAAACAAAACAAAACAAAACAAAAAAATTGACTGGGTGTGGTGCCTCACGCCTGTAATCCTAGTACTTCGAATGCCAAAGTGGGTGGATTGCTTGAGCCCAGGAGTTCAAGACCAGCCTAGACAACATGCCAAAACCCTGTCTCTACTTAAAATAATAATATGTTTTTAAAATGTAAAAAAAAAGGGGGGGGGATTTTTTTATTATTGGTGTAGGTTATGTAGAAGAAAAAAACACTAAAAGCTCTTTAGATGCAACTATCAATGGCATTTGTAAAATGTTCACCTTGTACACAAATACAAGAATATAAAAGCTGAAAAACACGTATGTGCATATAACATAAAATAATGTCATATATGATATGGTTTAGATCTGTTTCCCCACCCAAATCTTATGTTCAATTGTAATCCTCAGTGTTGGAGGTAGGGCCTGGTGGGAGGTGATTGAATCTTGGGGGTGGGTCTCATGGTTTGACACCATCCTCCCTTGGTGTTGTTTTCATCATAGTGAGTGAGTTCTTGCAAGATCTGGTTGTTTAGAAGTGTGTAGCATCTCCCTGCTCTTTCTCGCTTGCTCCTGCTCTGGCCATGTAAGATGTGTTTGC
Source organism: Homo sapiens (assembly GCF_000001405.40). Taxonomy (NCBI): domain Eukaryota; kingdom Metazoa; phylum Chordata; class Mammalia; order Primates; family Hominidae; genus Homo; species Homo sapiens. Next base: position 124,360,991 of record NC_000010.11, read on the forward strand.
TTCCCCTTTGCCTTCTGCCATGATTGTAAGTTTCCTGAGGCCTCCCCAGAAGCCACTATGCTTCCTGTACAGCCTGCAGAACCATGAGCCAATTAAACCTCTTTTCTTTACAAATTACCCAATCTCAGATATTTCTTTATAGTAGTGTGAGAATAGACTAATACATTATACATTATAATACTAATATATACATTATAATACTAATGCATTATAATACAATGTATCATATACACACACACATATTCCAAACAGTTTAAGGACTACAGGTGAAAGTTAATTATAAAGCTAATAAAAGGCCAGGTGTGGTGGCTCACACCTGTAATCTCAGCACTTTGGGAGGCCGAGGCAGGTGGATCACCTGAGGTTAGGAGTTTGAGACCAGCCTGGCCAACATGGTGAAACCCCGTCTCTACTAAAACTACAAAAATTACCAGGACACGGTGGCGGGAGCCTGTAATCCCAGCTACTCGAGAGGCTGAGGCAGGAGAATTGCTTGAACCCAAGAGGTGGAGGTTGCAGTGAGCCAAGATCATGCCATTGCACTCCAACCTTGGTAACAAGTGTGAAACCCCAACTCAAAAAAAAAAAAAAAAACCTAATAAAAGAAAAAAAAAGTTTTATGGTCTCAGAGTTTGTTTTTTATCTTATTTTATTTTATTTTATTTTGAGACAGAGTCTTGCTCTGTTGCCCAGGCTGGAGTGCAGTGGCACTATCACAGCTCACTGCAGCCTTGACCTCCGGTACTGTACTCAAGCAATGCTCCCACCTCAGCCCCCCAAGTAGCTGGGACCACAGGCACATGCCACCAAACCCAGCTATTTTTTTTTAGTTTTTATTTTTTGTATAGACATTGTCTCGATATACTGCCCTGGCTGGTCCTCAACTTCTGGCCTCAAGCGATCTTCCCACCTTGGCCTCTCAAAGTGCTGGGATTACAGGCATGAGCCACCTTGCCCAGCCTCAGAAAGAGTTTCTTAAAGAAGTCACTGAAAGAATAAACTATGAGAAGAAAAATGACAGAATCAACTTCATCAAAATTAAAGCTTGCTGGCTGGGCACGGTGGCTCACGCCTGCAATCTCAGCACTTTGAGAGGCTGAGGCAGGCAGATCACCTGAGGTCAGGAGTTCAAGACCAGCCTGGCCAACATGATGAAACACCATCTCTACTAAAAATACAAAAATTCGCCAGGCATGGTGGCATACACCTATAATCCCAGCTATTCGGGAGGCTGAGGCAGGAGAATTGCTTAAACCCAGGAGGCAGAGGTTGCAGTGAGCCAAAATTGTGCCACTGCACTCCAGCCTGGGTGACATAGTGAGATTTCATCTCAAAAAAAAAAAGAAAAAAAAGCTTTCTACTTGTTAAAGAATACCACAGACAAAGTAAACAGATGACAGACTGGGAGAACTTTTTATTCAATGCCTGAAATTGATGAGGCATTATTACCCAAATTATTCAAGTAACTCCTATAAATCAGCAAGTTGAAGACAGTCAACCCTTGAAGAAGATGAAAAAATGTTATGAACAGACAATTAGCAGCAGAGGAAATCCTGTTGTCACAAAGTAAATGAGGAGCTCCACCTCTCTAGTAACCAGAGACATGGAAATGAAAAGGAGATCGCACCTTGCTGCCACCTTTGCAGAAAATAGATGGTCAAATGATAGCCAGTGCAGCTGTGGTTTGCAGAAATGGGATTCCTCATCTCCCGCTGGTGGGAAGAACATGCAGGCATTGCAGAGAGCCATCCAGGAGCATAGGTGAGAGGCACGCATCCCCCCGCGACACAGAGATGCGGCTCCTGCGTTTACATCCCAAAGACATTCTTGCACAACCCACAAGAAGATACAGAGAAGGACGCTCAGCACAGCATTGCTTTCCACAAAGAGTAGCAGGCAATGGAGAGGCCATCGCCCAGGAACGAAAAAGGTTTGTGGTTTCTTTAATTTTTAGTTGGTTGGTTGGTTGTTTTTGTAGAGAGGGGGGTCTCATTATGTTGCCCAGGCTGGTCTTGAACTCTTGGCCTCAAGAGACCCTCCCACCTTGGCCTCTCAGAGTGCTGGGACTACAGACATGAGCCACTGCACCTGGACTATTTATTTATTTATTTATTTTTGAGACAGAGTCTCGCTCTGTCCCCCAGGCTGGAGTGCAGTGGCTCAATCTCAGCTCACTGCAACCTGCGCCTCTCGGGTTCAAGCAATTCTCCTGCCTCAGCCTCCCGAGTAGCTGGGATTACAGGAGCTCCCCCACCACACCCAGCTAATTTTTTGTATTTTTAGTAGAGATGGGGTTTCACCACATTGGCCAGGCTGGTCTCAAACTCCTGACCTCATGATTCGCCCGCCTCAGCCTCCCAAAGTGCTGGGATTACACGCGCCCGGCCTGGACTTTGTTTTTAAGTAAACTCACACACTGGCAAGTCCATGCAGTCATCAGATGGATTGAACCAGACTTACACATAGCAAAAGGCCCAATCTCAAAAACATAATATCTGACGGAACAAGGAAGAAAGGGATGAGATTTATGGGCCAATACTATTTATGTAAATTTTAAAACACCCGCAAAATAGCACTATATATTTTCAAGGAGTCACTTATTTTAAAATAAGTGTATTATGTGTTGAAAGTGGATCGGAAGAATATAAAAGCATGAAAGCAGGTATTCTTGGGAGGAGGAAAATGGGAGGGAGGAGGGAGGAGGAAGGGAAAAAATAATAAATAAAACCAAAGTGCAAGGCTGCTGGGGAAGGGGCAGGTCCTCAGCTGGGTGGTCAGCTCAGTTCGGCGGACCTGCGGACCCCAGGAAAGAAGAAAGGTGTGCGCTGTGCAGACAGCACCGGTCACATGGATGAGGACCAACCCAGACATTTCCCACCACGCAAATTCGGGGTCTTTGTTGCAATGCAGAAGTCGGGATCTTTCCTGCAACCAGGTAAGCACCAAAGGGCCTTCCCAGCATGCCCCTTCCATTATTCTCTCGTCCGCCAGCCCTAGCCCAGCACCTGTAGGCTCATCTGTCTACAGACCAGCTTCCTCAACAACACAGCTAGACTCAGGCCCTTGTGTCTCCAAGGGCCATCTGCATTGTCCGACTGCCTCTGAGGCCTCTGGCACACCTGACCTTCCACCCACCCACCCCTCTACCCCTTTGCCAGAGACACCAACCAGAAATGGAGGTGGTGGCTCAGAGCAACCCAGTCAGGTGAACAATAGCAGTGCCTGGGCGGCAGGTGGGTCTGCCTGTCCCATACACCCACTCCACCTCTCAGCAAACCCCCCTGGGAACCCGGCATACACTGAGGGTGAGCCCCAGAGTCTCTGGGAGCACAGAGTCTGAAAAAGATGCCCCAGATGTCGACCAGGTGACAGCCACAGTCCAGGTGCTGTCTGAATAACTTCGGAGTCTTATTTCTTGCTCATTGGATTTCAGTCCTGATCATTGCAGAGTGAAGGGGAAAGAGAGACGCTCCTGATTTCAGGGATTCGCAGGCATGCTTGGATGGGGAGGGGTGGCCATCTACCTCCTGCAGCAGCAGTGGTGGGTGAGGAACCAGATGGCCTCAGGACCTTGAGAAGGGGCCCTGACAAGGGGTGGCACTCATTTACTGTCTGAGAAGCGAGGCCTCAGGATCAGCTAGTGCCCTGACAAGGGATGGCACTCATTTACTGGCTGAGCAGCAGGGCCTCAGGACCGGCTGGTGCCCCTCCAATGGCACAGGGGCTGAGGGATGCCTGTGGAATCCATAGAAGAAGCAAGGGATGGTGGGAAAGAAGGGAGCAGGGAGGGAGAAGAGGGGAGGGAGGGCCTGAGAAAGGACAGGAGCCACCACACCTAAGTGCAAACAAACCAGGCCTCCCAGGTGCCAGCTGAGCAAAGGGACATGAAGGCTCCCTGACAATACAGGCCGTTCCACACACACACCTGGCCGTGGTATAAAGAAGCCTGCTTCATAAAAGCATGGAGTGAGCTAAGCACATCTTAGAATCTTCCAGGCAAATAAAATGTACCCCTTCAAGCACCAGTTTTTCATTGTAACATTCAGAATAATAACACTCGGAGGAACGAGCTCATGCTCCCACATTTCACCTTATTCCATTATTTATTTAATTACCCACAGGATACCAAGTGTAATTTGATGTTTCCCCAAAGAAGTCATCATCTGGAGCTTGTGTCTCCCCTGTTGTCACGCCACTAGGACCTCAGAGCTCACGAGGCCTGAGCGTCCAACCAGCCTGCCCTACCAGCCCGTCGGCCTGCTCTCTGCCTACCCCACCTGCCTGCTCTTCTATTCCAAACCTCATTCTTCCCCTTCAGAGCCCTGGGACCTGACAGCTACTTCTCTCTCCACCAGGAAGAAGGGAGCCCAGTGTTCCTAGTGAGGGAGCCCAGCTCCTTGCAGGGAACTGAACTCCTCCCACCCGCAGTGGGGCCAACAGAGGACTCGGGATTCAACCTCAAGCTTGAGACACAGAATCATCAGCAAACTCTGCGCTGCGATGGGGTGAGGATGAATGAGGGTGCTGGGACCCCAACTCAGAGAAGATGGGAAGGGATGTGGCTTAGAGGACAGCTGGCATTCTCAGCTGCTGGTGTTTGTGTTCGTCTGAGACAGAAGCAAGAATAAATCAGAAAACCCATCACGAGCAAAGGCAGTGAGAGGGAGACTGGATGCCAGGTATGGTCAGCTTGGCATGGAGAGGCCAGCACAGGTGTGCCCAGGGCCCCCGGCCTCAGCACGGCCCAGCTCTCCCCTACACCAGCTCCTCCTCATCCCCTGACCACTTAAAGACCCAAGAGCCCTGGCACTCAGTCCCTGGTCCTCTCTTCTCTGTCCACACTCAACCTTGTTAATCTCACTCAGTTGCAAGGCTTAATGTCATCTATATGTTGGAAACTCCCAAATCGATTGAATTGATCTCCTGAATCTCAGGCTCACGTATCCAGTTTCCTGCTTGATGTATTTCTGCTTGGATGTCTAACAGACATCTATGGGGGTAATCCATCACTGCATAACAAACTCCCCAAAACTTAGAGTCCCAAAAGAGTGATGTATTGTTTCTCGTGATTCTGTTGGTCAGGAGCTCATCTGGATGGTTCTTCTGCTCTGTATGATGTTGGCTAGAGTGGCTCCCACAGCTGCATTCTCTGGAAACTCAGCTGGAACTAGAAGCTCTTTCTCTCCTGCGTGTTAGTTGGTGCTGATTGTCTGTTGGTCTCAGCTCTCCTCCACGTGGCTTCTCCTCCTCCCACAGTCTGCCTCAGCTTCCTTACAGCATGGCAGCTGGTTTCCAAGAAAGCAAGAGGGGACACTGCTAAGCCTCTTCGAGTTCAAGGTGAGACCAGGAATTGGCACAGCTTCATTTACTCCACATTCTCTGTTTTTTCTTTTCTTTTTCTTTATTTTATTTTATTTTATTTTATTTTTTGAGGCAGGGTCTTGCTCTGTCACCCAGGCTGGAGTGCAGTGGCACAATCATAGCTCACTACTGAAACTCCTAGACACAAGCAATCCTCCTGCCGCAGTAGCTGAGTAGCTAGGACTATAGACGTGTGCCATCACGCCTGGCTCCTCCCTCCACACTCTATCAAGCAAAGCAAGTTAGGAGACCATTCCTAATTCAAGGAGCAGGGAGAGGAAGGGTTGGGAGGGGTGGAATTGTCAACGGTGTTCTGAGGAGCTTCTTACCAGGACGTCTCATACCAGCCTTTCAAAATCAAGCTCCTGATCTTTCCCCCAGACATGCTCCTCCACAGCCTTCCCCCAGTGGATGACAACTCCATCCAGCCAGCCTTCCAGTTGGAAATCTGCATGACACCTAATTCATTACAAGTCCTGTTGGCTCCACCTTGAAAGTGTATCCCAAAACCCCCTTCCCACCACCATCCCAGCTCCCAGCAAGCCTAAGCCCCCAGCGTCTTTCTCTGAGCTCCTCAGCAGCCTCCCAACGACCTCCCTGCCTCTGCCCTTGGAGTCTCCTCTTCACGTGACAGCCAGGTGGATCCTGCAGTGCTCTGGGCCAGAGAGTAAGTCAGGGGTTTCTGCTCAGACCTTCCTGTGGTTTCCTGCTTCCCTCAGAGTAAAAGTCAAAGCCCTTACAGTGGTGCTGGGCCCTGTGCCGGCTGCAGCCCACCCCGTACACACTCGGCATGACTGCCCAGGCCTGGCCCCACTGCAACCACCCAGCCTCCCCCAGACACCCTAGCCTTCCACCCAGCAAGCCCCCCGCCATCCCTTGGCCAAGACTGGCTACGTAATTCACGGGGCCCCATGCAAAATGAAAACACAGGCCCTTCTTCCAAATGACCGAGCATTTCAGGACAGCAACTGGACAGAATGAACCCAAATGCAGGAAACTTGAGGCCGGGGCCCTGTGTGCTGCCTGCACAGGTCACACACTGTGAAGCGGCCCCTGGAGCAGCCCAGTGAAGCAAGCGACACAGAGCTTTTTGTCATTTTCCTAAGTCAAGATCAGGAAACAGGCTCAGAGAGGGCCAGGACTGGCCAGGGTCACACAGCTGGAAAGCAGAGGGCTCCTGCTGGACTCCAGACCTCAGCAACAGGGTCTGAACTCTCCTCCATGCCTCCATGCCCACCTCCTTCCCCTCCATGCCCTCCATGCCCACCTCCTTCCCCCCCTCCAATGCCTCCATGCCCACCTCCTTCCCCTCCATGCCCACCTCCTTCCCCCGCTCCAATGCCTGGATCCGCCTGAGAGGAGAAAGATCCTGAGTTCCCCTCTTCACTGCCCATGGACACTCCTACCCAGCGCACCCCTGTCCTCCAGTGTGAGGGCATCAGAAGTCCAGTCCCACCTGCCAGGCCCTCCATGGCCTGCCCTGTGTCATGGTCAAAGCCCCTCCTTACTGGGAATTAGGGCTTTATTTGAGCTGGGAATGAGGCCAAGGAAGATGGTGAAACAGGGAGAAAAGCAGCACCCAGTGGGAGAATGTCGCTTCCGAGGACAGGAATCAAGGGACACGAGGCTGACGGAGGAAATCTGCACAGGAAGGGGTGGAAGGTACTGAACAGTGTAAACCAGAAGCCCCCGCCCAGCCCTGGAAGCCCGAGACAGCACTGCTTGACTCCAGGGCCAAGCCCAGCAGGCCGGGCCAGGGGAGGTCTCCCCGAGGACCACAGCCTGGGGCAGAGACACGGGAGCCCTAATTAGGGGCTTGCAAAGGGCTTAGCCTCGGGACTACACAAAGCCCCGGAGCTGGGCCGCGGGAGCCCCAGCCTGTGTCGGGACAGACTTAACGGCCTGGGCTGGAGTCGCCAGCAACATAAAGTATTCTTGTTCCCAGCGATTTTAACAAGGCATTTATGGACCCGAGACAACCTCAGGACAGCACTTGGTTGAAGGAGCTGGCTGCCCAGACAATCAGGGCACAGAGTCAGGTCAGCACAAGGGCCCAGTGATCAAGGCCAGAAAGGCAGGAGAACTGAGGGGCCATTCACCCCATGGTGCAGGGATGGCCCCTCCCCAACCCTGTTAAAACGCAGCCAGTTGGGCTTAACCCTGGGGGGCCTTCACCTTCATAGAGGTGGGGAGGGGGCGGAGACACACTGGAACCAGATTCCCAGGCCTGGGACACCCACCACCAACACCAACATCAATTTCAAACATAGCCACAGTAGACACTAAAGCACTGGGGGCCAGGTCCCTGAGTCACTGCCCCCAGTAGCACCAAGCACCCTGGGAATATCTTGGGCTCCCCAAGACTGCCCCGCTGTTCCCATCAGCCTGTGCACTTCATCACAGAGCAATTAATCTGTTGTCCTGGTTTTTGCTCATCAAAGTGGCCATAACCAGGGTCCAGTGTAGCGAGATGAGCCCTCCTGTTGATGCAGTTCCAACCCAGTTATGTTGCCCAGGGTGGTCTCAAACTCCTGGGCTCAAGCAGTCCTCCTGCTTTGGCCTCCCAAAGTGCTGGGATTACAGGCATGAGCCTGCCCTATTGTTATTAATAACAGTGACAGCTACTACATATCCAACATTTATTAAGTGGTTTAGAGAATTATGTTTTTCCCTCACAAATAACCTATGAGAGAAGAATGTTGATATCTATAGAAAGCTGAGACACAGGGAGGTTAAGAAACTTACTGACGGTGCAACCTTAGGCAGATAGTGGCACCAGGTCTAAAACATGGGCCTCATTGGCAGCCAGTGACCACATGCCTGGTCACTGGGCAGGAGCCTGTCGACAGGGTGGGTTTGTGTGAGCTGGCAGAAACAGCTTTGGACTTGGAATAGGGACACCCTGGTTCCACTGAGCTCTGACACTCACTTTACAACCTCTGGACATCTCCATGAAATGGGGACGCAGACCCTTTCCCTCCACTTCCCAGGGCAGTGAGGGGGATTGGAGAGGCTGAGCCAGGGGAAGGGCTTTGCTGGCAGTGGTATCCAAATAATGGCCCCCAAAAATGCCCAGTCCTAATGCCTGGAACTGAGCCTATGTGACCGATATAGTTCGGCTGTGTCCTCACCCAAATCTCATCTTGAATTGTAGCTCCCATAATTCCCACATGTCCTGGGAAGGACCTGGTGGGAGGTAACTGCATCATGGAGGTGGGTCTTTCCCATGCTGTTCTCGTGATAGTGAATAAGTCTCATGAGATCTGATGGTTTTATAAAGGGGAGTTCCCCTGCACAAGCTCTCTTGTCGGCTGTCATGTAAGATGTGTCCTTTGCGCCTCATTTGCCTTCTGCCATGATCATGAGGCCTCCCCAACCACGTGGAGCTGTGAATCCATTAAGCCTCTTTCCTTTATAAATTACCCAGTTTCAGGTATGTCTTTATTAGCAGCATGAGACCAGACTAATACAGTGTCCTTATATGGTAAAAGGGACTTCACAGGTGTGATTACATTAAGGATCTTGACATGGAAGATTATCCTGGATTATTATTCAGGGGCCCAATGTGATCACAGGGGTCCTTATAAGAGAGAAGAGTTGGGGCTCAGAGGCAGAGAAGGAGATACGACCACAGGAGCAGAGGCCAGAGAGATGCTCTTTGAGGACACAGGAAGAGGCCAGGGGCCAAGGCCAGGGCAGCCTCTGGAAGCTGGAAAAGGCAGGAAACAGACTGTCTCCTCGAGCCTCTAGAAGGAACCAGCCCTCTGATACCTTGATGTTAGTCCGGTGAGACAGATTTGGACTTCTGACCTCCAGAGCTATAAGATAATTAATCTGTGTTGTGTTACATCACCAACTTTGTGGTAATTTGCCATGGAAGCCACAATGAACTCATAGAGTGGCTCAAACACCCATTCATTTGGGAGCAATTCCATCCACAACTGTGAACTCTGCGGATTTCACAGAAGTGTCTGCTTTGGTCCGGGCAAAATGATTACAAATTCTACTCTTGCAGAACAGAAAAGAGGCTTCAGATAATTCTGTTCTACTTCCTGCAGAGGGTTTAAAGAGTAGGAGCTGAAAACTATATAACTACTGTAAACGACACCAGACTCTTCCTGCTGCCCCCAAATCAAACATATTTTCTTCTCGGAGAGTGATTTTAAGGTGTTTTCTGACAAAACCAGCCCTATTCAGGTGGAGGCCGCTGCCCACCACCAAATCACCCCATGTGCCCATGGACTCTGCCACTGGCCAGGGCCAGGCTGAAATCACAGCTCAGGGAAAGGAGCCACACTGGCCAGGCAGGGCAGCCAAGGGCTCCAGGCTTTGACAGGATCGAGGGTTCGAGGCTGCGGGGCAGGGAGCATCCCAAGAGCTGTGAATATAACAAGTCATCTGTGCACACAGGATGCTGCCCTCTTATATTAATAAACCTGACGGAAATTGTATAGGCTGTGGAAGGAATCAGAGGCAAGCAGACGCTTCCTCATCAAACTGCGCACACAACAGAAAACGGAGTCCACGTGGATGTTCCCAAACCAGGGGAGACTGTCAGTGCTTGACCATAGGGTTTGTCCTTCTCCACCAGGGTCCAAGCACAGGTGGACTTGGTAAGCAGAGCCTCGACAGACCTGCCCGCATACTGACACCCCTGCCAGGGAAGCCCCTCAGTGCAGCGGGGGGCAAAGCGAAAACGGGAAGTATCAAGATGAGGATTCCAGTCCCTGCTGTGAGCCAAGGCCGTTTCTGGGCCTCAGTTTCCCCAGCCACAGCCAGAATCAGCTGGGGTACGTGACCCAACCTGAAGGTCTGGGCTTCCCTACCCAGGTCCCCAGGCTCAGGACTAGCTCCACCTCTCTCTGCTCACCTCCTCACAGATGTGGCCCCAGCCCAAGCCAGAGCTTCCCCAGCTCTCCCCACTCCCTGCTTCCTCTACCCCAGATTCTGAAAATGGAAGCTCCTTTCTGCTTGAGGCTCTCCAGCTCCTCCTTGCTCCTCCATCTCCTGGAAGTCCCCCCAAACTTGAACTTGTTTCTTCACCAATGGCCAAAGGAAACTTGATTCCTAACTCTCCTCATCCCTGGGCTTTGCTCCCTCTTCTTTGTTTTCTTTGGAATCTTTGCCCTCTGTCTTAGTTCGGGTTCCCCCGAAGACAACCAGAGCTAAGAACTTGGATGCAGGTAGTTTATTTGGGAGGCAGCCCAGGAAGCACAGGGAAGATGGAAAAGCAGAGAGGGTGATGGGGGTTGAATCATGTCCCACAGAAAGATGTGTCAAGTCCTGACCCCGGTACTTGTGAATGTGACCTATTTGGAGATAGGGTCTTTGCAGTAATTAAGGGTTAATGTCTGATATGGTTTGGCTGTGTCCCCACCCAAATCTCGACTTGAATTGTAGCTCCCATAATCCCCACGTGTCGTGGGAGGGACCCAGTGGGAGGTAATTGAATCGTGGGGGGCGGGTTTTTCCTGTGCTCTTCTCTTGATAGTGAATAAGTCTCAAGATCTGACGGTTTTGTGAAGGGCAGTTCCCCTGCACTTCTCTCTTGCCTGCCACCATGTAAGACATGCCTTTGCTCCTCCTTCACCTTCTGCCATGATTGTGAGGCCCCAGTGCTGATGGCCTCCCAGGGTTCAGGAATGTCCAACTGGACTCTGTTTTCTGTTGTGTGGGCAGTTTGATGAGGCAGGGTCTGCTTGGCTCTGATTCCTTCCATGGCCTATATATTTCTGTAAGGACATAGAGCCATGTGAAACTGTGAGTCCACTAAACCTCTTTCCTTTCCCAGTCTCAGTTTATGTCCTTATAGCAGTGTGAGAACAGACTAAACAAGGTCTTTACATGTAGATAAGTTGTAAGTTAGGATCCTGTGATTGGGATGAGCCCTAAATCCAATATGACTGGTGTCCTGATTTGAAGAGGAGAAAAGACACAGACACATACACAGAGGAGCATGCCCCATGAAGGCACAGTCACAGTGGGAAGACAGAGACAGAGATGAGAGTGGCATAGCTGCAAGACCACAAATGCTGAGCACTGCCAGCAAGTACCAGAAGCCGGGGAGAGCATGGCCCTGGGCTTGTTACTCAAAGCCACCCAGTTTGTGCAGCACCCCTAGGAAATTAATACTCCATATACATATTAACACGCACACACTCTAATGGTTCTTCTCCTCCAACTGAGACTTGAGTGACACATGTCATTCTCTTTGGCCACCCAGCATCCTGATATACCCCTTCCCCACTTCATGTATCAGAGGAAGGGAGAAACCCCAACCCATTATAAAGCCTGAAAATGCCAGAAACCTACCTTCACAGCCTCCCTTGCAGCCAGGGAAACAGACATTTGATAAGGGTTCTGCCAATTAGATGCATGTGAGAGCCAGTAACAAAAAGTCTGTCACTGTGTGGATGCCAGGTTGGGGGTGTTGGGGTAGCAGAGATACCCACTGTCAGTTCTAGAGGCTTCCAGAAATGGGTTGAAGCAGTGATGGCCAGTCCTTACACTGGTGGAGTCAGCAGCACATAAGGGTGTCAGTACCCATCAGAGGTCTCAGGGTATCTCCCCTGGTCCTGCAAAGTGATTTTGAACATTATTTCCAGGCTACATAGCCTTCAAACCTTGTTGTCCAACCTATGCAGAGATCCTGTGAGCTGCCTGATATCCCTTAGTACATTTCTGGTTTGCTTTAATGAGCAGAAATTAGCCGCAGCTGCTTGCAGCTATGCTCCTTGATTGGCATGCAATTTCGTGCACACAGCTCTTCCCACTTTTGCTTGCAGCTCCTCTAGGATTCTGGTGGGAAGCTTTGGAGTGAGCCAGGAACTGGTCTCGAGGTGACCTCCCACTTTCAAGGCTGGGCTGCTGGCTCTCTCCTCTTTCCCATCAGCAAAGTGAGAGAGTGGTTTTGAGTATAGGCTTCAGCGGCCACAGTCATGGGTTAAGATCCTGGCTCTTTGGGGGCTCTTGGGCGAATTATTTAGCCTCTCCGACTTTTTTTCCTGTTTTTTTCTCTCCCCTCCTCAACTTCTCTGAACTTTTATCTGTGAAATGAGAATAATAATACTGAGGATTTGTGATCAACCTCAGGATTTGTTTTCTCCCCAAAAATGCTTCCTTCCTTCCTAGTGATAGGGCCTGTTCTTTCTTGGGGTGAATTCACTCGTGACTCATTCAGGGATGGGGATGGGTCTCCAAGAGGCTCATCTAAGTGTCCCCAGGATGTTTCTGGTTAAACAGGACCAACTGTTTCGGGTGGAGTGGGTGTGAAGGTTGAGGTGCATCCTGGTTGCAGGCAGCTATCTCTGCCATGATGTGGAGAGTGCCTCTTGGGGTGACCCAGTCTCTAAATGCCAGCTGGGGACAGGGGGTTCTGATGACACCTTCCAGCTCCTGGGTCCAGCTGGGCTTGAAGTTGCATGAAAATCAGCCAGTCAGTTTTCTTTTCCCTTCAGCTGGTGTAAACTGGGTTCTTCATCTCCATCGAGTCTCTGAGCAGGATTCAGTGAGAAAACACAGAGTTGCTGAGCATGGATCCCAGGGTAGAATCTGCCAGGTTTTCTTTTCCAGGACACATGAGGATGCGAGTAGACTCCAGGTGGCTGCCAGGAGTGCCCCCAGCCTGCCAGGCATGCCCAGGCCTCAATCTCAGGGCTAGATAAAGCTTAGATTCAGTCTGGGGCCCTGGCTACACACAATTTTGTATTCTACTTCACACTGTGTTGTGGTCGTTTTTCCATATCATCAATATTCTTTGAAGGCCTGATTTGTCATGTCTAACAATCCAAAATGAGGATTTCTCATAACTCTTTTTAGCCATCCTCTACTGTTGGACATTAAATTTGTTTCCCATTTCCCACTTTAGAAGTCGTGCTGTTAAATCATGTTTGTGTACAAGTCTTTGACTGTATTGTAAATTACTTTCCTGGGATGGATTTCTAAACATGGAATGACTAGGTAGGTCATGGATGTCTTTAGAGCTCTTGATACCTTTGGAGATGCTCAGTTTTGAAAGAGCATCTGCACCCTTTTTTAAATGCATCATTCCACTGTCAACCAATCTTCACTGCCAGAAATTCTTCCACGGCTACCACTCATTTAGTGCTGTGGGCTAGGTACTGTTGTAAGCACCCATTTACAACAGCCAATTGCATGGATAACATTATTGTCCAGTTTTAAAGATGAAGAAGCTGAGGCTCAAAGAAGGTTTGCAACTTGCCGAAGACAGCACATCTAGAAAGAGGGAAAGCAAGGTGTGCACTAGGTTTGTCTGCCTAAATCCTATGCTGTTCTGCCTGAAACCTTCTTGGGAGAGAGGGATCACTTCCTACTGGGAGTTCTACCTGAAAATAATTCCCCCAGCTGGTGCCTGGACACTTCCTGTGTAATACCATGAGATATCCCAGTAGAAGCACATTCTAAATTATTTTGGATCCTAGATCATGCAGCTTACACCTTAATAACATCAGGGTTATTTCCATGGAGGATCTTTCTCAGCAAAGCATAGTTGCACGGACCTATGAATGGTGCGTCTCCTACTAGGGAGTCTTTGAGAAGCAAATTAACCCCTCGGACAACAGGGCAGCAGCCTGGGTACTTGTTTACTGTTCCTTCAATGGCGTTGTCACGTCCCTTCGTGGGCAAGGTCAGGGCAACAAAAGGAAGAGCAGATGTTAATCAGGCAGAGTTCACTGAGCGCTCCCTCGGGACTGAGGGAGATGGAGAAAGGCCTTCAGGGGTTTCAGCAACTATATCAGAAAGGACGGGGGTGCAGAAACCTCAGACCAGGACAGTGAGTCTGGGTGCTGTCACCTGCGGAAGGACAGGTTGTGTTCACTTCTCTCCCACCCTCTGCATCCTCTCTTCAATCCATTTTCAATGAGTTGCTCTTTCCCCGGCCCCCCACACTGAGCAGGTTGGGGGCACACTTCTCTTGGACAGTGCAGCGTCCACATGACTCCCAGGGATAGCCGCAGGTGGCTGGGCCAGCATGCTCATCACCACAGAAGGCTGGTGCTTGGGAGAGCCTGCGGTTCCCATCTGGTCTGGGGCCCACCTGGACAGCCGCACACCTGGGGCCTCCCTTATGCTGGGCCAAGCCTCACCCCTGCTGGGTTTCCCTGTTGATGGAGGAATTGCACTCTCAGGGGGGTGGGGGCAGGAAGGGGCATGCCTGTCCCTGAGGGGACATGGGCTAAGGCACGTGGGAGCATGTCCTCTGCGCCCGCTCTGCTGCTCCATGTGAAACCAGTGGCACCCCAATGTCTTGGGTTGTCTAAAGACCATGCCAGGAAGCAGAGCTCCACCAACTGGAGCTGCCCTGGGATCTGACTGTAGCTAAAGAGGCTATCCTCATGCAGGTCCATGTAGGTCCCAAGCAGCTGTGTGTGGAGTGGCCCCGCAGACCTTTGGTCCACAGTGGGGTCTGTATGAGCTCCCCCAACCCCACCCCATTGTCCCTGCCTGAGCCTCGGGGCACCTTCCAGCTGAACAGGAGAACAGGAGACCCTGCACGTCGCATGGTCTAGCCCAAAGACGGCTCTTGTGGACCTATGTATCGCTCGCCCTTCCATATCCCCTCAAAGTGCTAGGCCCAGCGGTCTGTCAGCAAATACCTGGGGACTGGGGCCAGGTGTGACCAAGCCAGTGCTACTTGGTTCCAGGGAGCTTTAAAGATGGTGTCTGGGGGCCGGGCGTGGTGGCTTATGCCTGTAATCCCAGCACTTTGGGAGGCCGAGGCGGGCAGGTCACCTGAGGTCTGGACTTTGAGACCAGCCTGGCCAAAAGTGGTAAAACCCCATCTCTACTAAAAATACAAAAATTAGCTGGGTGTAGTGGCTGGTGCCTGTAATCCCAGCTACTCAGGAGGCTGAGGCAGGAGAATCACTTGAACCCAGGAGGCAGAGGTTGCAGTAAGCCGGGATCGCGCCATTGCACTCCAGCCTGGGCTACAAGAGAAACTCCGTCTCAAAAAATAAAAATAAAAAAAATAAAGATGGTGTCTGGGACAGAGACTTCCTGGAGATGGGAAGAGGGGGTCGAGTACCATGACCCAGGTGGGTGAACCTCAGCAAATGAGGGAACAGAGTCCTTTCTCCACAGACACTCACACCGGCAGCACATCCGTCCGCTCCCTAGGTCTGACACTGCTGTAAGACCACCTTGCCTTCCGGTGCCCTTAGAGCCCCTCCACTCGGGTTCTGTGTGGCCAAGTTAGTTCCTCCCAGCACCCCGGGCTTCCCCCGCTTCTCCCAAAGGTGATGTTAATAAAGACATCACATCACATCTTTTCCTCCTTCCAGATGACAGTACACAAGCCGGACGGAAGGTAGAGGATGGGGTAAGGAGCTGGGGGAAATGCTGTCATTTCCCCACAGTCATTCCTGCAGGTTTTTGGACAGGAGAAAGGCTTGTTATTATAGAGCCATCAGAGCCATCAGCCTCCTTCTGCAGGTGGGCGGAAGTCAAGTCCGTTTGAGGCCTCCATCCCCTTGGCCCATTCACCATTCAAATCCTCCCGAGAGTGCCCGCCAGTGGCAGACAAAGCCCGATGGAGTCTCAAGAACTAGGATCCTCTCCTGCCCTGACCCCTACCCCATTATCCCAGGCGAGATTACAGATTTGTGAACTTCAGTATAAAGAAATTTTTTGAAAATTCCACTTCAAAGAGCCAGTGGGTCTTCAGCCCCCACCTCTGGGCACAACCTCCAAGGGGTGGCAGTTGGTGTCTCTCCCAGCCCCTGAGTCCCTGTAGGGGTTGTTCACAGAGGTTGTGCCTGAGTTTTCTCTCATGCACGAAAGACCCTACAGAAGCCTTGGAAGACTGTGGCTCTGCCCCTTTCTTTGAGATCTTCTGGGGTCTCCAAGGGACAAGAGTGCATGGGGTTCCCTGCCAGTAGCTCCCCTTCCTCTCGGGTGCCAGGCTTTGTCTCGGAGGTAGCCCGGCTGTTGGCACCAAGTAGGCCCCCCACACTGTGCCATCTTTTGGAGTGAAGACCGCATGGGGGTAGCACTCCAGTCCTCGAGACCACCTTCCTCGTGCCCTTTTCTCAACTCTTCTCTCCCCCTTCTTCCAGCACAGCACCCACCTTGTTCCCCCTTAAATCAGCTGAGTGTTTATGGGCACCGGCTGCAGGTCCAGCACCTGCTCTGGGGATTGATGGTTTAGAAAATGAATAAAGGGAGGTGGGGAAAGAAGATGGCAGTGGGAGCACCCAGCCCTGTCCTGCTTCTTTGCAGAAGTGGTCGGAGAGTCCCCTAGAGTCAGGAAGAATGCCGTTGGTGGACCATGAGCTCCCCCAGGGCTGGGACTGTGCCTCGTCACCTTTGTGTGGCCAGCGCTGACTTGGCTCCCAGGCTTCCATTTGCACACATGTGAAATGGGCCTCATAATGCTTCCTTCTCAAGGCTGTTGTGAGACTTAGATACAATGCTGCATGGCAAACGTCCAGCACAGAGTGCTTGTGGCAGTGCCCTCTCAGCGCGGGAGGACAATGTTGGGCAAACTTGCTGGGCCACACGTACACAGCGGTGCTAATGGCAGTGCCTGCCTTGGGATCCCGGGAGGATGAAGTGGAATGCTGATGATGGCGAGGACCATTCTGGAACCTAGCACTTCAGCACCCAGTGAATGTGATTCAGAGATGGTGTGGGGAGCCAGGTGCACACTTGTAATTCCACCTACTCAGGAGGCTGAGGCAGGAGGATCACTTGAGGCCAGGAGTTCGAGACCAGCCTGGGCAACATAGCAAGATCTCTGTCTCAAAAAGGAAGAAAGGAAAGAGAGAAAGAGAGGGAGGGAGGGAGGGAGGGAGGAAGGAAGGGAGGGAGGGAGGGAGGGGATGCAGAGGGCAGGGGAAGGGAAGAATAACTGGGCACTGGGCTTGTCCTCTTGAAGACTGCCAACTCCTGCCCGCCCAACACAGCCTAGCCCCAGAATGTTTATTGCAAACCTGGTGGCGTGGAAACGCAGATGCCATTTGGGGAAAGAATCAGCCTTCACGGGAGGGAGAATGCAGTGAGGAGGGATGGAGGAGGCCTGAGTCCAAGAAGGAAGAAGGTTATGTAGACGAGGTCAGATGGAAAAGGGTCAGGACAGATGCAAAGAAGATGCTGGGTGTGGCCAGTGGTGCTGACGCCCCTCTTGGCCCACCCAGGCTCACCAGGGGCAGGTGGACAGTACACCTGCCCACCCACGCAGCATGAGGGCCTGTCTGCTCGACATCTGCAGAGCCAAGGGTGGCCAAGAATGTTACCCTTCAAGTAACCATGGAAGGTAAGTTAACTTCAGTCCTCCCAGACTCCATGGTGCCCACAGTGCCCAATTTTGGAAGGATAGTTATGCAAGGATATGGACAGAAGGCCCGGAAAGAAAGCTGCAAGCCATCTTCAGGAGCTCTATCTGCCAGACGGGATTATGGATGATTCTACCCTCCTTCTGTGTATTTTTCTATTATTAAGAGGTTTTCAAGGAACATGTATTACTTTTATATCAATTTTCCTTCAGCCCCTAGTTCACTCCAAGCAGATCTACTTGATGGGCAAAGCCACAGCCGAGGGAGTCTGAGCTGGGCAAGGCCCGCCCATTGGCACCCGGAGGTATTCCGTAGGCAACCAACGAGGCTGCTTCTCTTGGCCTTTCTGACACCGAGGGCGTACCTGAGGCTTGAAACTTCCAAGAGGTTTAGTCATCAATCTCTAGCCTCCCGCTGGCTGTTCCCGATTGTCAGCAGAGATCTCAGCGTGGGGAGCTGGCAGGCAGGCATCCCTCATTCAGGAGGCATTTGCCAAGAACGGTGAGGGGGGAGTGTCTCGCCCCCTTTAAGTATCAAAAATCCCAGGCGCTGTGTGTACAATCCCCTCCCTGGCCTTTCCAAGGGTGGCAGGAGTCCTAGTCCAGTGAAAAGACTGTTGAAGAGGGAGGAGATTCCCTGCTGCTGAGAAGGCCTTGCAGGGAGCAACAGGCTTGCCCCAGGGGCCGCTGGTGCCAGCCAGGACGGCCCATAGTGGATCCAGCTTCTCCCCCAGTCCATTCAGTTCCACAGCACAGGCCGTGGAGGGCCTGCCCAGCCCCCTCACTGCAGGAGTGCAGATGAGTGGCAGGTGGCCATCCAGTGCCTCCTGGCCCTCGGCTTGGGGACCAAAGGGGTTTCCCATAGCTCAGTGCACGTGCCCCACTCTAAGAGCCAGATTCACAGCAGGTATCCAGGAAGGTTTATAATTGGGTACCTTCCAACTGATATTCTTCATCTATTTGTTCAAACGTATTTGTCGATTGCAGGAAGGAACCAGTGCTGCCTCCACTGTGTGGAGGGTAAAGGCTTGATGACATGGGGCTTTCCAGCCCGGCAACTGCCATTGAGGCACTTTGAGAGGCTGTTGATTTCTCTCCACTTCCCAGAGCCTTGCACGGTGATGGGGGCGGGGTCTTTTTACATTTTGCCAATTCGGCTTATTTTCTGTGGTGCTGTTGTGTCCTCAAAGGTTGAGGTCCCGGGGAATTTTGCCTGGCTGGCTCCCTTCAATCTACTCTGCCCACTCTGCAGCCAAGCAGAAGCAGCCATGTCCCACCACCAACCCCTGGGCCTGACTCCCTTTCCCTTGAGGGTCACACTCCTCCCAGGCTGCAAGGCCTGATTTAATGGCACCTCCTCCCTGCTCCTCCCGACTCCCCTGCTCCTCCCCTGACTCCCCAGCTCTTCCCCACCTCCTCTGTGCTCTTCTCCTGACTCCCCATCTTCTCCGTGAGCCTCCCCTGACTCCCCAGCTCTTCCCCATCTCCTCCATGCTCCTCCCCTGACTCCCTGTGTCCTCTGTGCTCCTCCCGACTTCCCAGATCCTCCCCATCTCCTCGGTGCTCCTCTCCTGACTCCTCAGCTCCTCCGTGCTCCTCCCCTAACTCTCCAGCTCTTCCACGTTCCTCCTCTGACTCCTCAGCCCCTTCCCATCTCCTCTGTGATCCTCCCGACTCCCTAGCTCTTCCCTATCTCCTCCATGCTCCTCTCCTGACTCCGCAGCTCCTCCGTGCTCCTCCCGACTCCCCAGCTCCTCCCCTGAATCCTCATCTCCTCCATGCTCCTCCCCTGACTCCTCATCTCCTCTGTGCTCCTCCCAACTCCCCATCTCCTCCATGCTCCTCCTGACTCCCCAACTCCTCTCTGCTCCTCCCAACTCTCTATCCCCTCCATGGTCCTCCTCTGACTCCTCAGCTCCTCCCCATCTCCTCCATGCTTCTCCCCTGACTCCCCAGCTCCTCTGTGCTCCTCTCCTGACTCCCTAGCTCCTCCCAGCTCCTCTGTGCTCCTCCCGATTCCACAGCAACTCCGTGCACTGCCCTGACACTCCAGCTCCTCCTCTGATGCCCCAGCTCCTCAGTGCTCATCCCCAGCTCTGTCCCAACCACTTCTTCATCCTGACTTGTATGAGTTTTGCTGTTTTTGTCTCTCCTCCCCCACGACTTTGAGATGCTATCTGTCTTTTCTTAGCTTTCATTCTCTGGCCCCTAGCTCAGATCCTGGCACTGTAAACACCCAATAGACCCTGGTTTGATTTCGAATTGCTCATCAATTTCTGAAAATAATGCACCTCAAGCTTTTCTTGGCAGTTGTCTGCAAATTGATTCAAGATGCCCAGCCAGGCAGGGGCAGGTGTGCTGGGGAAATCAAGGAAACCAACATCCATCCTGCTGGGAAGGCCTCCCACACTCTGACTCATCTGGTTTTCCTTCACACGTGTATTTGCGGGAAACGAACTTCTGTGCTTGAATAAATATGCGGTTCTTTGTAAACATCAACGTTGTAAGTGCAATAAATCACTGGAAACAAGAGGCACCTCTCGCGGTGGAGAACAGGAACGGCTTTCGCAAGCACTATCGGAAAGAAGCAGCGACATCAATAAAGCCGCCCGTCAGAGCTGAGGAAAGAAATCAAAGCCCTTCCTGTGGAGGACACTGTTTAATTGATGTCGCATTCAGGGGATTATGGACTATGATCAATGCAAACTGGACTGACCGAGAGAACCCTGAGCACGGAAGGTTAGCTGGGTGTCCCGGGCTCCCAGCCAACCATGTCAGAGCCAGAATGGACACCCAAGGACAGTAAAGACAAGACCCCATCTAGAGTTGGAAGCACCCAGAAGCCTCTGTCATCACCCTGCCCCAGCAATGCCACAGATGGGTGCCCCCTGGCAGAGCCACAGAATGTGTAAAGCTAAAATGAGTGTCCCGGCATCCAGGGTTCTCTCTGTAGTACCCGCCTCAGCATCCCTGGCCTCATACACAGCAGGTACTCAATAAAGGTGGCTGAATTATGGATTCTCAACTCCCAATGCTGGCAGTGGGTCAGCACTGAACACATAATCCCAACTGCATGGTCTGGTGCACTCCAGGAAAACAAACCGGTCAACAATTGTCACTAGAGGAAGTCAAGACTAGCTCAAGGTAGTGGACGGTACATCTCTTCATCGACTTGCTGATCCAATTGAATCTTCTTGCTTTGATCACTGAAACTTTGCTCCAGGGGTTTTCAACCCTGGCTATGCTGCAGAAGCACCTGGAAAGTCTGTTAAAATATGCATGTAGGCCAGGGGAAGTGCTTCACGCCTATAATCTCAACACTTTGGAAGCCCAAGAAGGGGGGATTACTTGAGGCCAGCCTAGGCAACATAGCAAGACCTCATTTCTAAAAAAAAAAAAAAAAAAAAAAATTTTGGCCAGGTGTGGTGGCTCATGCCTATAATCCCAGCACTTTGGGAAGCAGAGGCGGGTAGATCACCTGAGGTCAGGGGGGTTCGAGACCAGCCTGGCCAACATGGTGAAACGCTGTCTCTACTAAAAATACAAAAATTAGTCGAGCATGGTGGTGCATGCCTGTAGTCCCAGCTACTCCAGAGGCTGAGGCGGGAGAATCACTTGAACCAGGGAGGCAGAGGTTGCAGTGAGCCAAGATCATGCCACTGCACTCTAGCCTGGGTGACAGAGCAAGAATCTTTCTCAAAAAAAAAAGAAAAGAAATTTTTTTTTCTTTTTCTTTTTTTTGGAGACGGAGTCTTGCTCTGTCACCCAGGCTGGAGTGCAGTGGCACGATCTCGGCTCACTGCAAGCTCTGCCTCCTGGGTTCACGGCATTCTCCTGCCTCAGCCTCCAGAGTAGCTGGGACTACAAGTGCCCACCACCATGCCTGGCTAAATTTTTTGTATTTTTTAGTAGAGACGGGGTTTCACCATGTTGGCCAGAATGGTCTCGATCTCCTGACCTTGTGATTTGCCCACCTCAGCCTCCCAAAGCTCTGGGATTACAGGCGTGAGCCACCGTGCCCGGCCAGAAATTTTTTTTTAATTAGCCAGGCATGATGACACACACCTGTAGTCCCAGCTACTCGGGAAGCTGAGGCGAGAGAAGTGATTGAGCCCAGAAGTTTGAGGTTACAGTGAACTATGATCACACCACTGCACTGCAGCCTAAGTGACAGAGTGAGTGAGGCCCCGTCTCCAAAAATAATAATTATATATGTATATATACACACGTATGTGTCGGGCCCACCCCAGACAAGGCATACAGATGTTGTAAAAGTGGCCACATGTCCCTGGAGTGCTCCAAAGACTGAAGACCTCTAGCCTCACAGAGGGCCAGAGTGGTGGAACCCTGCCCCAGCTCTGCCGCCGACATCATGTGAAGTTGGTGCTAGGCAGACTCTTAGCTCCCTTGTCTGTAAAACAGACATCATAAAACCCTAAGGGACCAGGCGTGGTGGCTCACGCCTGTAATCCCAACACTTTGGGAGGCTGAGGCGGGCGGATCACCTGAGGCCAGGAGTTTAAGACCAGCCTGGCCAACATGCTGAAACCCCGTCTGTACTACACATACAAAAAAAATTAGCCAGGTGCGTGGCGGATGCCTGTAGTCCCAGTTACTCAGGAGGCTGAGGCAGGAGAATCACTTGAACCCAGGAGGCAGAGGTTGCAGTGAGCCAAGATCACACCACTGCACTCCAGCTTGGGCAACAAGAGCGAAACTCTGTCTCAAAAAAAAAAAAAAAAAAAAAAACTCTAAGCCCCCACTGACCAAATAGGTCCACCCCAAGCACAGGAATCCACTCTACAGACTTACAAAGCAGCTGCCAGTCACAAATATTATTTTTATTTGTGTAAAGAAGCATGAATTTGCTCCACGACACTCAGACTCAATAAATATCTCATTTGAAAGTTTTTCTAAATAAAATTAAATCTAGCTGAACTCCCTGACACACCCCAACCTGGCCACCTTGCCTGACTGAGGGCCCTCTCCCGACTCAAGCACAGTCTATGTACCACTGAGTCAGCTGCATGTGCAGCCCCAGGCAGGCACCTCACCCACACCGCCAGCCCCTCTGGCCAGCATGTGGAATCAACAGCTATCACTCTGAGTCTTTGCGATCCTAAAAATGACAGACATAGTTCAGGGTCTTTATTTTTTTTTTTTTTCGACCCTGGGTGACAGGGTCTCACTCTGTCACCCAGGCTGAAGTGCAGTGGTACAATCGTGGCTCACTGTAGCCCCAATCTCTTGGGCTCAGGTGATCCTCCTACCTCATGAATAACTCAAGATAGTGGAGGGTACATGTCTTCATCTGCTGGCTGATTCAGTAGGCTCATCTACTCAGCCTCCCCAGTAGCTAAGACCACAGGTGCATGCCACCACTCTGGCTAATTTTTTTTTTTTTTTTTTTTAGAGATGGGGTCCCACTATGTTGCCCAGGTTGATCTCAAATTCCTGGGCTCAAGCGATCCTCTTGCCTCAGCCTCCCATAGTGCTGGGATTACAGGTGTAAGCCGCTGTTGGGCTAGCTCTCCGGTGGCTGAGGAACTCACATTTATTTCCAGAATCTCCCTGGCCACTGATCCTTCATTTAAAACCAAAGCAGAGGCAAGGAACCAACAAAGTTGAATTCCTCTGCAATCAGGACACCTGGTGGCCCTTCTGGGCTCCATTCAGCCTCACAGGACCCCAGCCAAGACTTCTCTCACCAGAATGAAAAACCTGCCAAGCCTCGGAGGGCAGGATCCCAAGGGACAGCCTAAGAAACAGCAACCCACTTTTTCAATCCAAACTGTGAATTGCTTTAGGAGCAATCTGCTAGCTAAGCAAAGCTTTTCCATTTTTCACCTGTCTAAGAGCATTCTTCTGAGTCCTTGAGAGGGGACCGATGGGAATCCCAGCTCTCCCTTCATCCTCGTCACAGAATAATTCACACACAGGAATTCACAGGGCCAAGGCCCCAGTGAGAGGTGAGGGGCCTGCAGTAGGGATGTCCCCAAACTCCCCTGCCTGATGCCAGTCGGCAGCATGACAGGGACGGATGTGTTGCCCCGTAGCCAGTGTGCTGCCCCACAGGCAGGACAGAGAACGATGGGGACCAAACAGTGCCCCGGCAGCCTTAGCCTGCCAGCCCCAGGCCTGTGCCCTTGGTTAGCCCAGCACTGCCCAGCACCTCAGTGCTGGAGGGAGTCTCCCAGGACCCCCCTTGCTCAAGACCCCTCTGTCCTACCTGATCCCAGACCCCCTCTCTCTGCCTCTAGCAAGACCACTGAGCCCTGCTCAGCCCCAGGGCTCCCTCCAGCAGCAGTTGATCACCCCTTTGGCCCCCTCTTTTGCGATCCATTTCCCTCACTCCTAACCAGCCCAGAACAAATGCCCACTGGGGGCCAACCTCCATGCCAGGCACAGTGGGCACAAAGTCAAGTGACTTCCCGTGAACCCACCAGATGCCCACCAAGATGCATTCAGACCATTCTTAAGCAAACCAACTGCTGTCATTACAGGGATAGGAACTTCTCCAGAAGGGTCTGGAAATGACTCTCAGCTGCCATCACTGCTACATGGGACAAGAGAGTATCACGTGCATGCCTGGGCATCCTGCAGAGGGGGTCCCTCCCTGGGCCTGTCTTCATGCTATCCATCAGCACTTTTAAAGGATCCTTCTTCACTTTCCCCAGAACCATGTGCAGTGAGACCACAGGACATGGTGGCAAGAGGTTATCTGGACCAGAGATCTACACAGTCCAACCACCGGAGAGCTTTTCACAACCTCACATGCACAATCCCCACCCATACCCAGAGGCAGAATCATGGGAAAAAGCCCAGCCCTAGCGTGGTGTGACTTGCACAAGTCAGTTAACCTCTTGGAGCCTCAGTTTTCTCACCTGTGGAATGGAGCTAATAATAGACCTTCCAGGTATGAGATGAAATGAGAGACTCTGGTGCTTCACAGCCTTTCTCCTGACAGCGTACCTGGAGAATGTGAATGGATTTACACAGTGCACCGAGTACGTGAGCGAGCCTGCCTCCGGTCACCCCAGGGCTGAAGGGACCCCCATCTCAGGTGCAGGAGGCTGAGGGGCAGTGGTGGGAAGGCCTGATGGCTGCAAAGCACTAGGCAGAGGGCTGGTATATCGGAGGCCCCTCATGCAATGATGGGTTTTGTGGCTCAGCCAGGAGGCCTGGGCTGGGGCTGACGCATCGCCATTGTTTAAGGAGCTCCCCGCCTGACTCTGGAGCAGGTGGTCTGTGGGTCAGGTGTGGACCGAAAGGTTCCAGCAGCTCAGAACCAGCAGGTTCTTCCCCAAATAGGGTCACCAGCTCCCCACTACATGCCACCCCTTCCTGCAGCCCACACACCAGTAGGGTCCTCCCTGCCTAATTAGCAGGCAAATCCCTTTCTGCAAGAACTGAATGGGTCCCTTCTGCTGCGAGGGCTTCCCTCACACTGTCCCTTTGTAGCCGCCCAGCGTCTCAGCCAGGCCAAACTAGGTCCTCAGGTGTTTACTCTCCCTGCAATTTTGACTTTGCCCCTCTGGCTCCCACCTTCAAAGCTTCAAGCAGGGCTGTGGCGGGGGACTCCAATGGGGCTGAGTTTTCTGCTGGAAAAGTGGCTGGCCATGGGCAGGGCCTGGTCTGGCCACCCCAGACAGGGCTGTTTGCAGGGGGCGTGGTGACCCAGACAAACATGCTCTGGAGGTGAGACCACAAACAGCCCGGGCCCAGGGAGGCACTGAGTCCTCGCAAATGGGGTCAGGCGCAGCTGCTGCAGGCCCGACACCGCCCCTCTGCTCACCTGAAGGTAGAGAAGCCTAAAGAAGCTGGGAGGGGCTGCTCTCTCTGGAATGTACCACGGAGGCAGACATTCCTCCAAACAGAAAGGCAAGGCCCCTCCCACCCCAGGAGAGCACACCCGCTCTTCTACAGGGCAGGCTGACAGACCCTCTCCAGAGAGGGCCCTCTCCACCCACCCGGGCAGGAGGGTGGAGTCACAACTCGCTAACCCTAACCCCAGGCAACAGGAACAGGTGAGGGGGATGGGGTAGCAGGGGGCAGACGCTGCCCTCCCCTTACCCCAGGCCTCCAGACATTCTGGACCAGCCCAATCCCCTGGTCACACTTAGCAAACCAGCCAGGCCCACTCGAGGTTGGACAACATGGGGATGAAGTTTCCCTTCACTCCACAACACAGTCCGGGCTGTCCGGGACCAGGTCCAGGTGGATCCAGCCTCAGCACCCCACCTTAAGACTCTGTTAAGAGCTGTCTGAACTCCCTGCACCTGGGTCCTATGAACTCCGGCTTTTCAAGGCTGGCATGGGGATCGTAAGATCTAATGCAAGAACCGGCCCGCCATAAAGGACGGGTGATCATCACCTTCATTCACTCATCAGGCTGAGACTGGGGGAGAGACAGGCACCGGGCAAGTGAGCCCAGGATTAGAAACCAGGCCCCAGTCAAGTGAAGCCAGGATGAGGACATACCCCCTGGGGTGTCCCAGGGTGTCCTCACTTCCCTGAGCCCTCTTAAGTGGAACACCGATTCAGCATCCCCACGCAAACCACTAAAATCCTTCTTTCTCAACAGAGTCTTGTGGGATTGGTGGGCCTGGGGAGGGTACCTTCCTGCTGTCCCATGGCCCTGGCACTTCCTTGCCCTGTGCTGGGGGCTGGGAGGGTGCCTGACCAGACCCTAAGAGGGTTGTTCCCAGCGGGATTCCTGGTACCACCCAAACTCGATGAAGCCACCTGTCAGAGCAGGGCCGGGGCCCCTGTGTGTTTATCAAGCCTCAGGTGATCCCAGAGGGCTCAAGAGTTTGAGGTCGGGGGCAGAGGGAGCTACAGGCAGGACCCAGCAGCCAATATCAACCTCCCCACAGCCCGCTGCTCCCATTTCTACATGAGGACACTGAGACTCCAGAGGTTGTGTGACTGACTGGTCCTAGGTCTCAGAGCTGGTAATTTGCCTCCTGGGATGCAGACACAAGCTTCCACCTGCGGGTGTCACCCCTCCTCAGGCCCCACCTCCCCTCCCATCCACGAAGTCCAAGGTAAGTCCAGGACTGGGCCCTGGGCACCAGCCTTGCCCTTGGCACTGATGGGGTTCAGGACATGGTACCCCAAAATACAGCACCTTGGCATTTGAGGAAACAGCAGAAACAGAAAGGTCGTTTTCACCTCCCACCCTCCCTTCTCCCCTGAAGCAGGACATAAAACCCTCATTCAGGTGTTAGTCTCCCTATACCCAGAAGAAACATCCTCACCTCTGAAGACACAGGGATAGAGGAGACTGTGAACACGCAGGCCTGGCTAAGTCCCTCCATCTATTACCGTTACATCAGACGTTTTTATCCAATCAAACTTTTCTAGGACTATCCACTTTTTTTATCAAACCAAGCATAAAAAACACAGGTTTGGCTGGGTGTGGTGGCTCACGCCTGTAATCCCAGCACTTTGGGAGGCCGAGGTGGGCGGATCACCTGAGGTCAGGAGTTCGAGACCAGCCTGACCAATATGATGAAACCCCATCTCTACTAAAAATACAAAAATTGGCCGGGCCTGGTGGCATGCGCCTGTAATCCCAGCTACCTGGGAGGCTGAGACAGGAGAAACGCTTGAACCCAGGAGGTGGAGGCTGCAGTGAGCCAAGATCCTGCCATTGCACTCCAGCCTGGGCAACAAGAGTGAAACTCTGTCTCAAAAACACACACACACACACACACACACAGGTTTACACATTTCTTTGGGTCTTCATTTCCTTATGAAGGCTCCTGCATCCGGTAAAAATTATATTAAATAAATGTGTATGTTATTCTCTTGTTATATGAGTCCCAGGCAGGAACCTAGGACGGTGAGGAAAAGCTCTTTCTCCTCCTATGGCATCCACACACCCAGGGCCTGCCACTCCTGCCCAGCCCAGGACCGTCACTATCTCAGTGACCAGTGGACAGGGCTCAGCAGGGCCACACGGATCAAGGTGGGCCCCAGCCAGGCAGAGACCAGGCCCCGCATCCTCCCACCCCCTGCACAACTTCGGTCCCCCAATCACCAGGGCAGGTATGAGTAAGGCCATTGCACAGTGGCAAAAACTGAGGCCCGCAAGGGCCCAAGGACCACCACTCAGATCCCTCCGGGCACAGCCCAGCCAGGAGCTCCGGGCAGAGTCCCGGGAGGCCCTGCCCACAGGGTCAGAGCGCCCCTGCCCCCGGCCCAACGGATGCGCCTGTCCAGGATCACCACCTGTCAAGCTCGCTGCAGCGCGGGAGGTGGGGTGGACCCTTCCCTGCCCCGGAGCCCACACCTCTGCACGGTGAACCGAGGCGCTCCGACGGGTGCGCGGACAGCACCTGGCACTGAGGAGGTGAACGTGACTCCCACACACGCGGGACTGAACCAGCGCCCCAGAGTCCCCAGAACACGCATGGGCCCGCGGGGCCGCAGCCCACGCCCGGGACAGCCGCCCGCAGTCTACGCAGGGAGGGGCCGCGGGGCTCTGGTTTCTGCAAGTTCTGAATTGTCTCCAAGGAGCATATTCCAACGTCAGAATAATAAACTTTTACAGAACTGTATTGCTCTGCAGCGCGCGGGGGGACTCGGCCCAGCGAAGAGCGAGCGCCCTACAGGCCTCGGCGGAGGAGGGCACGGTCCCCAGCGCGGCTCCTGGCCCCGCCCACGGCCCCGCCCCAGCTCCCGAGCCCCGGCCTCGCGCACGCGCATCTCGCGGGCTCGCAGGACGGCCGGGAAGCAACGCTTTGCGGGCAGCGCCCCCTGCCGTCCCAACGCGCGTGGGGCCCTATGGCTGCGAGCAGTTCCGGCCAAAAGCCCCAGGACCCGGACTTGGGGTTATTGACTTGCGCGTGGGCGCTGAGTCTTGGAGGGGAGGGGACAACTCGCCACACCCCCGTCCTCTCCCTGGAGCTCGAAGCCCCTTTCTGCTGAAATGGGGCCTCCTTTTCTCGGGAAACTGACTTTGGGGGAAACTAAGTCTCAAGGGGATCTTAAAACCCAAGACGGGGGAATGGGAACCTCACAGGACGTGGGGGCGCTTTTCTGGCCATCTCTATATAAAACCTGCCGGGGGCCTCAGACCCTGGCTCCTCTGTCAGTTCCCAAGACCCGTCGCGCGCCCACCTGAGCCCGGTGCCCACTGGATGGGGGCTCAGGCTCACCTGGTCAGTCCTCACCCCCACCTCCAGAGACCAGGCAGTCATGCCCTTCTAATATGGCGGAGGTCCCAAAAGATTATACCATATTTTTACTGTGCCTTTTCTGTGTTTAGCTATGCAAATACTTAGCATTGTGTCGTAGCAGGCTGTGCCATCTAGGTTGTGTAAGTACACGCCATGATGTTCACATAACGAGAAAATCGCCAAAGGACGCATTTCTCAGAACATACACCTGTTGTGAAACCACCCGTGACTGTTCTGTCCTAATTCAACCCCCTCATTCGATAAAGGACAGAGAGGCATTGAGTTGCCAGAGGTCATCCTGGTTGTCAGAGGCAAAAGCAAAACCGAAGCTCTGAGCCTCGCAGCAACCACCCACGCCACCGCCTCCCGTCATCATCAGGAGGCCTCCCCAGGTTTCTGTCCCAGGGAGCGCAGCCGGTGGACAAGTCCCTTCCGCTCTCTGAGCCTCCAGTAACATGAAAACACTGGCAGGAGACCCTCCATGATTCCAGGATTCCTAGAACACTGGCAGGACACCCTCACCCGGTGATCACTCCCAGGTCACCCCACTGAAAGCCGGCAGCTTTCTGTATGGTCTGCATCCATGTTTTTCTATTTCTCCCAGGAGTAATTACTCCATTTGTTCACAGGTACACGGCTTGGCACTCAGGGGCCATAAATTAAAGAGATGTTGTGATAAAAAGGAAGGCAGGAGAGAGTAGGGGCTGGTGGATCCCACTTGCCCTTCACTGCCGGTCTCAGAGACTGGCCTAGGAGAAAGCCACCAAGATCAAAGGCCCCCAGACCCTGCATCCCCATGGATGTGCAAGCCTGAGCTGTCGGTGGTCCTCCCGAACCCTGCCTTGAGCCATGCTTGGCTATTCCACACAAGGCTTATTTGCAGCAATCATCTGCTGGGCTCTTAAGTATTGTGATGCAAATTATAAAAGCCATTTTAGTTCAGATATCTCATTAACAATTTGAAGGGCTAGGCTGATGTATAGAGAAAAAATCTCATTTGCAAGTTAATCAAAATAAAGGCTGGGGAGCTAATAAACCTCCTCTGAGCCATTATACATGCATGGAACACTGGAGTGAGCCCTGAAATATATTTTAAAGTTTTTTTTCCTAAATGGACTAAGCTGCTTTTAGATATATATTATTCATTTTGATGCCTCCTGCTGGTATTTTAAGAATCCATCCCCCAAGTTCAAAACAAATTGAAATGCTTTTACAGGCCACAGGGGCCTCTTGGCCAAGCTCTTGAGACAAAGGGAGGAGCTGTTCTCAAAGCCCCCAGTCCCTGAGGCACCAGGACCACCTACTGGCTCCCTCAGAAGGTTTGTCCAGCCCATCCAAGGCTCTTGGGCATCACCACTATTTCAATGACCTAAAGCAAGCTTGTGTTTCTGAGCCTTGGTCTCCTCATCTGTAAATGGAAGTAATAATACCTGGAGTGAGACTTAAGGCATTTGAAATAGTGCCTGGCACAGACTGCTGAATAAATGCTATTTATTTGAACCACTGTCTATCCTCCGGGACCAGCCAAGTGGTACTCAATAAACATTTTTGAAATAAATGTACCTATTAAAAAGCCCGCTGATGCCAGGAATCGTGTGCCTTATTCACCAGTAGACGTCAGTGCCCCAGCATGGTTGGGTGAATGACACCCTGCCTCACACTCAATACCCACTTTGCAAGGACTGCACATTAGAATCCCCAGGAGCATTTAATATCCAGGTGCAAGGCCCCATCCAGGAGATGCTGATGTAATTGATTTGAGGTGAGGTCTGGCCATCAATATTATTTTTTTTTTTGAGACAGTGTTTCACTCTTATTGCCCAGCCCAGAGCGCAATGGCACAATCTCGGCTCACTGCAACCTCCGCCTCTTGAGTTCAGGTGATTCTCCTGCCTCAGCCTCCTGAGTAGCTGGGATTACAGGCGTGCACCACCACGCCCAGCTAATTTTTGCATTTTTAGTAGAAACTGGGTTTCACCATGGTGGTCAGGCTGGTCTTGAACTCCTGACCTCAGGTAATCTACCCACCCCGGCCTCCCAAAGTGCTTGGATTACAGCCATGAGCCACCACACCTGGCCGATACTAATTTTTTAAGCAAGCCAGGTGACTCTGAAGTGCAGCTGGCATTGAGCAGCACAGATCTAAACCTATAAATGTCCCCTATATGCCTCCCCCGACCTCTGTGGTGCTTCCCCATCACATACAGATGTGCTGCAGAGAGCATGCTGGGAACTTCACAGTCCTAGTGCTTGAAACGCATTGTCACTTTCACCTCTGTTATTCTGGGTACATCAGATGTCCTATCCCAACCTCAGTTTTCTTATATGTGCAGTAATTAATTTAGATGAGGTATTCTGGAAGGTCAGAATCCAAAGAACAAGTTATCATTAGGGGGTGTGGAGAGTGAAGGTGGTGACTATTTAAAGTGCAAAAATGTACCAAGATTATCATCTTTCTTTTGCACATATCTAAATGTGCATCTGGGCACCACATACTCTGTGAGTTCTCCTCTACTTTGAACCACTCCTCCCCGAAGAAGAAAAATAACTTTTTACCTGAAGAATGTGAGCCCCTTTAAATTATCAGGCCCAGAAAAGTATCTAAAATATAATGGCAGTCAGGTCTCACTCCCCCTTGAGCTAAATAATTACCTCTCGAAGCCCCTTGCCATGCAGCTCTAGACTAACTGAAGCCAAATGGCCACAAAAACGCCATACATCCTGTACTTCAACAATGAATAGCCAATCAGTAACTAATGCCAATTCTCTAGACCAATGAAAATTCCTAATAAATAAGTTTTATAATCACCCCTTCTCCTGATTTTTTTTTCTTTATAAATATTCTCCAGAGCACTCCCCAAGGCAAACTGATGATGTATCCTGGGCTGCAGTTCTCAAGCTTGGCCCAAATGAGAAGATTTTTCTCGGCCCCTTTGCCAGGCACGCAGCAGGAGGCACCCCATCTACTGGGCCTGCCAGGCCGCATCTGGCTTGCACTCCGGCGCAGATCCCACAGCAGCTGCTGCTGCATGCTCAGGCCCTGGTGGGAGGGGGTATGTGAGTGAGCAAGTGTGGGGTCCAGCCAGCCATTCCAAATGCTGGCACAGGGGTGGGCTCCATGCGGGGTTTGCAGCTGGACCAGGTGTGTCACTCCAAGGGGAATGCAGTGGTGCCCAGGCAGGGGTGCCCATGACCCTAAAGCCCCAAAAGAGTGTTACAATGTGCTCATTAGCTCTTTTAGTCCCACCATCCATAGCCCAACAGACGGTGGCATGTTAACAGCTCAGTCAGCCCCTTGCCCCATTCCAGCCCGCAGCTCCGGGGCCAGCTCCGCCCCATCACTACTTTCCATCACATGAGGCATCTGCCCTCTGCCAGTGAAGGGCAGAGGGCCACAGTGTTACAGCCTTGTGAGTACCCATGTTCAGTGAGTCTGGAGTTCTTGTCCGTCAAAGAAGAATGAGGTCACACTGGCAACTGAGGGGTGGTGAGGGCAGAGAAGTTTATTAAGCGACAAAACAGCTCTCAGCAGAGAGGAGACGGGAAGGTGGTCTCCTCCAGTGTGGCTGAGTCTGGGGTTTTTATAGGCACAGGATGGGGGAGGGGCAGGCCATAGGTAGTATCAGAAAAGGCAACATTCAACTGGTCAAAAAGCGTTATTCAGAAAGAACCAATCGGGAAAGAGTGGGCAAATAGGAACAGAAGTTCTCACTCTGGGTCACAGGTTTCATCCAGAACCAACAGTTCAGTCTTTCAGACTTCAGGCTGTTTTTGGCTTGAAGGTGGTGTTTCACTGGGGACCGCCCCTATCAGCCTAGGCATTTTGTCTGCCTCCTGCTATCATGAATAACTTTATGATTATTAATTTTGCCTCAGCTTCTTCCTTTAACTTGACATCCCCTTTGTGATACAGCCAGGCTATCAGCTCTACGCCATCTCTTCCTTATCTAGATGTCACCCTTATCTGAAAGAATCCTTCTCCCGAAGCTTCCTCTCTCCCAAACTCCTCCAACTGTATGTGTTGGGGGTGGGGAGGGGGAGCTAGCAACTTATTTATTGATCTGTAATTCTGTGCCAGGTCCTCCACCAGGAGCTTGACCTACTCCATCTTTTTTAATCCTCCTAACTCCCCTGAAAGGTAGATAGCATCCCACTTCCTCACAGCTAAGGAAAGGGAGTATCTAACCACAGCAGTTGCCCTGATGTTCTACCCCAAATCCAAAGCCTGTGTCTGACTCTCCCTGCCTCCCGCTTCACCACCCCTCCACTTCATCCCCAGGGCACTAAGTGCCGTCAGCAGGTTCCTGCCCACCTGTTCACCACTGGACATAGGCCCTGAGGCCCTACAACCAGTGTGTACTGCATGAGTAAGCCCTAAACCATCAGCCAGAAAGGATTTTCTTTTGTTTGTTCCTTTTTGAGACAGAGTTTCGCTCTGTTGCCCAGGCTGGAGCGCAATGGTGCAATCTCTGATCACTGCAACCTCTGCCTTCTAGGTTCAAGTGATTCTCCTGCCTCAGCCTCCCGAGTAGCTGGGATTACAGGAATGCACCACCACGCCTGGCTAATTTTTTGTATTTTTAGTGGAGATGGGGTTTCTCCACGTTGGTCAGGCTGGTCTCAAACTCCCGACCTCAGGTGATTCGCCCACCTCAGCCTCCCAAAGTGCTGGGATTACAGGCATGAGCCACCGCACCCAGCCTAGGATTTTCTAATAGGATCACGCCACGCCCCTGCTTCAACCCCTTTCTTCAGTGACCCCACTGCTCACCAAATTAAGCCCAAAGGCCCTCATTGTCATTGGCCACCGTCTCCACAACTCCCTGTACTTTCCTACCTCTGGGTCCTCTCTGACTTTTAAAGCCTTCAAAGAATTTAGCAGGAAGATAGCTTTGTTAAAAATCACCTGCCCTAAGGTCATCTCTGGTGAGAATAACTGAATGCAAATTAAACTGACTCATCATAATAATAGTATGTCCTAAGGCAACCTGCAAATGTGGAATCTCCAGTACACACACACAGAGAGAGACTGAATTAGAATCTGCATCTTAAGGCTGGGCACTGTGGTTCACACCTATAATCCCAGCACTTTGGGAGTCCAAGGCAGGTGGACCACTTGAGCTAAGGAGTTCAAGACCACCCTGGGAAACATGGCAAAACCCTGTCTCTACCAAAAATACAAACCAATTAGCCAAATCTGGTGGCACACGGCCATGGTCCTAGCTAGTAGAGAGGTTGAAGTGGGAGAATCGCTTGAGCCTGGGAGGTGGAAGTTGCAGTGAACCGAGATCATACCACTTCACTCCAACCTAGGTGACAGTGAGACTATGTCTCCAAAACAAAAATCTGCATCTTAATAAGATTCCTAAGACAGGTTCTCAACCTTGAATGCCCTGGAGAGCTTACCTGGCCTGGGTGCCACCCCAGTTGTAAT
Organism: Homo sapiens; assembly: GCF_000001405.40. Taxonomy (NCBI): domain Eukaryota; kingdom Metazoa; phylum Chordata; class Mammalia; order Primates; family Hominidae; genus Homo; species Homo sapiens. The sequence continues at coordinate 124,395,267 of NC_000010.11, forward strand.
TGGTATGAGGAGGCCTCCCAGTAACTGCTCACTCATTTAAACGTAGTCATTCAGTGACAGAGCACTACCCTGACAGAGTACCAAAGACTCAACTCTCATACTGCTAAGAGGTAACTTTTTAGAACCTGGGGGAGGCAGGGAGCAATGTGACACAATTAACTTGAGTTTTTTTTCTTTGAAAAGCAAGTCACTTCTAGGGATTTACTCCATAGAAACACTGTGCACTTTTGCACCATTGTGAAAAGATATGAAGTGGTCACAAGTTTTATTCAAGTCAAATGGTCCCAATATGAGATGAAATTACAGTATACCCATATATGATGAAATACTAATTATTTGAGAATAAGACGGAAAAACATCCAAAATACTCTGTTCAGGTAAAAAAAAAAAAAAAGAAAGAAAGAAAAAAGAAAAAGTTGCAGAACACCACATATAAAAAGGATAACTTTAAAAAAATGATAAATATTAGTATATGCACAGAGAACGCGCTACTTTGAAAGGGAAGTATGAGACCTATCTTTTAGATGTATTCTTTTTATAACTTCTAGTTTTCTGTAGATCAGAGTTGAAATGCTGTTAGAAAACACATGGAATATGCCGGGCACAGTGGCTCATACCTGTAATCCCAGCACTTTAGGAGGCCGAGGTGGGTGGATCACCTGAGGTCAGGAGTTCGAGACCAGCCTGACCAACATGGTGAAACCCCATCTGTACTAAAAATACAAAAATTAGCTGGGCATGGTGGTGTAGGCCTATTGTCCCAGCTACTTGGGAGGCTGAGGCACAAGAATCATTTGAACCTGGGAGGCGGAGGTTGCAGTGAGCTGAGATCACGCCATTGCATTCCAGCCTAGGCAACAGAGCAAGACTCTGTCTCAAAAAAAAAAAAGGAATACAAAAAAAAGAAAACACATGGAATAAATAAATCTCAAAAAGCTTAAAAATGTAACTGATAGGCTGGGCGCAGTGGCTCACGCCTGTAATCCCAGCACTTTGGGAGGCCGAGGCAGGTGGATCACAAAGTCAGGAGATCAAGACCATCCTGGCTAACACAGTGAAACCCCATCTCTACTAAAAATACAAAAAATTAGCCGGGCGTGGTGGCGGGCATCTATAGTCCTAGCTACTGGGGAGGCTGAGGCAGGAGAATGGCGTGAACACAGGACACGGAGCTTGCAGTGAGCCGAGATTGCGCCACTGCACTCCAGCCTGGGCAACAGAGCAAGACTCCATCTCAAAAAAAAAAAAAAATGTAACTGATAACACTGCAGTAATAGCATAGTGACATGGGGAATAAAGAAATCTTGTAACTGAAGAACGTGAGCCCCTTTAAATTATCAGGCCCAGGCCAGGCACAGGGGCTGATGCCTGTAATCCCAGCACTTTAGGAGGCCAAGTTGGGGGGATCGCCTGAGGCCAGAAGTTCAAGACCAGCCTGGTCAACTTAATGAAACCCTATCTTTACTAAAAATACTAAAATTAGCTGGGTGTGGTGGTGCACACCTGTAATCCCAGCTATTCGGGAGGCCGAGACAGGAGAATCATGTGAGCCCAGGAGGTGGAGGTTGCAGTGAGCTGAGATCGTGCCACTGCACTGCAGCCTGGGCGACAGAGAGAGACTCCATCTCAAAAAATAAAAACTAAATTATCAGGCCCAGAGAGGCAATAGAATGAAATCATAGTCAGGTCACTCTCTCCCAAGCTACATAATTACCTCTTGAAGCCAAGTATCTATCAAATGCCATATACCCTGTAGTTCAACAGCATATAGCCAATCACTAACCAAGGTTAGTTCTGTAAGCCAATGAGAATTCCTGATAAACAACTTTTGTAATCACCCCTTCACCTTGTGTCAGTAGAGGGTATAAGAGCAGCTGATCTATCCTTTTTTCTTTAAGAAGTGTTCTCTGGAGCACTCTCCAGGGCAACCTGGAAGTGTGTCCCGAGCTGCAGTCCCCAACCTTGGCCCACCTAAACATTCTATATTAATTTTGCCTCAGCTTCTTCCTTTTAAGGTGAATAATCATCACAAAACAGACATTTGAAATATAAGCTTTATTTTAAATTTAAAGAAGTATTGAAAATAAACATTTTTTACAAATTATAATCAAGCACTCAAAACAATTTAGGAATGTTAAACACTAATTCTTAATTCAAAATAATGACATCCATAGAATACAACCCTGGTGTTGGCCAATATGAAGTTTACTTAATATTAGTATTTTATATACACTTAACCATTAATCCTTCCTAAAATTCAATAACAATGATTTCACTTTATAAGATGAAGCCTTTTATGCAATACCCAGAGATAACTTTTTCAAATATGAAACACTTATACCAGTGAGGAAATTATAAAAACATATATCAATTATACTGAAGGACTTGATTTAGAGGCTGTCTGTATATAGATGCATTTCACCTTAGGAAGTACACATGCACATCAAAACACTTCAACTGAATATAGATGCCATTACATTATTTAGTTACGTTACAAAGCAAACGGCAGGTTCATAAACGTTGTTCTATTATGTATCAACTGAAAAAAATATATTCAAAAAAAAAGTTTTTGAAGACTCATGGGAGTGGAATGTGCCCACATTAGGAATAAAGCTTTTACAGGACCACCTGTCTCCAGCTGGCTCCCAGGGACCACTGAAAACAGCTGGCTACCCTCAGAAAGACAAGATGGTCTTGTTAATAATTTCAATGGACTCTCGAAGCTCATCCTCCTTGATCACCAGCGGAGGCGCAAACCTGATAATGTCGCCATGGGTTGGCTTGGCCAGAAGTCCATTATCTCGAAGTCGTAGACACACCTTCCAAGCATCCCAATCTAAAGAAAAATAGTAAAACGTACATGCTCAAAGATAAACGTTTAAACATCCCTTGCCGTATGTATGGGCAAAGTGCAGCCTGGCAAAACAAAATTAACAGAACTTGCTCAACTAAGGGAAGCTTGGGCTGGGAGCGGTGGCTTATGCCTGTAATCCCAGCACTTTGGGAGGCCGAGGTGGGTGGATCACGAGGTCAAGAGATTGAAACCATCCTGGCCAACATTATGAAACCCGTCTCTACTAAAAATACAAAAATTAGCTGGGCATCATGGTGCGCACCTGTAGTCCCAGCTACTCGGGAGACTGAGGCAGGAGAATCGCTTGAACCAGGAGGCGGAGGCTGCAGTGAGCGGAGATCGCGCCACTGCACTCCAGCCTGGTGACAGAGCAAGACACCGTCTCAAAAAAAAAAGAAAGGGAAGCTTGGAGCTGCAAGCTTGCTTTGTTTTTACTCCTAAAAATGAAGTTACTCTTCACTTTTCAGCAAGCACATAACTAGGTTTGAATGATATGATTAGACATATCATAGTTTTTCATAAATGAAAAAGACCAAGCCAAAAAAAAAAAAAAAAATGTGCTAAGGCTGCTGTATTAATCACACAAGGAACTAATGCAAAAGAACTTGGGTATAGGCTGGATGCAGTGGCTCACACCTGTAATCCCAGCACTTTGGGAGGCCGAGGTGGGCAGATCATGAGGTCAAGAGATCGAGACCATCCTGGCCAACATGGTGAAACCCCATCTCTAATAAAAATACAAAAATTAGCCTGTCGTGGTGTGGCACATGCCTGTAGTCCCAGCTACTCAGGAGGCTGAGGCAGGAGAATCGCTTGAACCCAGGAAGTGGAGGTCGCAGTGAGCCAAGATCATGCCACTGTACTCCAGCCTGGCGACAGACACTCCAGCCCAACAGAGCAAGGCACTGTCTCAAAAAATAAAATAAATAAAATAAATAAAATTCTAAAAAAGAAAAAAAAGAACTTGGGTATGATACAGATGATTAACTGACATAAAATGGGCAATACTCAAAACCCAGTGAACACTACACATTCCAAAAAGGGACTCGCTTCCTGAGCTCAACATATTATAGCAGCGATTCTCAACCTGGCTGCACATCAGAATCACCTTAAAGGCTATTGCTAATGCCTGTGCCCCGTCCCAGATCCGTCAAATCAGAATCCCTGGGGTAAGGCCAGGCTTTGACTCATTTTTTTAAGAAGCTCCCCAGGTGATTCTTTTTTTTTTTTTTTTTTTTTTTTTGAGACGGAGTCTCACTCTGCCGCCCAGGCTGGAGTGCAGCGGCGCAATCTCAGCTCACTGCAAGCTCCACCTCCCAGGTTCAAGCGATTCTCCTGCCTCAGCCTCCTGAGTAGCTGGGACTACAGGCACCCACCACCTCGCCTGGCTATTTTTTTGTATTTTTAGTAGAGATGGGGTTTCACTGTGTTAGCCAGGATGGTCTCGATCTCCTAACCTCGTGATCCACCCGTCTCGGCCTCCCAAAGTGCTGGGATTACAGGCATAAGACACCGCGCCCGGCCCCTCAGGTGATTCTTTAAGTGCAGCCAAGGTTGGGAGGTTGGAATCGTTGCTTTAAAAGGAAGAGTTATCACAAGAAAATCCAGCAAGGAACACCTAAGGGTTACAAAGGATGTACTAAAACATCAAACACCCAATTAAGTGACAGCCAGCATTATTTTTATTATTGACCCCATAACTGTCATTCATATCATTATTTCTGCTGCTCCTATAACCTCTACTGACACAAAGCATCAAAGTGAGGGAGGGAAGGATAGCAAAGAGGACACTTTCAAGTCCAGACTCACCAACAAAAAAACTTGAACTCTCTAAATACTGCATGACTAATTTAAGGCAGAAAAATAAGTGTCTTAAAGGAACAAGGGTCAAATTGGTTAAATGTGCCTTCATTTAGAAAAGAGCTATATTTTTTATACTCTTAATATAATTATAAATCAGACAATAATCTGTCTAAAAGGTTTGGTCATTATGTCAGTCAGCAGTTTCAAACAGAACATCCCAACACCCAATTAAAATACCAAGTGTGGCCAGGAGCAGTGGCTCATGCCTGTCATCTCAGCACTTTCAGAGGCTGAGGCAGGCGGATCACGAGGTCAGGAGATCGAGACCACCCTGGCCAACATGGTGAAACCCCATCTCTACCAAAAATACAAAAATTAGCTGGGCGTGTTGGCACGTGCCTGTAATACCAGCTACTCGGGAGGCTGAGGCAGGAGAATCGCTTGAACCGGGGCATCGGAAGTTGCAGTCAGCCAAAATGGCGCCATTGCACTCCAGCCTGGCAACAGAGCAAGACTCCATCTTAAAAAAAAAAAAAAAAAAAAAGTGTGGCCGGGCGCGGTGGGCTCACGCCTATAATCCCAACACTTTGGGAGGCCAACGCAGGTGGATCACGAGGTCAGGAGTTTGAGATCAGCCTGGCCAACATTATGAAACCCCATCTCTATTAAAAATATAAAGATTAGCTGGGCGTGGTGACAGGCGCCTGTAATCCCAGCTACTCAGGAGGCTGAGGCAGAGAATTGCTTGAACCCAGGAGGCAGAGTGCAGTGAGCCAAGATTGCGCCACGGCACTGCAGCCTAGGAGACAGAGCAAGACTCCGTCTCGAAAAATAAATAAATTAATTAAATTAAATACCAAGTGTATTTTAGGTCTTCCTTAAAAAATTATCTTGAGTAAATGTTTTATCTCCATACCTTTGGTTTCTTTAATGACAATAGCGTTTAATAATCCTTTTCCTCTTACGGCAGTTACAACATCAGAAGGTAGCTTCATGAGTTCATTTCTCAAGATAATGCCCAATTTGTCTGCATTTTCAGCAAGGTTTTCTTCTTCTAAAACCTACGTTTAAAGAAAAATTATACAAATATTAAGACTGTCCTTTTTTTGTTTTTTGGAGGACAACGGGGACTGTAAACACAGGAAAAACATGACTAGATAAAATACCAGAGGAACTTAACTTTCATTGCTATTTTTCAAAGCCTGTATTAGTTTCTAATTAAACATACACTAGCTCAGAGTCTTGCTTTCATCACAAATCTATTGCCAATCATTCATGGCAAAATAAGGATTAAAGTTTATTTAATGCAACTCACATACTGTCATTAATTGAATACATCAATGGACGAAATGTAATTCCTAAACTGCAATAGTTTCTTCCCCCCTCACAAAGATCTGTCCTCAGAGATTACATAATAATTGTATACCTTCAGCAGGCACTTAAAAAATCAGTCTGAAAACATTATAAATCCACACTTGAAAGAAGACTTGCTTGCTAAGCAAAAAGACGGGTCTGGTAGGTGGGTCACAGTTGAGAGTTCTATGAGGGCCAGCCAGGGCCGAAGAACTCAAAGCGCCAGGTGACTGTGAACTCAGGAAGCCCACGGAGGAAATCCAGTCTACTAGGCCAAGTTTAAATTACTTTTTGAGAATATCTTGTTCCTAAAATTTTTCCTCTATACTTCATGTTTTCTAATATTTGGCATTCTTATTGAATTTTTTATTATACCAGTGGGCCCAAATTAAAAATCACTTCAACATTGCTTTAAAGAATAGACACTGTGTGGCTGTATCAGTCTTTACCTCAAGGGCTGCGATGGCCACTCGGCAGCCTAGTGGATTGCCACCGTATGTGGACCCATGCTCCCCTGGCTTAATGGTCAGCATGATGTCATCATCACACAGCACTGCAGACACCTGAAAGACAGTCAATTCACCATGTCATTTCTCAGCACTAAGCATTCTACTAAGCATCCTTTTCCCCAGAGTCTCGCTGTCACCCAGGCTTGAGTGCAGTGGCGTGATCTCAGCTCACTGCAATCTCTGCCTCCTGGACTCAAGCAATTCTCCTGCCTCAGCCTCCCAAGTAGCTAGGATTACAGGTGCCCACCACCACACCACACATGTTATTTATTTATTTATTTATTTTGTAGTTTTAGTAGAGATATAGTTTCACCATGTTGGCCAGGCTGGTCTCGAACTCATGACCTCAGGTGATCTGCCTGCCTCGGCCTCCCAAAGTGCTGGGATTGCAGGCATAAGCCACCACACCCGGCCAAGAAACTGATACTTAATGACTTCAACGAAAGAGTTTACATCTGCCAACCTAACTACCAGTAACAACCTAATGACTTAGTCATACCCTAAAACATTACAAATACTTTAGGTACACTTCAATGGCACAAAACAATATAATTTTGCAACTAAAAGAGAAAAGCTATTTCTGCAATGATATAATTTCACAATCACTTCCAACGTCGAGATGAAATGCTTTGTTTAAATGCTTAAAAAACAAAGCTGAGCATTCTTTTTAGCAAAAGTTTTGTCTATTCAGCAAAAACATCTATACTTCAGAGACCTCTGATGTAGTAACAATTACTGGCTCTGAAAGGCAAACCCAAGACATGAACTACAACAAACATTAATTTTTCTCAGTCTCTTTGTTCACCAGTCATGGTTTTAAACAATTAGTAATATGCCATGTTTCTGAACACTGGAAAAAAGGACAGGAGTCTACAGGAGTCCTTTGGGGGTAAACTGTTTCCACCCAAATCCAATGTCATAGCAAATTCCAAGGCACACTCAATTCTTCAGGCAATAAGTAAGTGGGTCACACACTGGTCCCTTAAATGTTTTTATTACAGATATTCCGGGTGGCCTGCAGCACACTTGGTAAAATCAAACAATCTGAAAGCATTGTTGTCACAATCAGTTGATGTATAAATACTTTAGGGGTATATTTTACAAGAGTAGGAAATGGAAAGAGGGGGAACATGAAACTTACAGGGTATAAGCCCCCAGAAAGGGCCTTTCCAAGGAGGACTATATCAGGTCTGACATTTTCATAATCAACAGCCAGCCATCTACCAGTTCTGGCCAATCCTGTCTGTATTTCATCAGCAATAAAGAGAACCTATTGGGGAAAAAAAATACCCCTATTAGTGATCACTTTCGTTTCCACAGGGAAAATAGCCATCCTTATTTCACTGTCCCCCCACCAACAATAAATGTGTAATTCTGATGTGCCCTCAAATTTGTAAAAATGTTTTAACTGCACACAATTTCAAGAGTATCCTATAAGAATCTTGTAGACTCACCAACTATTTCCTTTGTCAGGCCACTATCTCCCTAGAGGCCCATTCTGCCCTGCTCTACATAGTGAAAAGGTGCTGATGCAAAGGTGAGGGTTTTGTATGGCTTTTCTGGACCTAACTACCCTCTGGGAACAAATTAATTCATTTGTTTATTCCACAAGCATTTAATATGTGACAGAAACTCTCAAATGGTAAACAAAATATACTACTATTAGCCCTGGGGGAAAGGAGGAGAGAATACAACAAAGGGCTTGCGGGGGCTCAGAGTGAAAGGCTCTTAGAGCAGCGAGGAAGGAAACGCTGTTAAGACCAGGTCTGCAGTTCTGCACAGGGCCCAGGACAAGGCCAGAGACAGGAAAAAGTCTGCTTCTGTGCAGGTTTCTAAGCACTAGGAAGTACTTAAGCTCTTAGAATGCCATCGCCCTCTAGTGGAAAGTAATTTAATCTTTGCATTTATCCAATCAGCAGAATTCAGAGAGGAGTTGGGGAGGAGCCCATTCAGCCTCATCACAAACAGCTAACTCGACATTCAGCCTTATCACAAACAGCTAACGTGACAACCTGGTGCCTGGTGCAGAGCTCTCGCACTCCCATTAGGTAACCTGGATCCGGAACAACAACGCCTGCTTCACCCTGAATTGGTTCTACCATGAACGCAGCCACATTTGGATCCTGAAGAGCACGCTACAGAAGAAACAGGAATAAGTTTTAATAACTTCCTTTCTACCACACTTGGAAATCTGAAAGCATATACCACACATATTTTACATTAAGTATGCAAATCAAGTTTTCGCACTAACGTAAATTCTGACTTCAAATTCACTGCCATTCAATTATCAGAAGCTCCAAATACCTCACCTTTAAGTTACACTAGCCTACATTTCCTTTTTTGCCTCATTCTGTTGCCCAGGCTGGAGTATAGCAGCACAAACATGGCCCACTAAAGTCTCGAACTCCTGGGCTCAAGGTGATCCTCCTGCCTCAGCCTGCCAAGTAGCTGCGCACCATGCCCAGCTAATTTTTTATTTATTTTCATTTTTTTTTTTTTGGAGATGGAGTCTCACTCTGTCACCCAGGCTGGAGTGCAGTGGCACGATCTTGGCTTACTGCAGCCTCTGCCTCCTGGGTTCCAGCAATTCTCCTGCCTCAGCCTCCCAAGTAGCTGGGATTACAGGCGCACAGCACCACGCCCAGCTAATTTTTTTTTGTATTTTTAGTAGAGACAGGGTTTCACCACTGTCTCTGGTTTCACTGTTGGCCAGGCTGGTCTCGACTCCTGACCTCAAGCAATCTGCCTGCCTCGGCCTCCCAAAGTGCTGCGATTACAGGCGTGAGTCACCGCGCCTGACCTTGATTTTTAAATTTTTTTGTAGAGACAGGCTCTCCCTATGCTGCCCAGGCTGGTCTTGAACTCCTGAACACAAAGTGCTCCTCCAGCCCTGGCCTCCCAAAGCACTGGGATTACAGGCATGTACCACCATGCCCAGCCTGTTTTCTAATACACAAATGTACCTAAATTAAATCTGGCTGGGCACAGTGGCTCATGCCTGTCACCCCAGCACCTTGGGAGGCCAAGGTGGGCAGATCACTTGAGGTCAAGTGTTCGAGACCAGCCTGGCCAACGTGGCGAAACCATGTCTCTAAAGAAAATAGAAAAGTTAGTTGGGTGTGGTGGTGTGTGCCTGTGGTTCCAGCTACTTGGGAGGCTGAGGCAGGAGGATCACTTGAACCCAGGAAGCGGAGTTTGCAGTGAGACGAGATTGTGCCACTGCGCTCCAGCCTAGGTGACAGAGTGAGACTCTGTCTCAAAAAAAGAAATTAATTACTTAAATTAAATCTAAAGTAAATAGCCTTTTAAAGCCAACTTAAGGCTTTCTTAAAAAGTCTTCCACTTCATAATTTTAAAAAGCTAGCTAAAAACAGAAATTTTACCTAGTAAGTAAGCAGGTATACCGAAGTTAACTGTTATGAAGGACACACATCTAAAGTAGTTGGCTGGCTGTACAGAGTAGATCACAGAACTCAGCTTTCTCTGTGTTGGAAACTAATTGATCGCTACTGAGAACAAGTCTGAAATCGTGGCTTAACTTAAGTGAGATAAATTTGCATTACTGTCATATAATGTACTTTTAATTCATATATTCAACAGCTTTAATTTCTATTCCCAATGAGCTGAGCACTATGATGCTAGTGAAATACCTCCAGTGCGGGCAGATCATTATAGGGAATGATGTCGAATCCCGGCATAAATGGTCCAAAACCATCGTAACTGGTTGGGTCTGTGGAACTGGAGATAGCAGACAACGTCCTACCCCAGAAGTTCCCAGCTACAAAGGGGAAACAAACAGTGATTATTTCAAAGAAACCCAAAATTCAATAAGCACTATCCCCGCAAAACACCACAAGAAGTTTGACTCAAAAAATAAATCAAGGGCTTGCTTTAGTGCACCTTCGGTGGGCTTTCAATTGTTAAAACAAAGTCTGATATTAAACACCATGGCTCCTATGACACAAGGCCACTAAGTCTGGCCTTGTAATTCCTATTTTAGGCATTTCTCTCTACTGAGCCTCTTGACTGGAATATATAGCCCCTGAAGATAGATAACTTACTTTTCTTTCAATAATCCCCAACCCAAAACCAAGCCCTAACAATTGAGGTCTTGAATGCATGTTTTCTAGAGAAGGTGCATTTATGATAGTGATATGAGAAAGAATATCCTTCATAGACAATTAGCGGTTTTCCTTTCAAAACTCCAATACTGCAGGCTAACAACAGAATGCATTTCCAATTTCATTTGGAGAAAAGATCCTCAAGCAATCCAAACACGTTTCCATTTTACCTTCCTTGATATTATAATCCTTTATGATGCTAAATGACAGACGTCTCCCTTTCTGCTGGAATATTTTTTATCCATTAATAAAGGTGACTGAGGATCTACTATGTCAGGCATTGTTTTAGATGTTGGGGAATAGACCAGGCACAGTGGCTCACTTATGTAATCCCTGCACTTTGGGAGGCCAAGGTGGGCAGATCGCCTGAGGTCAGGAGTTCAAGACCAGCCTGGCCAACATGGTGAAACCCCATCTCTACTAAAAATACAAAAATTAGCCAGGCATGGTAGTGCACACCTGTAGTCCCAGCTACTCAGCAGGCTAAGACACAAGAATCGCTTGAACCCAGGAAGCAGAGGTTGCTGTGAGCTGAGATCGCACCACTGCATTCCGGCCTGGGTGACAGAGCAAGACTGTCTCAAAAAATAAAAATAATAATAATAATAATAATAAAGATGTTGGGGAAGCCGGGTGCAGTGGCTCACGCCTGCAATCCCAGCACTTTGGGAGGCCGAGGCAGGCAGAACACATGAGGTCAGGAGTTCAAGACCAGCCTGGTTAACATGGCAAAACCCTGTCTCTACTAAAAATACAAAAATTAGCTGGGCGTGGTGGTGGGCGCCTGTAATCCCAGCTACACAGGAGGCTGAGGCAGGAGAATCACTTGAACCCTGGAGGCAGAGGTTACAGTGAGCCAGACTGCAGACTAGGTGACAAGAGTGAAACTCTGTCTCAAAAAAAAAAAAAAAAAAAGTTGGGAAATAGATCATGATCACAACTGGCAAGATCCCTATCCTCAGGGAGCTTCCTTTCTAGCAGGGAGAAAACACCTGACATAAACCAGTAAAGCAAGTGAGCTAGATAATTTCAGAGAGGATGACATTCAAGAAGGAAAGACACCATGTAAAATAACAGAGAGGTTGGGAGTTTGTGACATCATGTTTTTATCTTCTCACCACTTCTGCCAGCAGCAACTCCATTAATCAGTGCTGGATTATCGTATTTTGGCTTCATCTCGTTTCTAAATACTATTCTTGCAAAGCCTCTTTCACCAGCATCCCTTACCCACAAGTAATCTCTTCTTTCACTTGTCCACAAAAAATAGCACATTGATTTTGACTAGGTTTGTTTAAGAAGAAATGCACTGATTAGACCATAAGCCTATTTGCTCTCCCCTGCCTAGCCTCAGGAACCTCATCCTCAGTCACTTACCCTGCAGGTATAAGGGACTTACAGTTAGGGACAGTCTTCCTCTGTCTCTCCACCCCACTGACTCACCAGCTTCTTTCAATACTCAGGTGAAAACATCTTTGCACCCTTTGCTATTAAGAAAGAGACTGGACACAGTCTATAAGAATGAAAATCACCAGAAACACCATTTTTGTTTGCAAGAGACAGTTATGTTGTCCTACAACGAAAGCACAAGATTTTTAAATGGCAAGTTACAGAGTTTTGCTAAGATTTCTTCTTTGGGAATACCAATCTGTCCCCTCAAATACCAATCACCTCTGGCCTTCGGTTGAACTCTGGATTCTATTATGTTATGGGGTTTATCATTTAACTGCATGTGTTCACAAGGCAGAATATTTAATGATTTCAACTATCACAAGAATGAACTTTGACCATTATAGTGACAAATGTACACATACTTGTTTTTTAAAAAAATAAAGCTTAAAAAACAAGTCAGAACCTCTCATTTGAATATCATATAAAGAACCCAACAGTCAAACTACATCTTCTCAACTAATTGCTAGTCTCCCTAACCAAAATTCAAGTTATTCCTTTCATCCAGTCCCAGAAACCTAACAAGGGCAACTCCAAGCCTCCTCTTTTCAACAGCTTCTAAGTGGAACATGGCACAACAGGACCTCCAATATCAAGATTCAAACCACAGTCTATGTAGGCCATGGCCCCACACTAACTTCACCCAACCCCAGCACCCAACACAAACCCTCCACCAGTGAGACTATCTAATTAACTGGATAACTGCTATGAAAAAAATCTGACAGGCAAATGAGAGGAATATGGAGTTCAGAAAGAAAAATCTCATATATGAAGAAATAATCCCAAGAAGAGGAAATCCCTCATAAATTTTTATGAAACATTCAGCAAATACGTATCATGTACCAGGCAAAACATATTACAAGTATTTCATCAGCAAATTAAAACAGTAAATTTACACATATATATATGTTTTTTATATATAAAATATATAAGTGTGTGTGTGTGTGTGTGTGTGTGTGTGTGTGTATATATATATATATATATATATATATTTTTTTTTTTTTTTTTTAAATAGAGACAGGGTCTCCCTATGTTGCCCAGAAGGCTGGTCTTGAACTCCAGGGCTCAAAGACTCCTCCTGCCTTGGCCTCCCAAAATGCTAGGATTACAGGCATGAGCCACCATGCCTGGCCACAGTAAATTATATTGTATGTTTCAATCATAGAAGTTAATATTTAATTTCACATACCTGCAAAAACAATCTTTGCTTTGTATTTCTGAATGCCCTTCACGGTATAGCCCCACTTACGAGCTAGTTTACAGGCAGTCTCTCCAGCCTCCACTCCTATCAGGAGAGAAAAATGTTCAGATTTTTTTAAAATGTTAAACTATCAAAAAATAAAAAGATTATTTTTGAGGGTATTTAACAAAAAAAGGAAATGTTTTACCTGTATTCATAGGAAGAACTTTGTGGTAGTTGAAAAGTTTAGTAATATACTCCTCATATTCACCAAGTACGTTATTATAGAAAGCTCTAGATGTTAAGGTCAATTTGTCCACTTGACTCTTCAGAGCATTCACAATCTTGGGGTGACAATGCCCTTGGTTGACAGCACTGTAAGAACTCAGGAAGTCAAAATATTTTCTGCCTTCTACATCCCATAAGTAAATACCTAAAATACATAAGAAAGGAAAATAATTTTAGACAATTACTATACGGCATAAAGTCCAAAAATTAAGAGTGCTAGCAAGCCCTCTGAATGCCTATATATGAACCTCTATTTAATACATATTTGTAGTTAAAGCTTGTTTTAGCTCAGGCATAATAAACTTTGGTTTGTAAGGAATTACTAAGAATTGTATTTTATCTGCCCAGCTTCAAAACACACATTTAACAAAAATAACACAAAAAGGTTATAAACTCTGGAGTAAAACCTTTACCTAATTCTAAGATTTAGGATCCAAAATTAGAATTTAAAAGCAGAAGTTAGGCAGGGAGCCGTGGCTCACGCCTGTAATCCTAGCACTTTGGGAGACCAAGGCAGGGATTGCTTGAGCCCAGGAGTTCCAGATCAGCCTGGACAACACGGCAAAATCCCTGACGCTACAGAAAAATGCTGGGCATGGTAGTGCGCGCGTATGGTCCCGTTACAGAGGCTGAGGTGGGAGGATTGCTTGAGCCTGGGAGGTAGAGGATGCAGTGAGTTGAGATTGTGCCACTGCACTCCAGCCTGGGCACCAGAGCAAAATCCTGCCTATAAAAAAAAAAAATAAAATAAATAAAATTTAAAAATAAAAAAGCAGAAGTTACACATAACAGACAAAAATCATGAGAAGTAGACTGTAATAACCCTTAGGATGGAAAAAAAATATTTGTAAATCATGTGTCTGATAAGGATCTAATATCCAGAATTCTTACAACTCAATTTCAAAAGGACAAACAACCCAATTTAAAAAATGGGGAAAGACTTGAATAGCTATTTCTTCAAAGAAGATATACAAATGGCAAGAAACACATGAAAAGATGTTCAACATCACTAATCATTAGGAAAATGCAAGTTAAAACCACAATGAGATACCATCTCATACTCCCTGGGATGGTTATAATTAAAAAAACAACTTTTGACAAGGATCTGAAGAAATTGGCACTCTCATACATTGCTAGTGGGAAAGTAAAAACAAGGTTGCCATGTCATGTAATATGAAACAGATTTTCAATAGTTCAAAAGAAGATATGTCTACAGTACTGGTACCAAATAAAATACAAGCAAATGACCAAAATGTGTGATACTCTTATATTGTCATTTTCTGGTACAAAGCTAAGTAATAAACTTTGGTTTTATTTGGTTAAGGCTGTTATTTATTCCAAATTGTAGATTAAATCACCATTTGGCAACTACCACCGTAATCATTTATTCAGGCAAGAATCATTAGTGGATGCTGAAATTGTGAGTAAAAGTTCATGAGTAACTGGATATTTACAGAGTTTTACACTCTGTCCCCACAAGATACTTAATACAAAGGGAAAGAAGACCAAGACAACCAAGGATTGAGGAACTGTTCTGGGTTAAAGAAGACTAAACATGACAACTGAATGCAACTCATCGGAGGTTTTTCTTTTGTTATAAAAGAGAACAAATGACATCTGGATTAGGTCTCTAGACTAATGGTGCTGTACCAGTGTTAAGTTCTTGATTTTTACAATTACTCTATGGTTATAAAAGAGAAAGTCAGCTGGGCACAGTAGCTCACACCTGCAATCCCAGCACTGTGGGAGGCTGAGTGGTAGGATCACTTGAGACCAGGAGTTCAAGATCACCCTGGGCAACATAGCAAAATCTAATCTCTACAAAAAATAAGCCAGGCATGGTAAGGCACACCTGTAGTCCCAGCTACTTGGGAAGCTGAGGTGGGAAAATCACCTGAAGCCGGGAGTTCCAGGCTGCAGTGAGCCATGATCACACCACTGAACTCCAGCCTGGGCAACAGAATGAGACCCTATCTCAAAAAGTCATTGCGTTTTTGGAAAGACACACTAAGTATTTATGGGTAAAGAGATGTCATGTGGCGGGGCGCGGTGGCTCACGCCTGTAATCCAGCACTTTGGGAGGCTGAGGTGGGTGGATCACCTGAGGTCAGGAGTTCGAGACCAGCCCGGCCAACATGATGAAACCCTGTCTCTACTAAAAATACAAAAATTAGCTGGACGTGGTGGCGTGGGCCTGTAGTCCCAGCTCCTCGGGAGGCTGAGGCAAGAGAATCACTTGAAACCGAGAGGTAGAGGTTGCAGTGAGCCGAGATCCCACCATTGCACTCCAGCCTGGGTGACAAAGCGACATTCCGTCTCAAAAAAAAAAAAAAAAAAAAAAAAAGAAGAAGAGATGTCATGTCTGCAACTTCCTCTCAAAACAGTTCAGAAAACAATGTAGAATATGCAGGCGGCGGGGGGAGAAGAGAAGGGAGTGAACACACTAAGACCAAAGCAGCAAAAAGTTAGCACTTGGAAAATCTGGGAGAAGTATAAAAGGAAAATGTCAGTACTATTTGTTACAACTTTTCTTAAGTCTAAAACTATGCCAAAATAAAAGTTAAAAGAAAAAAATGACAGCAATATGATAGTACTTTCCTTATTTCTCTTGCATTCCCTCTTGGTAAGGTCTACATGACAAAGACAATGGTTCCTCTTTGAAGCCTCCATAGCACCTAACACAGCAGCACTAGACACTCAATAAATGAATTAACTGGCCAGGCGTGGTGGCTCACACCTGTAATCCCAGCACTTTGGGAGGCCAAGGTGGGAGGATCACAAAGTCAGGAGTCTGAGACCAGCCTGGCCAACATGGTGAAACCCCATCTCTACTAAAAATACAAAAATTAGCTGGGTGTGGTGGCGCACGCCTGTAGTCCCAGCTACTCAGGAGGCTGAGGCAGAAGAATCGCTTGAACCTGGGAGGCAGAGGTTGCAGTGAGCTGGGATTGTGCCACTGTACTCCAGCCTGGGTGACAGAGTGAGACTCCGTCTCAAAAAAAAAAAAAAAAAAAGAAGAAGAAGAATTAACCATGTCTGCAATATACACATTAAACACATCTAGAAAAATGTATATTGTGAAAATATGGAAGCAATTTTTTTTTATAAAAGGTTTCAAGAAAAGGGAAAAGACGGATTAATTTGAAACGTACCTTTTCCTCTCTCCAGGGCTACAGGTAAAGGATGGTAGTTGTGTGCACCATACTTATATTCCCTTTCAAAAATGTCATCAGAGGTTGGAGGGCCTTGGACTGTTTTTTTAGTTGCAACAGATGTAGCAGAAGCCACTGAAGAATGAACTCCGCGACTAAGTACAGCAAACCTCTGCAAATGTGCTAGTTTGGAAAACATTGTGTCCTTCAAGTAGAAAAACCACAGATCTGTCCAAAGAAAAGAGAATGCATTAAGAGTGAGAATCCTTGGCTTATGCCTATAATCTCAGCACTTTGGGAGGCTGAGGTCAAAGGATCACGTGAGCCCAGGAGTTTGAGACCAGCCTGGGCAACAGAGCAAGACTCCATCACTAAAAAAAATTGAAAAATTAGCTGGGTGTAGTGGTATGCATCTGCAGTCCCAGCTACTCAGGAGACTGAGGTGGGAGGATTGCTTGAGCCCGGAAGTTGAGGCTGCAGTGAGCTGAGATTGTGCCACTGTACTCCAACCTGGGAGACAAAGAAAGGCCCAGTCTCAAGAAAAAAAAAATGGCCAGGCGTGATAGCTCACATCTGTAATTCCAGCACCTTGGGAGGCCAAGATGGGAGGATCGCTTGAGCCGAGGAGTTAAAGACCAGCCTAGGCAACATAGTCTCTATAAAAGAAAAAAAAAGAGTGAGAATCTTGAGTCAGGTGTGGTGGTTTGTGCCTGTAGCCCCCAGCTGCTCAGGAGGCTGAGGCGGGAGGATCACTTGAGCCCAAGAGTTTGAGGCCAGCCTGGGCAACAGAGTGATACCCTGTCAATCAGGCAATCAATCAACCAACCAATCAATAAGAGTAAGACTCTTTCCAGAGCTAATGCACTGTGTGTTGACTGAGTACCTGCTAAACACTAAGTATTTGTTAAGCACCTACCACAGTCCGATACCATCAGGCACAATGCTATGAGACAGCTACAACTGTAGGGCAGAGACCAGAGGCAGGGAGACCAAATCAGAGAAGACTGCCAGAGACTAGGCATGGGGCAGGAGACAGAGGAACTGTCCATCCCTCTGGGCTCAAGCAGTCCGCCCACCACGGCCTCCCAAAGTTTTCGAATTAAAGGTGTGAGCCACTGTGCCCAGCCTAAAATCTTTTATTTAGCCACAAATATCTAAAACTTCTGTAGGTCAAATTTATCATAAACAAAGGTGAAAGGCAAAAAGACTAGGAAAAAAATGTTAACTTATAATAGCTTTAAAGTGTTCACAGCAAGTTGAATTAGACCAACATATACATACATACATAAATACATACACACACACACACACACACACACACACACACACACACACACATATATGAGATTCCCAAACAAAACAATCTATTCTGCTAGGATGGTTGTTTCTACAAAACTTATCCTGAAAAATTGTAGCATAAAAGATATTGTTGACCAGGTGCGGTGACTCATGCCTATAATCCCAGCACTTTGGGTGGCAGAGGCAGGCGATCACCTGAATCGGGAGTTCGAGACCAGCCTGACCAACATGGAGAAACCCCGTCTCTACTGAAAATACAAAATTAGCCAGGCGTGGTGGTGCATGCCTGTAATCCCAGCGACTCAGGAGGCTAAGGCAGGAGAATCGCTTGAACTTGGGAGGACGAGGCTGCAGTGAGCCAAGACTGCGCATTGCACTCCAGCCTGAGCAACAAGAGTGAAACTCCGTCTCAAAAAACAAACAAACAAACGAAAAAGCTATTGTTAGCAAAAGGTAACTGAGAAACTAGAGAGAGTCAAACTACAAACTACAATCCGTTACTTGTATGAGTGTTAAAGTCTAAACATCACTGAGCAGGCTGGTGTTTACCCTGCCGCCCCATCACATAAGTCAGAGCCATAGCTACTCTCCCCAGTCACCCCCAGCCCTAAAACTAGCCCCTCCACAAGGCTTCACACACCTCTTTGTACCCAATTTACCATTAAGCATCCTGATAAGCCATGAAGTAAAAACTAAGCTATGAAAGAAACTAATAATTAAAAGGAAATTAGAGCATGTGCATAGGAATCACCTCTGGAAGGAAAAAAAAAAAAAAAGCTTAAAGATAAATTCATGATTAGGAGAAAGTTGCCAAAAACTAGGCATACTTATTCCATCTATACTTACTTTCTAAAAGACTAGTTAATTCATGTTTCAACAGAAGTCTACCAATGACAAGTCAAACCATGTATAATCTCACAGCCACTCTTGATTCGAGCTGCCAAATTAGCAAAACATAATACTTGGAGTTTGGCTTACTTCCCTTTAAACTTGGCACTACCCAGTAAATCCAGTATGTTCAGGAATTTGCAATTGCTAAACAAAATCCAGTACTCCGGTTTGCCAAAGACTCACTGACTATTTTTTCTTCCCACGGTTCAGTCTAGAATACAGATTTTTAACCCAAGATCCAGGGACAGTCTGCAGAGAGTCCAAAATCTCCTGAAATAAAATGCAGAATTACATGCAGACGTATATTTTTCCAAGAAGAAGGTCCATAACTTTCATCAGACTTTATCTCAAAGGGGTGGGTACCAACAATCAAAACAAAAGTGATGTAAGAATCATCCAACTGGAGGTAGCTGCTAGCAAAAATGTCTAACTGTACTATATGTAACTTCCCCAAAATACTACTGCTAAGTCTAAAACACTCATGTATGATTTCTTTCTTGGACTCTTTATGCTTTACTCAGTATGAATAAATTGTTTGATCAACTAAAAAATTAGAACATTAATTTTTGCCTATCAAATTAGCAGTAAAACACTCAGGCAATACTTAGTGGTGCTCTAAACCGTAACAACTTTCTAGGGCCAGGCAAGGTGGCTCACGCCTATAATCCCAGCGCTTTGGGAGGCCAAGGCAGATCACTTGAGCCCAGGAGTTAAAGATCAACCTGGGCAACATAGGGAGACCCCATCTCTATAAAAAATATGAATATTAGCCAGGTGTGGCGATGCGTACCTGTAGTATCTGGTACTTAGGAGACTAAGACTAAGGTGGAAAGATCTCTTGAGCCCTGAGTTCTGGGCTGCAGTGAGCCACGATCTGTGCCACCAGCACTCCAGCCTGGGCTACAAAGCGCTAAAAAAAAAAAAAAAAAAAAAAAAAAAAAAAAAAAAAGGAATATCAGAGATTATCTAAATTCAACATTCTTATTTTATATAAAAGTTATCTGCACAGCTAATTTCCAACAGAAATGGGATGAAAAATTCATTTACCTGTTAAGTTTAGGCAGTTTTATTAAAGAATAACTGGGGACAAAATAATATCATTCAAAACATTACTAATACTCATTCTTAAGGTTTTTGTTTCTTTTCACTTACAGATGGAGTCTCAGCTATGTTGCCCAGGTTGGCCTCGAACACCTGGGCTCAAGGGATCCTTCTGCCTCAGCCTCAGGAAGAGGTGGGACTACAGGCACACACCCCTGAGTCAGCTATTCTTAAGGTTTTTAAGATGAATTCTGGATATTTAATTCAACTGGGAAAGGTCAGAAACTGGATGAGCCATGATGTATCAAAATCCTGTAAACGCATTTCTATTAAAGAACCTTCTGTGTTCAAGTTACTGTGCTTGGCACTGTATGAGAAATCTTAGAGCAGAATTAAGATGGACTTAAAAATAGCCAACATCAATAACAGCCTCTTCCAAAAAGGTTTCAAAACCGGGAGAATCAAGCGGAAAATCCCGAGTTTGGAGACCGGGATTTTAAATTCTGTCTGTGGTTCTGAAGAGTAACTCTGGGTGATTCTGTCAATCTTTCTGAGCTTCAGTCTCCCCATTTGTAAAAGGAGGTTGAAGTGTCACTGAGGATGAAATGGGTTAATGTTACTGTGCCAAATCCAGCACAAAATGGCCACTCAGTTCCCTTTTGCCCTTAAAACTAGCCAGTTTCTGAAATATCAGAATCAACAGTGCCATGATTTATTTTTAAAACTGTTTAAAAAGACACACACACACCATTTTTCAGTTGATAAAAAATTAGAAAACACAGACAAGAAAATTACCAGCAATTTTACACTTGCATGATAACCATTAACATTTGGTTATTTTTTCTATGCATAATTAGCATCCATATTAGCTTTTTTTCACCCTCCCCTATAGAATTTACTATTTAAGTCCCTCCTAGAGACTCCCAGGGACTGTGCAGACTTGTAACGGGTCCTAACACTGCAGGCCACTTGTTTTTATGCCTATAAGTCTATACTCTAAGCTCCTTTAAAAAACAGTAAAATTCACTTTGCATTCCTAGAACCTAGCCCAGGTTGGGCATCCTGTGGGCCTTTATCAGATAAAGAGGTCAGTCTTACTTAGGACTCCTGAGGGAGTCAAGGTAGCAAGTGATCAAGACCATGGGATCACCTATCCCTGACCAGGTTGAGTCTAACTCTAAGAGGGGGTGTTCACTCTCTGACCTCATCTAGAATAACTCATCTCTTCATCAAGAGTTTACTTCATTAGATCTAATGGCCTTCAAAGGTCAAAATAATGTGTTCCAGGCAGCTATCATGCATCTACCTGACGCCCATACTCAGGTCCTGGAAATGAGAACAAATTGCTCTTGGCAAGCTAGAATTCTAACACTGAAGGTTTTATCCACGTAATTAACAGGGTCCTTCAGGCTACCATTACTCCCTCCATCTAGCCCATCCATCTACATTAGAACATACCTACAGTAGAATTTCCACAAAAGGCTGCATTTTGAAGTTAATTTAGCCTATACTCTTAAAAACTATTTTCTTACTCTAAAAGAATAGTCGGCGTAAAGTTGTCCAAAAGCCACTTAAAATATTCAACTTGAGGAGTAAATTTGTTCTTGCTATTTTGACAAATATTTACTTTTCCTGAGGTAACCATTCACAAATACAGGCCTTTAAAAAAAAAAAAAAAAAAAAGTTCTACCAACAGAAGTCTCTTTGACGTAATCAGTATTCTGGCTAAAATTCAAGCCAAGTGCATCATTGGCAAACAACTAGTTTTACTACTGAGAAAGGACCGGGGTCAACTACAGCACATCCTCCACACACATCCAAATTCGTGCATTCATCACTATTTGTAAATGTTTGAGATTTGAAAGGTCCTCAAGAACTCACTAAAGGGCATAAAATATGCACACAAATAACTGTAATAAAGGCACGCTATGGGGATAATACATATTAAGACAGCTGCTTTGAGGGAAAAATGTCTTTTAAAAATGTTTACTATTTAAAGTTATACTGGATTTTTCTTTGGGGGGGGGATGCAAAACTAATCTTAAACACCATGAAAAACTGTAAACCCAAAACTATAAGCTTTTTTTTTTTTTTTTTTTTTTTTCGAGACGGAGTCTGTCGCCCAGGCTGGAGTGCAGTGGCACGATCTCAACTCACTGCAAGCTCTGCCTCCCGGGTTCAAGCAATTCTCCTGCCTCAGCCTCCCGAGTAGCTGGGATTACAGGCGCGCACCACGATGTCTGGCTAATTTTTGTATTTTTAGTAGAGAAAGGGTTTCACCATGTTGGCCAGGCTAGTCTCAAACTCCTGGCCTCAGGTGATCCGCCTGCCTGGGCCTCCCATAATACTGGGATTACACAGGTGTGAGCCACCGTGCCGGGCTAAAAATAAGCTTTTTAATTTAACGCTCGTTTTTATGAAAAGATTCATCTAAAGACAGAACCAGGATATTCTAATGAAAGGAGTCTATTGTTATTTCACATGGCTAAGAGCGATTGATTACAATCTAAAGAACAGTTCCGGGGTTAACTGAAAGAACTAGCTTATCCACAGAAACCCTTTCAATCCCAGAAGGAGAAATTTAGAATTTGGAAACTGAACATTAGTCATTTCTTAAGGTAAAGCCACTTCATTCCAAAGTCACTGTCTGTTCGCCCTTAATTTATCACCGTAATTTATCTAAGAGGTAAAACTGAACACCGAAAAGGTAAGATGTAGAGTGACAAAAGGAGACGGTGGGTCACAGGGCGAGTGCCCAGGTGACTTCGGGCCTCAGTCCTCTCGCCAGCAAAGGGCGGACAATGACCCCTCCCGTCCCGCCCGGGAAGGCGATCGAGGAAACGCACTGGCCAGGCCCATTTACTGATGCTCAGCAGGGTTTGCAAAAAGCCCCCAACGGGAGGTTTTCATGCTGAAAGTCCTGTTGCCCCCCCATCCCCCACCATCTAATTAACCTGCACGTTACTGTAAGGAAGGTTCTGCTTCCGTAATTTTCTTTATTTCGACAGAGGCTGGAGAAAAAAAATCATAGGCTGGAAGAGGGGAGCGATGGGCAGGCCGATCTGCAGGGCGCAGGAGCAGGCCGGGAGGACCCAGCCCTCCAAGGCTGCATCAGCGCCCCCGCCGCGTGACCAGGGCCACCGGTTTACTGCACAGCTCCCCCGTCCCCAGAACGCAGCCTCCCCGCCAACCCCAGGAACCAAGGGTGCCCAAAGGCCTCCTACCCGGAACCCCGGGGCGCCTCGGGGTCTCTGGGCCGGGTGGGCCGAGTCCTGGCCTCCACAGGCCGCGAGCGCAGGGGGCGGCGGCTCCGCCCGGTCTGGCAGGCGGGGCTGCCACATCCTCAGCCTCTCCCTGCCGCCCGCCCGTCGGCCGCTCTGGGCTGGAACCAGGACTCCGGCCTGCAAGCCGTGGGTCGCCACGCCCCTGCCCCCTGAAGCTGCGCGCCGGCCGGAGACTCCAGGGCGCCCGGGTCCGAGCCGCCCGCAGAGTAAACGGGCCGCTGAAGCGGGGCTCGTTCCCCGGCCGAGGCCCAGCGCGCCCCCTCAGCCAGCATCCCCCGAACCCGGGCCGCGGCCACCCCGCGCCCGCCCGCCTCCCCCGCCGCTGTCAGGGAACCCCGGCCAGGGCCCGAACCAGAGCCCCAGGACAGCGGCGCCCAGACGGTACCTGACAGCGCCTGAGGACAACCGGGTACACGCGGCGTCTATGAAGCGCAACAGTGACGCCGGAGAGTCACTGCAACTTAAAGGCTGATTCTGCCCCGCCCCCAAGACACCCTCGCCGCTCATTGGCTGGGGCGGAGGGCAGGATACCAATCGCGTGGGTCCCGTCCTCCGCCCCGCCCTCCGGCCGCGCATCAAGGATCTTTGCTCCTCCCGCGGATTCGATCCGCGCTCGCGCCTCCTGAGCCCGCCGGCCTGTACCTGAGCTCAGGCCCCTCGGTCGCCTCCTCTGGCGGGACGAGAAGAGTCCTTGTCCGCCCTTGCTGACGAGAAGACTGAGGCCCGAAAAGGAAAAGTCTGTTGGGCCCCCCACTGCGCGGGCCGGGTGTGGCTGGAGGCCGAGAGACGTGAGGCTGGACCGCCCGCCCTGTGCTCCTGGAGGGAGGGACCAGCCCCAGCTCTGCCCCAGCCACAGCTGCGGGAGCCCCATGCCCTTGAACCCTGATGCGCCGCGCGGCTTAGTTGTGCCTCTGAATCCACCTCCAAAAGTCGTCGCTGCCTATGGAAAACACACTGCCCACCTGTTCGCAGCTGCTGTCAGATAATTGAGTGGCAGCAACCCACTCACAGTACAGATTTGCCTGTGGTGCCCTCCACAGCCGGTTATTAAATTCAGAACACAAAATAGATATTCCGGGACAACCTCATGTTAGAATCGGAAGGGACTTGGACTTCACTTAGCCCACAACAAGATGTTAAATATTGGAAAACAGAGACCCAGAGAAGGAAAGCGACTTACCCAGTCATCCAACAGTAGGGGCAGTCTGGTCCTGTGTGCCCCTCGCCACCCCTCTCAGAGGGCAGGCGCTGGCAGCTGCCGGCACCACACTCCATTAGACCACAATGACCAGTCGGGGGCCCAGCTGGAAACAGAGGGCACACTCCAATGTGAACATTTCCTAAAACGTGGTGGTGGGGGCCCGTGGTTCATGCCTGTAATCCCAGCACTTTGGCAGACCGAGGCAGGAGGATTGCTTGATCCCAGGAGTTCCAGACCAGCCTGGGCGACACAGTGAGACCCCGTCTCCACAAAAAAAAATAAAAATTAATCTGGTGTGGTGGCACACCTATGTTCCCAGCTACTCCAAAGGCTGAGGTGGGAGGATCACTTGAGCCCAGGAGGTTGAGGCTGCAGTGACCTATGACTGCACCACTGCACTCCAGCCTGGGCAACAAAGCAAGACCATCTATCTTAATCAACCAATCAATCAATCAATGTAGGCAAGTAAACCACAAGGGATGGAGAAATAACCTGGGTCTCATGCACCAGCGAGGGCCATTATCCATCCTAGGCCCAACGGCCTCCAAGTGGGGTTTCCAGAATTCCAGAACCCAAAGAGAGGAGTGTGGGAAAGGCTATCTGGTCACCAAAGTCATCAGCAACTGCATGGGAAGGAGCTGGACAATGAGCATCTCCTGTCAGGCTTCCACATGGGCTGAAGCCATTAGGAGGCCAGAGGCCAGGGGAGCCCTTTAAGACAGCTCAGCCTCCTGGGACAAACAGCAGGGTGGAAAAGGGTGGAGACGGGGTAGGGGAGCAATTGGAAGACATCCAACATACATAACTGGCTAAGATAAGTCTTAGCTAAGCAGAAAGTAAAGTCCATGCTAAATGGTAGGGATAAGAAAGTGATATGGGTGCAGAGCTGTGAACAGCAGAGCCAGTATCTGCAGATGTGCAGAGCAAGACACCAAAAGGGATTCAGTCCCCCTGGGCTCCATCTGCCCTATACCAAGGTCACTCTCTCAGACTGTTGTGGCCATGGGCTCTCCAGAACTCACTGAGAGCAGAACATTGCCTTTTATTTCTTTCATGTTCCTCCACAGCACCCAATACAATGTGATTAACTTCCTGGAAGTTAGGTTATTCTGCCCAAGGGGTCAGAAAGGAATGGTTTCTCCATGGTCCTGCTCTATAAACCTGGGCAGGTATGTGGGGCCATGCCCAGCTCTTGGAACTCTTATAGAGCCCAAGACTCCCGAGTTATGCCTTGTCAAGGAGGAGCAGGTGAGTTCAGGAGAGGCACATGACACCCAGGATCCAGGGGTAACATAAAGTATGTTACAATGTCTTTGGGCTCACAGATAAGGTGCTCTTTAAGGAGTTTCATATGCAAGAAGTTGCTGGAAATGTCTGGGTTTTATCTCTTTCCTCTTATCAGAAAAATGCAATAGGTCCAGAAAGCATGATAACATTTTATGGTCTCTGTACTAGAGTTGTTTTTCAGCATAATGTGGCCTTGACAGAGAGACCTGAACTTGAAAGCTGCTTCTTTTCAACCAAGAAACAGAGCTGCTTTATTTGTATGTATTTTATTTGTTCAATCTAGAAACATAAAGGTAAAGTGCACATTACAAAGATTTTTGAGTCTCTAAAAACTATTAATAATTCAAGTAATTAACTATATGGGGACCATAAAACCTGAGGATATAAAGAGTGGCCCTCAGGCCAGGCACAGTGGCGCATGCCTGTAATCCCAGCTACTTCGGAGGCTGAGGCAGGATAATCGCCTGAACCCGGGAGGAGGAGGTTGTGGTGAGCCAAGATTGTGCCATTGCACTCCAGCCTGGGCAACAAGAGCAAAACTCCATGGCCCTCATAACAGACATCCAAGACCTAAATTCATTTCATCAGTTCATTCGACAAATGTCCTTTGAGTGCCTCAGGTGCCTGACCTTGCGAGGGGTTTCACATCATCAGGCAACACCATGTGAGTCCTTTTTGTTTGTTTGTTTGTTTGTTTGTTTGTTTTTTGAGACAGAGTCTCGCTCTGGCGCCAAGGCTGGAGTGCAGTGGCATGGTCATGGCTCACTGCAACCTCTACCTCCTGGATCCACCCATCTCAGCCTCCTGAGTAACTGGGACTTCAAGCGCATGCCACTACGCCCAGCTAATTTTTATATCTTTTTGGTAAAGATGGAGTTTCACCATGTTGTCCAGGCTGGTCTTGAACTCCTGGACTCAAGCAATCTGCCCACCTCTGCCTCTCAAAGTGCTGGGATTACAGGCATGAGCCACCATGCCCGACCCATATGAGTCTCTTCAGTAAGGAGGGAGAAGTTCCAGAAATGCTCCTTTAACAGATGTGAACAAAAATCTTGCGACATTGGTCATCTAAAAAAGCTGCAACTGTATTTTAAAAAAGGAAAGAATCATTGATTTTCTTATACAGACAACTCTCTAGTATTTAGTGGCCAGAAAAACAACGGGTGGGCTATGCAGATCTCTTGCTTTGCGTTGCTTCCTTTATTGTCCCACTCGTCCTGACTTCTTATTAGTATAGTCTGCATATACCTGGGCTTCAAATGATTAAAAAGGAAAATCCAAGCTGACAGCCAAGGAGGAAAACTGATAACGACACAGAGAAAATAAGTGTTTGGTGATTTTTAACCTGCAGGAGAAATTTTGTTTCCCAGATTACATTCACCCTAAAAAGATGTCTTCGCAGCAGAAGTCTGGGCAACATGTGTAACGCATCCTTCCTGCTCCCAGTGCACCAAGTCAGGACAGGTATTTAGGTCTGGTGGAGAGCAAACCTCCTTTAAGTCCAGAAAGGCAGGGATCTGGAAGGAGCAAGTTAAGCAAGGCATCGAGGACAGTGGGAGAGTGATCGATGGTAAACGTTCTGAACTGGGAATGATAGACAGAGACTCAGAAATGTTGCCGTTCGTCTATGGGTCCTCATATGAGGCTGTGCCTGACGGGAGTATTAATTTTTCTCTCCCGGAGCCAAGCTCCACCTACGAACTCAGGCTGCAACCCCTTCCCGTCCCCCAGGTGAGACCCTCCCTGACGACTGAGACTGAAGGGGCCTCGTCCTCTTCCTGAGCACTTCCTGTCCACGTCAGGCTGGCCTGCAGTCTTTTTTCTTTTTTTAATTTAAAAATACACATAGAGACAGGGTCTCGACATCTCGCTCAGGCTGGTCTCAAACTCCTGGGCTCAAGCAATCCTCCGGCCTCGGCCCCCCAAAGTGCTAGAATTACAGGTGTGAGCCACCATGCCTGGCCTGCGGTCGTTTTTTAACCTACAATATCTCTCTGGCTCTCTAGCTCTATCAATTTGAGAAAAGAAAACTCACTCATCTGGGCGCAGTGGCTCACACCTATAATCCCAATACTTTGGGAGGCCGAGGTGGGAGGATTACCTGAGGTCGGGAGTTTGAGACCAGACTGACCAACATGGGGAAACCCCGTTTCTACTAAAAATACAAAATTAGCCAGGCATGGTGGCGCATGCCTGTAGTCCCAGCTACTCGAGAGGCTGAGGCAGGAGAATCGCTTGAACCCGGGAGGCAGAGGTTGCAGTGAGCCAAGATCACGCCATTGCATTCCAGCCTTGGCAACAGGAGTGAAACTCTGTCTCAAAAAAAAAAAAAATGAAATGAAAACTCACTCGTAGCAGGTATTCAAGGTTTGCAAAATCAGGCCAGAGAAACACCAACACCAGACATCAGTTACAACCCCCAAAACTCATGCCCGGGGGTAGATGTTTAAAGGCATTTTTGTTCCTGACTACCTAACACACTCATCTCATGTTCCTGGAATTTAAGTTACAAAAAACAATGTATAGACAATCAGTAGCTTATTTTAATGTAAATTCTTGGTAAACAATTTAGGAATTGCCTTTTCTTTTTTCCTTAAAAACCCACTTGGGGCTGGGCACGGTGGCTCGCGCCTGTAATCTCAGCACTTTGGGAGGCCAAGGCGGCCGATCACTTGAGGTCATGTGTTCGAGACCAGCCTGGCCAACATGGTGAAATCCCGTCTCTACTGAAAATACAAAAATTAGCCAGGAGTGGTGGCATGCACCTGTAATCCCAGCTACACTGGAGGCTAAGGCAGGAGAATCTCTTGAACTCAGGAGGTGGAGGTTGCAGTGAGTAGAGATCACGCTGCTGCACTCCAGCCTGGGCAACAGAGCAAGATTCTGTCTCAAAAAACAAAAACAAAAACAAAAACAAAACAAAAAAAACCCACTTGTAACTGACGTCAATCAGAGTGTATGATAAGGGCAACTTGAATGGATTGTTCCCAGGTGGCCATCCTCAAGCTTTGGGCTTGAATAAACTCTATACTTCACTGTATTTTCTGAGTCTCATTATTTGAGGTTGGCAGTGTCTTATCTTCCCAACCACATTTAAGTTCTTAAAGGCAGAGCTTGTCTTGCAGGATTTTCACAGCCTCCCAGCGCCCATCTCTACATGGCTCTAGTAGAAATTACTATTCTACACTCGTTCGTCACTATTCATCTTTATTCCTCTGGACAGGAATCAGAGGCAGAGCAGGTAATCATTTTGGGAGTGGTTCTGAGATTCCAAGAGCCTCTCCTCAACCCTAGAATAGCGACAGCTATTCAAATTAAAGCCCTAGAAGCTTGAGTTGAAGGCAGGAGGATACTTCAAAGCATTATTGCCCATTTACATTTGGCTAACTGTCCCGCTGAAGGAATGTCACCTGGGCCTGGCACATTTACAGTTGTCTGGAGAGGAGATTGACAATTCTCTGGATGTGGCATGAGATCTGGAGGGGAGCCTCTGCGAGGATCTTGAGAGCTGGGGGGCTGAGGCCAGAGGACACTGGGTGCCTGAAAAACTGGGTACAGGGGAGTGGGGGGAACAGAAAATACCAGAAGAGGGATGGAGGAGGACCAGGCCCATTCAGCTTACCAAGCCAGGGGGTCAGGACTATTCAAATTAGCCCAGAAGCAAAGACGTAAAAAGCCATTAGGCTCACGGAGCTGTGAAAGTCAGCTAAGGCTCAATATTGAAAAATAATATGTTGGCTGGGCGCAGCGGCCCACGCCTGTAATCCCAGCACTTTGGGAGGCTGAGGCGGGCAGATCCCCTGAGGTCAGGAGTTCGAGACCAGCCTGGTCAACATGATGAAACCCCATCTCTACTAAAAACACAAAAATTAGCTGGGCATGGTGGCAGGCACCTGTAACCCCAGCTACTTGGGGGGCTGAGGCAGGAGAATCGCTTGAACCTGAGAGGCGGAGGTTGCAGTGAGCCGAGATCGTGCCATTGCACTCCAGTCTGGGGGACAAAAGCAAGACTTCATTTCAAAAAAAAAAAAAAAAAGAAAAATAATATGTTTTCTTTCTTATGAACATAGGCATTAGAGATGCAAATACAGAATAGATTTTAGAGATAAAGAGACACTTTAAAACCTAATCTAGGCCAGGCTCGGTGGCTAATGCCTGTAATCCCAGCACTTTGGGAGGCCAAGGCAGGCGAATCACCTGAGGTCAGGAGTTCAAGACCAGCCTGGCCAACATGGTGAAACCCCATCTCTAAAAAAATGTAGCTGGGCATGATGGCAAATGCCTGTAATCCCAGCTATTTGGGAGGCTGAGGCAGGAGAATCGCTTGAATCCAGGAGGCAGAGATTGCCAAGAGCCAAGATCGCACCATTGCACTTCAACCTGGGTGACAGAGTGAGACTCTGTAAAAAAAAAAAAAAAAAAAAAAACTAATCTAACTCTTTTAAAGGCAGAGAAATCCAATCCAAGATTCCAAGGTAAAGGGCCCCCACCTGTCTTACGAAATGGGTCACAGGGACAGCCAAGAAACTGTGTGTTCTACCAATCATGTTCCACATTTGAGACATTTAATCAGAAGTAAGAATTTTGACTAAGAACAAAAAAGGCTGAAATAAAAGTTTTTAATAAAAATTTAAGGAATGAGCAGCAGTATTTATTTAAAGAATATTACATTGCTCGTTAATTTTAAAAAATAAGATAAACCTCAATTACTAGTTAAACATTTACTTTATATCCTTATCTATTTAGGTACTAAGAAGATCAGTGTGTTTTGCAATGATTTTTTTTATTGATTCCATGATGGCAAACTTAGATAACTTTGATTACTTTTCTTTTGAGGACTTTAATTCTGACTCTTTGAAGTTGGACTATAATAAAAACAAACCAGAAAAGAAGAAATTTCCACAGTTTATTCCTGAAATTGTTGACCTAAGTAAATGTATGGAATAAATATATGAAATGCTATGAAATAAATATATTAATACAATGGGTATTGTAAATCATTTCATCTTTGCTGAAAACATTTAATATTTTTTGCACAGAACTTTGCAGAGAGTTTCACCGTTTGGGACAATCGAGTTCACCAAAAGCAATGCCAGTCCTGGTATTTGGGTCATCAATACGCTCTGTCTTTGTGGCTGTCACATCCTTAATCGTGGTATAGGAAGCTGGGCACAGTGGCTTACATCTGTAATCCCAGCACTTTGGGAGGCCAAGGTGGGTGGATAATTTGAAGTCGGGAGTTCAAGACCAGCCTTGCCAACATGGTGAAACCCCGTCTCTACTAAAAATACAAAATTAGCTGGGTGGTAGTGGTGTGCGCCTGTAATCCCAGGAGGCTGAGGCAGGAGAATCATTTGAGCCTGGGAGGCAGAGGTTGCGGTGAGCCGAGATGGTGCCACTGCGCTCCAGTCTGGGCGACAGAGTGAGACCCTATTAAAAAAAAAAAAAGTCATATAGAATCCTTCCTTTCTCTCTTTTTTCTTTTGTTCTCTTTTTTTATTTTTGGAGTTGGGGGACAGAGTCTCGCTCTGTCACCAGGCTGGAGTGCAGTGGCACGATCTCGGCTCACTGCAACCTCCACCTCCTGGGTTCCAACAATTCTCCTGCCTCAGCCTCCCAAGTAGCTGGGACTACTGGGACTAGAGGCGGGCGCCACCATGCCTGGCTAATTTTTGTATTTTTTAGTAGACACGGGGTTTCACCATATTGGCCAGGCTGGTCTCAAATTCCTGACCTAATGATCTGCCCTCCTTGGCCTCCCAAAGTGCTGGGATTATAGGCGTGAGCCACCGCACCCGGCCAGGATCCTTTCCTTTAACCTGTATTCTCCCCCAAAAGATTTTAGTTACAGGCTGGACGCGGTGGCTCACCCACCTGGCACTTTAGAAGATCGGGGCGGGCAGATCACTAGAGGTCAGGAGTTCGAGACCAGCCTGGCCAACATGGTGAAACCCCTAAAAATACAAAAAATCAGTTGGGCGCAGTGGTATGTGCCTGCAATTGCAGCTACTCGGGAGGCTGAGGCACGAGAATCGCTTGAACCCAGGAGGTGGAGGTGGAGGTTGAAGTGAGCCGAGATCGTATCACAAAAAAAAAAATTAAAAAAAAATTCTTGGAGATCCTTAAGTTATATTCTTCTCCACCACCTTAAGTTTGACTTAGTCCTTTGATCATACAAATTACCTCTTTTGTTTTTGTTTTGTTTTGTTTTTGAGACAGGGTCTCGCTATGTCACCTGGGCTGGAGTGCAGTGGCACAATCACAGCTCTCCACAGCCTCAAACTCCTGGGCTCAAGCAATCCTCCTGCCTCAGCCTCCTAGGCAGCTGGGACCACAGGTGTGTGCCACCATGCCAAGCTATTTTTTTTTTTTTTTGTAGACATAACGGGGGCGGTCTCACTATGTTGCCCAGGCTGGTTTCGAACTCCTCTTGAGCTCAAGTGATCCTCCCACTCAGCCTCTTAAAGTGCTGAGATTACAGGTGTGAGCCACCATGCCTGGCCTCTCTCCACTTTTAATTCAATTTTGAACTGTTTCGGCAGGGCTCCTAATTTGCAAAGGGCAGTGCACAGCCTTTTGATTCCAAAGAAAATTAAGGCAATTAAATACATTTCAGCTCTGGCCCTCTGAGGCACATGCCGGTGTCAGTCTTGACTGTGGCCAATGCTCTAAGGAACATGTTAGCCAGACCCCAGAGCACCCAGCGTTCATACTACAGAGTGCTTGAGAGAGCAGGCTTTGGATTGAGGCAATCCAGAAGTCAAATCCTGACTCTATCGATAATCAGTTAGGTAACCTGAGACCCCAAGCCTCACTTATCCCATCCTGTAAAAGGGGTTGTTCTAAGGATCACTGACACATGTGACGCTTCTCCAGCTACTTCTAAGCCACCTGGCGGCTCAGTACAAGGTAGTGTAATTATCTTTATTTACAATGATAAGTGAAGGCCCTTCTCCAAGTCCTCTAGCTTTGAATCTTCCCTCTTCTACAGAGATTCTTATTGAAATCTAAAGAAATCAAGTACACATACTTAGAAGGCTTTTTAAAAGTGTCTATTTAAAAGGCAATGATGTCGGATGCGATGGCTCACACTTGTAATCCCAACACTCTGGGAGGCTGATGTGGGTGGATCTCTTGAGTCCAGGAATTCGACACAAGCCTGGGCAAAATGGCTAAACCCTGTCTCTATAAAAAATACAAAAATTAGCCGAGCATGGTGGTGCATGCCTGTTGTCCCAGCTATTCTGGAGGCTGAGGTAGGAGGATCACCTGAGCCCAGGAAGTTGAGGCTGCAGTGAGCCGCACTCTAGCCCAGCCCAGGTAACAGAGAGAGACCTTGAAGAAAAGAAAAGAGAAGAGAAGAGAAGAGAAGAGAAGAGAAGAGAAGAGAAGAGAAGAGAAGAGAAGAGAGCAATGATCACCAGGATCTGGGATCTGCTTGAGTAATTGTACTCAGAAAAATCCACTTTTTTTTATTCTGTTGAATAAGGTGTCCTGCAGACAGCTCAGAAAACTGTTCCCACACTGGCGCAAACCCTGGCCACCCTGGAGTTATCTCTGCCACTCCCTGGAGTTTGGGAAGCACAGTGAGGCTGTATTACAGGTTTTGAATTTCACTCTGAGTTGGTCTTCCTCTGCACAATAAACAAACCATATTAACACTTCCTACTTGGTAATTTTCT
The DNA here is from genome assembly GCF_000001405.40 of Homo sapiens. Classification (NCBI taxonomy): domain Eukaryota; kingdom Metazoa; phylum Chordata; class Mammalia; order Primates; family Hominidae; genus Homo; species Homo sapiens. Next base: position 124,428,658 of record NC_000010.11, read on the forward strand.
AGAGGAAGCTTGAGATAAATCCGGGGAGGTAGCCCAGTGCCCCACTGGCAGATTGTCAAAAGACAGTTTAAATTTTCTTCTAAACTTCCAAAGTTTGATGCTAGAAGGAACTTTGGAAACCTTCAAGGTATGTAAGTTACAGCATCTAGCTCTTTCCTTTTCTTTCCTTTTTTTTTCATCACTCTATAGAACTACTTTCCTCTTTGACATTTTCTCCCCCAGGCAACTCCTTCTTTCTGTTTGTTTTTTGTTTGTTTGTTTTTGTTTTTGAGACGGAGTTTCACTCTTGTTTCCCAAGCTGGAGTGCAACCGCAAGGATCTCAGCTCACCGCACCCTTGGCCTCCCAGGTCCAAGCGATTCTCCTGCCTCAGCCTCCTGAGTAGCTGGGATTACTGGCATGCACCACCATGCCCAGCTAATTTTCTATTTTTAGTAGAGACGGGGTTTCTGCATGTTGATCAGGCTGGTCTCAAACTCCCGATCTCAGGTGATCCTCTCGCCTCGGCCTCCCAAAGTGCTGGGATTACAGGCGTAAGCCACCGCGCCTGGCCTTTCTCTTTTATAAACAGTTAATTCATTTCCTTTCTTCACAAATCAAGGCAAATTAAAAAGTACACTGAGAATTCTCTTTCCTGCTTCAACCCCACTCAGCCCATAGTGGGCAATGCTTTACACTGCTTCCTCGTTTATCCTTTCAATGGTTCTTCATGCAAATAGAAGCAAATACAAATACGTGTCATTGTTTTTTCACTGTAACACATATGTGCTTTTTGTACTTTACCTTTTTAAAAAAAAAAATGAGACTGTGTTCCTTTTTTCTTTTATTCTATTGCCCAGGCTGCAGTGCAGTGTCGCGATCTGGGCTCACTGCAACCTCCGTCTCCTGAGCTCAAGCAGTCTCCTGCCTCAGCCCCCCAAGTAGCTGGGGCTACAGGCACGAGCCACCATGCCTGGCTAATTTTTGTATTTGTAGTAGAGATGAGGTTTTGCCATGTTACCCAGGCTGGTCTCGAACTCCTTGGCCTCCCAAAATGCTGGACTTACAGTCATGAGCCACCACACCTGGCCTGGGACTTTACCCTTTAATACGCATGGACTTCTGTCTGTGTCAGTATGGAGAGCTCTCCTTCGTTCTTTTTTACAGCTACATAACAGCCCTATGTTGCCGAACACTTGGATTAGTTCCAGTCTTTTGCTATGATAAACAGTGCCACAAAGGACACTGTCTCTGACATTTCATGCAGGTATGTTTGTATGATAAAGCCCTGCAAGGGGGATTGCTGGGTCAAAGGACTTGCCTACATGTCCAACAATAAGGTTAAGACTCTAAACCCAGGGCTTGGATGAGAGGAAGCGTGCTGCCCAATGTGTGGTCTATGGGCTGGTGCCAGTCTCTCAAGGAGATACTGCGGAAATTGACAGTAGTCAGAGAATGTAGAGCAACTTTACCTTGTTGCAATACCAAAGTGCATTATCATTTTTCTAAGTAGTTCATTTTTATTGATTTTAGCAATCTGTGACCACAGGAAAGAAAGAAAAAAATTACTTCTTTTTTTTGAAATGGGGTCTTGATCTGTTGCCCAGGATGAGTACAGTGACATAATCATCGCTCATTGCAGCCTCAATCTCCCAGGCTCAAGTGATCCTCCCACTTTAGCCTTCTACTTTAGAGTAGCTGGGACTTCAGGTATGTGCCGTCACGCCCAGCTAATTTTTTTTTTTTTTTTTTTTTTGTAGAGATGGCCTCTCTCTATGTTGCCCAGGCTGATCTACAACTCCTGGACCAAGCAATACTCCCACTTCGGCCTCCCCAAAGTGCTGAGATTATAGGCATGAGCCACCAAGCCCAGCCAAAAAATACTTCTCATGGCTATGCAAAACATGTTTAAAATTACAAGTAAAAATCACACCGGGTGCAGTATCTCAAGCTTGTAATCCCAGCACTTTTGGAGGCTGAGGCAGGCAGATCACTCGAGGTCAAGAGTTCGAGAGCAGCCTGGCCAAGACGGTGAAACTCCATCTCTACTAAAAGTACAAAAATTAGCCGGGCGTGGTGGCGGGCGCCTATAATCCCAGCTACTTGGGAAGCTGAGGTACATGAACCATATGAACCTGGGAGGCAGAAGCTGCAGTGAGCCGAGATCGCACCACTGCACTCCAGCCTGGAGACTCCCTCTCAAAAAATAAATAAAATAAAATAAAATAACAAATAAAAATGAATGTTTCCAAAGCTACAAACAACTTCTTTATTATTATTGTTATTTTAAAATTTTACGTTGCCCAGGCTGGACTCGAACTCCTAGGCTCAAGCAATCTTCCCACCTCGGTCTCCCAAGTAGCTGGGACTACAGGCGTGCGCCATCACATTCAGCAAAGCTTTTTTATTAATGTGAGATTTTCCTTTCAAATCATTTCACATCCAGAAAGGCTTGTTATTCACACCTCCAAAAAAGTTATGGAAAAATAGAACTATGCCTAAACATCCAAAAATAAAATATAATTAAGCTAACGAAAAAGGAAAAACCTATTTCAGTCATTTAACAGCAACGTTTTCAACATCAACATGTTGGGGTGTGAGAGATACAAGATTCGCCAAACGTCGATGAGTTGTTAGAGAGAGAGGGAGTGAGAAAGGGAGAGAGCGCCTCTCCCAGATGAAATAAATGGCAATGGCACAGTACAAAATGTCATAGGTGCTAAAGGACATGGTGACATCTCACCTGCAAAAGGCCCGGAATCCCCCAGCAGAAAAGCAAAGCATCAGGAATCAGTCTGTCTGCTGGGATCCAATCTCCAAAACATGGGGAGCGGGGATAAGATAAAATATGAATGAGCAGAAAGAAAAGTTTAGAAAATCTATTTATGTTTTATAATCTTGTCCCTTTTTAAATTTTAATTATTAGTTTTTTGAGATAGATTCTCGCTGTGTCACCCAGGCTGGAGTGCAGTGGTGTGATCTCTGCTCACTGCAACCTCCACCTCCTGGGTTCAAGAGATTCTCCTGCCTCAGCCTCCCAAGTAGCTGGGATTACAGGCGTGCACTGCCACACCTGGCTAATTTTTGCAGTTTCAGTAGAGAAGGGGTTTGACCATGTTGGCCAGGCTGGTTTCAAACACCTGACCTCAAGTGATCCACCCGTCTTGGCCTCCCAAAGTGCAGGGATTACAGGCATGAGCCACCACACCCAGCAAATCTTATCATTTTAAATGTACATTTTACTTTGCGATGTAGATCATCTGTTAGCATTGTAGCATATGTAAACATATACACATAGTTTAGATAAATACATATATTGGGGATGATGCAGGGTCACTACTTTCTTATTCTGAATGGTATGAGATCAAAAAAGCTGATATGGGCCAGGTGCGGTGGCTCACACCTGTAATCCCAGCACTTTGGGATGCCGAGGTGGGTGGATCACCTGAGGTCAGGAGTTCCAAGACCAGCCTGGCCAACGCGGTGAAACCCTGTCTCTACTAAAAATACAAAAATCAGCCAGGTATGGTGGTGCACACCTGCAGTTCCAGCTACTCGGCTGACTGAGGCAGAAGAATCACTGGAACCCAGGAGGTGGAGGTTGCAGTGAGCCGAGACTGTGCCACTCTAGCCTGGGTGACAGAGTGAGACGTCATTTCAAAAAAAAAAAAAGGCCAGGCGCGGTGGCTCACCCCTGTAATCCCAGCAGTTTGGGAGGCCGCGGCGGATGGATCACAAGGTCAAGAGATCAAGACCATCCTGGACAACATGGTGAAACCCCGTCTCTACTGAAAATACAAAAATTAGCTGGGCGTGGTGGCACACACCTGTAGTCCCAGCTACTCGGGAGGCTGAGGCAAGAGAATTGCTTGAATCCGGGAGGTAGAGGTTGCAGTGAGCCGAGATTGTGCCACTGCACTCCAGCCTGCCAATAGAGAGAGACTCTGTCTCAAAAAAAGAAAAGAATTAAAAAAAAAAAAAGCTGATATGGACTCAACCTAAGTACCCCTCAATGGATGAACAGATGAGGAAAATGTGGTACATGTATACATGATAGGATTCTCTTCAGCCATAAAAAGAAATGAAATTCTGTCCTTTGTAGCAACATGGTTTTGGAATTGGAGGTCATTATGTTAAATGAAATAAGCCAGACACAGAAAGACAAATATCACCTATTTTCACTCGTAGGAGTTTAAAAAGCTGATCTCACGGAGGTAGACAGTCAAATGGTAGTGACGAGATGCTGGGAAGGGTGGGGAGGGGTGAAGAGAGGTTTGGTGAATGGGTACAAAAATTCAGTTAGTGGCTGAGCACAGCGGCTCACTCCTGTAATTCCAGCAATTTGGG